>NC_000023.11:73674663-73977693 GCF_000001405.40 Homo sapiens
TTGATCTTTTCAGAAAACCAGCTCCTGGATTCATTGATTTTTTTGAAGGGTTTTTTGTGTCTCTATTTCCTTCAGTTCTGCTCTGATCTTATTTATTTCTTGCCTTCTGCTAGCTTTTGAATGTGTTTGCTCTTGCTTTTCTAGTTCTTTTAATTGTGATGTTAGGGTGTCAATTTTGGATCTTTCCTGCTTTCTCTTGTGGGCATTTAGTGCTATAAATTTCCCTCTACACACTGCTTTGAATGTGTCCCAGAGATTCTGGTATGTTGTGTCTTTGTTCTCCTTGGTTTCAAAGAACATCTTTATTTCTGCCTTCATTTCATTATTTACCCAGTAGTCATTCAGGAGCAGGTTGTTCAGTTTCCATGTAGTTGAGCAGTTTTGAGTGAGTTTCTTAATCCTGAGTTCTAGTTTGATTGCACTGTGGTCTGAGAGACAGTTTGTTATAATTTCTATTCTTTTACATTTGCTGAGGAGTGCTTTACTTCCGTGTGGTCAGTTTTGGAGTAGGTGTGGTGTGGTGCTGAAAAGAATGTATATTCTGTTGATTTGGGGTGGAGAATTCTATAGATATCTATTAGGTCCACTTGGTGCAGAGCTGAGTTCAATTCCTGGGTATCGTTGTTAACTTTCTGTCTCGTTGATCTGTCTAATGTTGACATTGGGGTGTTAAAGTCTCCCATTATTATTGTCTGGGAGTCTAAATCTCTTTGTAGGTCACTAAGGACTTGATTTATGAATCTGGGTGCTCCTGTATTGGATGCATATATATTTAGGATAGTTAGCTCTTCTTGTTGAATTGATCCCTTTCCCATAATGTAATGGCCTTCTTTGTCTCTTTTGATCTTTGTTGGTTTAAAGTCTGTTTTATCAGAGACTAGGATTGCAAACCCTGCCTTTTTTTGTTTTCCATTTGCTTGGTAGATCTTCCTCCATCCCTTTATTTTGAGCCTATCTGTGTCTCTGCACATGAAATGGGTTTCCTGAATACAGCACACTGACGAGTCTTGACTCTTTATCCAATTTGCCAGTCTGTGTCTTTTAATTGGAGCATTTAGCCCGTTTACATTTAAGGTTAATATTGTTATGTGTGAATTTGATCCTGTCGTTATGATGTTAGCTGGTTATTTTGCTCGTTAGTTGATGCAGTTTCTTCCTAGCCTCAATGGTCTTTACAATTTGGCATGTTTTTGCAGTGGCTGGTACCGGTTGTTCCTTTCCATGTTTAGTGCTTCCATCAGGAGCTCTTTTAGGGCAGGCCTGGTGGTGACAAAATCTCTCAGCATTTGCTTGTCTGTAAAGGATTTTATTTCTCCTTCACTTATGAAGCTCAGTTTGGCTAGATATGAAATTCTGGGTTGAAAATTCTTTTCTTTAAGAATGCTGAATATTGGCCCCCACTCTCTTCTGGCTTGTAGAGTTTCTGCCGAGAGATCTGCTGTTAGTCTGATGGGCTTCCCTTTGTGGGTAACCAGACCTTTCTCTCTGGCTGCCCTTAACATTTTTTCCTTCGTTTCAACTTTGGTGAATCTGACAATTATGTGTCTTGGAGTTGCTCTTCTCGAGGAGTATCTTTGTGGCATTCTCTGTATTTCCTGAATTTGAATGTTGGCCTACCTTGCTAGATTGGAGAAGTTCTCCTGGAGAATATCCTGGAGAGTGTTTTCCAACTTGGATCCATTCTCCCTGTCACTTTCAGGTACACCAATCAGACGTAGATTTGGTCTTTTCACATAGTCCCATATTTTTTGGAGGCTTTCTTCGTTTCTTTTTATTCTTTTTTCTCTGAACTTCTCTTCTCGCCTCATTTCATTCATTTCGTCTTCCATCACTGATACCCTTTCTTCCAGTTGATCTCATCGGCTAGTGAGGCTTCTGCATTCGTCACGTAGCTCTCGTGCCTTGGTTTTCAGCTCCATCAGGTCCTTTAAGGACTTCTCTGCATTGGTTATTCTAGTTATCCATTTTTCTAATTTTTTTTCAAAGCTTTTAACTTCTTTGCCATTGGTTCGAATTTCCTCCGGTAACTCAGAGTAGTTTGATCATTTGAAGCCTTCTTCTCTCAACTTGTCAAAGTCATTCTCTGTTCAGCTTTGTGCCATTGCTGGTGAGGAGCTGCGTTCCTTTGGAGAAGGAGAGGTGCTCTGATTTTTACAGTTTCCAGTTCTTCTGCTCTGTTTTTTTCCCGTCTTTGTGGTTTTATCTACCTTTGGTCTTTGATGATGGTCACGTACAGATGGGTTTTTGGTGTGGATGTCCTTTCTGTTTGTTAGTTTTCCTTCTAACAGATAGGACCCTGAGCTGCAGGTCTGTTGGAGTTTGCTAGAGTTCCACTCCAGACCCTGTTTGCCTGGGTATCAGCAGGGGTGGCTGCAGAACAGCGGATGTTGGTGAACTGCAAGTGCTGCTGCCTGATCGTTCCTCTGGAAGTTTTGTCTCAGAGGAGTACCCGGCCCTGTGAGGTGTCAGTTCGCCCCTACTGGGGTGTGCCTCCCAGTTAGGCTACTCGGGGGTCAGGGACCCACTTGAGGAGGCTGTCTGCCTGTTCTCAGATCTTAAGCTGCGTGCTGGGAGAACCACTACTCTCTTCAAAGCTGTCAGAGAGGGACATTTAAGTCTGCAGAGGTTACTGCTGTCTTTTTGTTTGTCTGTGCCCTGCCCCCAGAGGTGGAGCCCACAGAGGCAGGCAGGCCTCCTTGAGCTGTGGTGGGCTCCACCCAGTTCAAGCTTCCCGGCTGCTTTGTTTACCTAATCAAACAACTAACTCAGCAATGGCAGGCACCCCTCCCCCAGCCTCACTGCCACCTTACAGTTTGATCTCGGACTGCTGTGCTAGCAATGTGTGAGACCCTGTGGGCCTAGGACCCTCCGAGCCAGGTGCAGGATATAATCTCCTGGTGTGCTGTTTTTTAAGCCCGTTGGAAAAGCGCAGTATTTGGGTGGGAGTGACCCGATTTTCCAGGTGCCATCTGTCACCCCTTTCTTTGACTAGGAAAGGGAATTCCCTGACCCCTTGTGCTTCCCGAGTGAGGTGATGCCTCGCCCTGCTTCGGCTCGCACACGGTGCGCTGCACCCACTGTCCTGCACCTACTTTCTGGCCCTCCCCAGTGAGATGAACCCGGTACCTTAGTTGGAAATGCAGAAATCACCCGTCTTCTGCGTCGCTCACACTGGGAGCTGTAGACCAGAGCTGTTTCTATTCGGCCATCTTGGCTCCTCCCTCTCAATT
Source organism: Homo sapiens (assembly GCF_000001405.40). Taxonomy (NCBI): domain Eukaryota; kingdom Metazoa; phylum Chordata; class Mammalia; order Primates; family Hominidae; genus Homo; species Homo sapiens. Next base: position 73,677,894 of record NC_000023.11, read on the forward strand.
TTCTTAAGATCATTTTTAATGCCTTTTTCAGGAATTTCATAAATTTAATTTTCTTTGGAGTCTGTTGCTGGAAAATTATTGTGTCCTTTTGGAGGTTGTTTTTTTTTTTTTTTTGTCCTTACATTGATATCCACATCTGCTATAATTGCCACTTCATTCATTTGTATGGAATAGCTCCCATAGAGAACGAGTTTTTCCTGTAGATGTATCTATAATTTTGGTTGGGTAGGGTGCTTTGGCTTTGGTTCTGCATGGGCAGCACAGTGTAATCTCCTTAGATTACTTCAGCTGTAATCAGTTTCAGCAGTGTCTTTGAGTTCCTTAGTGGCTCAGGCTGCAGTTGATTGTGGAGGCTGTGGTAAGGCTTTGTTTGGGACAGCAGTGCCAGGTAGACTGGTCCTCAATCCCCTAGATAGTGCATGTGGGCACTGACATTGGCTTGCCCTGAGTATGTCAGTCTTTGGACCATGGGTGGGCCATGCAGGTGTAAAAAGTGGTGGCAGCAGGCCCTGGGTGGGCCAGTCCTCAGGCCCTCCCTCAGGGCATGCAGGTCCCAGTGGGCCAAGAAGTTTGCTCTTCAGGCTCCCAGGCCAGATAGTCCCTGGGGTCCTGGGGGGAGGACGTAGGTGCTGGCAGTGTCTGCAGTGGGCCAGTGGGTGGGTCCATTAGTTCTCAGGTAGGGCACACTGGTGTTGGCAATGTCCATGATGGGCTAGGTAGGTTTCATCTTTTATTTTAATGTTTTGAAAAGCTTTTTTAACATTATGTACTCCTTACAAAATATACAGATTCTAAATGAAGAAACTCAGTCTCTGTCCCCCTCTTTGCTACATTACTGCTTCTCTGATTTATATTTTTCTAAGTATAAGTTTTTCCACTGGCTGTTTTTAACATGTTCTTTTCAGTGGAAATTCTGATATATGTTGGCTTTCTTTATTCAGCCTATAGACCTTGACTGAATGCTATATGACAGGTATTGTGCCAGGAGCTGTGGTAGGAAAACTTTCCATGAGAAATTAGATTAGCTTGGCATTAGATGATTATTTAAAGTAATCCTAAGACAGTTATGTGAAAATCTAGATTAAATTCATAAATGGACTACTAAAATCTCAACTTAGTATATAGTTTAGGTTTTCACAGTAGTCCAGTGGATGGCCTCACAACACAAAGAAATTCATACATATTTCATTTTAGAAAGCATATATAAAAATCTGATTGATTGATTGATAGGTAGATAATCTTATTATAATAGTCATCCAAATCTTACTCCTTTTTAGCATTTTCTGCCACTGATATTGCTTATTTCTCATTTCTAATAGAAAAACAAGGAGATAGTAATGGGATGTTACAAGTAGGCAGAAAAATATAGATGCACATAGTTTACAAAGCTCTTCAGGTCATCTTGTAACAAAGTCTTGATCATTTTTCTTAGACCAGAAGATCAATTCAGAAGTTAATAGAATGGGAAAATAACAGATTATATCACAAGGTAAGAAATTTTAAGCACATAAGTGCCCCATTCATATATTTGCAGCATTAAATTGAAAAATAAATACAAAATGGGAATTTTTAGGCCACAAAGGAATGGATTAGAGAATTAATACTCAATTTTTAATATATATTCTTTACAAGGTATTTTTAAGTGCTCTGTTTTGTATCCTGTACTTTTCCTGGATTGTTTTCAGTGATTTATTCAAATGTATAGGTTGTAATTAGTTTAAGTTAATATAAAAATTCTTAACAAGACTATACTTTCTTAGCTTGCTTTGCACTGGAAGTTGACTAAGAGGAAATGTGAAACTAGCAATATGATGGAGTATGTAAGTATGAGGTTGTTTTTAATTATTTTTTTATTCATTCTAAATGTACCATTTTCCTGTGTTTATCATTTGTCAACTATTCCTTCTTTTTTCTCCTCAGCCAGAACTTTTGTCCATTGAAATATAGAGGTTTTCTTCTATCTTCTTTAGATTTGTAGCCAACCTAAAATATCTTGAAAGCTAACAATCATTTGGATCTTAGAAAAGTTTCAGTTAGTATGCTAAAATGAAAACATTGTACAACCTTAATCATTTAACATAGGCACAAACCATAGCATGTGGTGGTGGGGAAAGCTGCTGTTGAACAAATATTTCTAAATGTAATCTTGTCAAAACTTGCATAAAATAGGAGTTGATATCTGCATTCTGGATTCCTATTACTGGCTTTTTTTTTTTTTTTTGGCTGACATTTAACTTTTAGTGAAGAAACTGTAGGTTCTAATTTTTGTTTTAACTGAAAGCTATACAATCTTAGTCATAAGACATAAATTCACATATAGCCAATGTGATCAATTTAGCATAATTAACATTGAAAATATTACATTTATCCAAACTTCCAATATGTAGTACATATTTAATAATAAACATTCCATGTGTGTTTCATAAGTAAGGATTATTATGGTATCTCTCTACACTTTGAATAATTTTGGGGAAAATATGCATATGACCACAAGTCTAAAATTCATTATAGATAAAACATTCAAAAATATCCGAGTTTTTTAAAATTATGTTTTCAAACCTTTTGTAATTAATATGTTTTACTCAATCCATTTGGGCACATTAATTTTTCACAACTTGTGAACGATAGTAATCTCCAACTAATATCAGTTTCTTTAATTGAAAAATATATAAATCTAATATAAAGGCATTTTTTAATCTGTATAGCATTTTTTTAATCTCTACTTTGCTAACAAAGAGATAGGGGTGTGGGGGAAAAACATAATATAATTTAATGGAGTTTGCTCCTGTTAACCTAGACAAATAGTTATTGTAAATCAGATAGTAAAATCTGTTAGCTACAATAAGTAGTTTTGTTTGCCAGCTTAATTTTTAAATTGCCAATCTAATAACAACTTGTGGTTTAAGTTCTTTACATATTTTTTTCATGTATTTCACTTACTTTATATGGTTCAGGATTGAAATATTGTCCTATGAAAAATGATTATAGACTTTCTGGGTTATTTATAAGTTATATTAAATGAAAAATATTTTGTAAATATATTCTTGTTTTTATTTTGCAGGTAATACTAATAGAATTCTTACCAAAATATCCCATATTCCGACCTGACTGAGGAGTTTTATCCAGTCACTTCTGTGTTACCTGTCATTTCCTACCCTTAGTGCCTTGTAGATTTGGAATGAAGATGGTCTCCTTTGCTGTGTTCAACTTATTCTTTATAATGGTAGAATATTCTTCTCGCTCTTTTGTGTTGGTTTATGAAGAAAATTTGCACATCTTTTTTGTCTTTCAATGAGGCTTGTGTTTTGCACTCTCAATTTTAAATACACACACATGCGTGTGTGCATATACATATATAGATAGTTGCCATTAAAGATAAATCATCAGTGTTGGTGTTTAAAAAACAAAAACTTGTTCTGAGCATGCTGCCTTATAATTTTCATACTCATTGTTTCTAAACTCGCATCATTTTTCTAGGCTACTTGATGCTCTGTAATCCCTTACTGGACAAACTTAAATAAGCTTTTGGTAGCTTTTAGAAATGGTTTTACTCTGCTTTTAAAGGACATGCTTTTAAAGGACATGCAATTAATGGCACTGGTTTTGTCCTGCACTTTGCTTTATCACTTATGTTAGTGGATAAAATATTTAAACTCCTAAAGACTTGTAAATATTGCCTCTTTGCATAATGTAAAATGTGGTATGCCATGGTTTACATAATGTAACATTACTCTTATTGTATTGCCAACAATTTTACATAGATTTTAATATGAATGAAGTTTGCAAGCATCCCTTTGAATGTAGAAACTGCTAACATGCTGTTTTATGGCAAGGCCATAATGAGTATGTTAAGAATTTCAGGTGTAGGGCAAGGTTGCCCTTTGTAACAAGTGGACTAAAATTGAAATTATTATCTCAGATATTCTGTATTGCACCTGAAACCATGACCTTTATTTTTCCATTTCGTTTAATAATTTCCATTTTGTTGTCTACTCCTTCCCACAAAAAAACTATTTGACATCTGACACATTTCACAGTCTCACTATCCTGCATTTATTAGCCTTTTCTTCCTTTGAAAATACACACAATTATGACTTTTAAGGAGTATTTTGAGATTTCAGACATCTTCAGAAGGTATCTAGACCCTCTTGAAAGCCACTAACACCTTTCTGCAGTTCTGATATTCTAGTTTGAGAAAGAGAGAGAACTATTTGAGAAGCTGTAGCTAAAGAGTATATAGCAGCTGATTCATAATTGAAAAAAAATTCTCAATTCTGTTTTTGATGATCCTTTATAAAACATTAATGAGGAAAGACAAGTGTTTAGACAAAAGTATTTTAGTTTATAAATTCAGCACATATGTAACATTTATTTGGTCCATATTTCTCTATTTTTCTTCACAATTAAAATGATTGCTAGCACCACACAACTAGAATTTGAAAATTCAGTATAATGAAAGCTTTATATCACATTAATTCAACTGCAAATGTATGCCTGTTTGTAGGCATTATTTGTAATTCATAGTGCTAAAAATAAAAGTGTCTAGGGCTCAGTAATATTTTGTCATCTTACTCTTACTGCTTTTAGTAAACCTTTTAGGCAAGATTCATCTCAGTGAAGTGAACAATCATTTCTTCATAGAAGGTCAAGCCTTTTTAAGCCACTCTTAAAATTTATGCCTAATTTGAAATCCACAGTCCTTGACCAGTTTAAAAAAGAGAGGAAAAAGAAGACACTATTTTATATGTGATTATAATTGTTTGCACAAACACTTTTCCACCTTCCTCTGTGCCCCATTACCTCTGTGCCACTCAGTCACCCCAAATCTCTAACCTTTAGTAATGTGTATGCCTGCAAATATTATGTGTTTGCCTGCTGCAAAATTGAAGGTGTATTTTTATAGACAAGGTAGAAGCCTCTGAAAATGTATACCAAATGTCTTGTTTTGTAGCTAAGGTCGGGAAAAATTGTATCTGAGGTTTATGTTCCAGCTAATGTTATCAAATTTATGCTTCAAACTGTGATATTTTAATACCAAAATCGATTTTCAGCATAATACAAAATATCTCATTTTCACTGATAGAAAATTGCTTTTAAGTGTTGATCCTTAGAAATCTTATTTTTTTCTATAACCTTAGAATTTGATCATATGATGGTCATAGGAACTTTTTCTGCCATGTATAAATCACACTTGGTTTTGCTCAAAGAACAGCATGAAGTGGTGAATTGTTTCCATGAAACAATTATTGAGAATGGGAATACAGTATATCTGGAAATGACACAGTATAATACAAGTTACAGTAGCATTTGTCACAAAAACCACTTGTCAGCATGTGTAAACTTAATTTTAAAGCCTATTCTAATCACTCGAGTTTATTATTTTATTGTTCGCTATGCTGGTTGACTCATCTTAGTTTCTTCAACTACCCAAAAAAATACCAATTTTTTTCCTCTCTTGTATGACTACTTTTTCAAACTGTTTTCCTTTGCAGGGGGCTGATTAGCAATTGAGTATTTTGTAATGTTTGGGCGGGGTTGCTTTGTTTTCAGTGAAATTGGTTGCAGTGAATGCTAAAATGACACAGCACACTGGTGATTAATTCCTCCCCCATGGAGCCTTTTTTCTGTTATGCTTAGGATAGAACATACTTGTAATTTTCCATTAGGTTAGTAACATACTTTTGTGAAAGTTGTTTTTAGACTGAAGAAAGTAATTTTGAATTTCTTTGTTACATAATATTCCTTTATGAAACTTGTGATAGTTTCCAGAGCAAAACATGTATTTGCCAAAGTATATAAATCTCACAAGGCTTTAAGATTACAAGCTAAAATTGTTTTTTAAAATTAATGTTCCAATGTTTCTCATTTGGCCCAAGATTCTGGCTTCATAAATTTGTCCAACTGGCTATTTTTAAGCTTGTCCTAAAAGCCAATAACATGTTTATTCCTAATAACTAATATGGGCAAGTGTTATTTACAGATTTATTAACTCCATCCCAGATATGTCTCCACTCTTTGTTCCCTCCTAATGCTAATTTAGGAAAGAGACCACTGTAGTAAAACTTTAGAAGAAGATGGAGAAGTGCCTTGTCTTTTTAGAACAAAGATAACACATTACGTGTAAGGAAGCATAATAAATGAATTGGTAGATGATTAGATTAGAAATCATCCTTTTCAACTAGGTCTAAGAATACTTTACTAGTGTATTATCTTTTATTTATTATGTAAAGCTTCTTTCCTTCCTTTTCCCCAATCATGATATATTAGTGACAAAATATTACAGAACCGGACTATCAGTCACTTAAAAAAACAGTATAATTCTAATGCTAGTAAACATGTAATTTAATTTAGTTCTGGAAGGACAGTTGTCTTTGATTAAAGCCCCACCAAAACCCATTTAAGTATTTAATGTACATACTATTCATATTATTATGGCCTGTAAACACTAATATCTGAGCAATCAAACTGTTTTATCTACCATTTTTGATGAAATTTGAATAAAGTTTAAAAACGTGTAAGCCTTTGAACAAATGTATGAAAGCTTTAAAAGATCATTAGCACTTTTATTTTGTTTACAAATAAGCTGCCATTTAAAAAAATAAAACCTCACTACTTGAACATAAAGCTCCCAAACAATATTGTATTAAAATGTACTATATTGACCTAGGAGGATATAGAAATTATATTCACCTGATTAACTGGAGCAGTTTCACATAGTAGAAATACTTTTTGCTAATTTGATTATAAGTGCTCAAATTTATTGAAATTAGATTCTCATGCCTATAAAAGTATACTTTAAAAATATTTTGCAACAACTGTCAAATTATTTGGGTTCCTTTAAATAGCAAACAATTGGGAAATTTTCCATAAAAATGAATAGGTTTTATTAATACCTGTTCATGTAGTATGTGGACTAAAACAATTGATATATATCTGTATGTAAAAATGAATGATCTTATCTTGCCCCAAATTTTTCTTACCTGATTCTGAGCCAGCCTTTTTGTTTTGATGGCACCCTGTGAGTATGTTCCATTTTCTGTGAACTTTGTCAAATTCATACTATATGAGGAAATGATCTAATATTGTGGGCTCCAGGCAGGTCATCTTAATTGCATGTCTGTCTCTTCTGTAAAATGATGAGGTGGAACCTAGAGCTGGACAAAAAATTAGAGATCACTTAACATTCTGTGATTCAAGGAATTCTTAGGACATTTTTACTCTATAGAATCTCAGAATGATTATTCTCAGATCTACTGTCCTTGGTGGAAACTCTCACAGTGCCTTGCATGCAGTAAAAGTTTGATTTGCCGACTGGCTGACGTGTTAATTATCACACAGACTCCAAGAACCTGATGCTTGCTAGACCTTAGTTCCTTGGTGATGCTAAGAGTAAATGTAGTTTTCCTAGGAACTGAGCACTGAGGTCTGTGTCCTTTGCCTGTGTAGAATCTGTCTATGCAGTTGGTATTCAGGCAAGAATTTTAGCTGTAACAACAATGGAAATATTGGAGGACCCACTTTGGCATTTATGTAAAGATTTCATATCCTATCCAACATTTACTTTAGTGTCTAATCAAATTCCATACCCTCAAAAAGATCTGTTGGAACAAATTGATAAAATTAGGTGGAAAGGAAAGTGGTATGGGACTCAAATACAAGTCACTTCTGGTTTAATTATTGGCTCTGCTGCTTAATTCCTCTGTACCTCACGTCCTCATTGTCGAAGTGGGGACAATAATCTGGACCTACCTCACAGGGGAATTGAGGATATTTTCATATATTAGTGTGCTTTGAAGTTGACTGAAAGATATACTGGATATCATAATTATATAATTTCTAAATAGATTTCTTTAAATCCATGCTATGTTTTCTTTTTCAGTCAGGTCCTACAGAATGACTATTGCACTTGGTCTATTGTTTTAATAGTAAATTTTGTTATTAATCTCCTATGTGTTAAACGTGGGTAATTGTATTATGTTAATACATACTTAGGGAGGAAAAGCAGGTGGATGTAAATCAGTGATTCCCAACTTCAGCAGATGATAGCAGTGGAGGGTATCCTTGAGCTTTTTGTAATATTTCAAAAAGTATATTAGAAATTATACATTTACCCATAATATTCCTGCTTCACAAGTCAATTAAGACATTGAATTTCCATTCATTTTGCCTATATTCTCTCAAAAGCTGTGAATGGCAGTATGTTTTTGATTAATAATAAAATAAGAAATCCTATTATGTGCAACTTATTAAATACTTGGGAACATGGGAAAAGAATAATGAAGGGATTCTTATGGTGAAAATGTTGGGAACCACTTTTATAAAGGAACTAAGATTATTTGACCCCCTCCACAGATTGCTTACCTAGTCTCTAAATAATGAAATGTGTGTGTTTGTGTGTTTTGGCTATATTAGGCTATATAACTTCAGGTTAGAATTTGCCTTCAGTTTTTTTTCTGTTTTAGAATATCACTGGCCTAATTTATTTAGGTGTGTACATGTTGCTCATACATACACACACATATAGGATTACAAATGTGGAAAATGTTATAATGTCATATTCTAGCATTGGACTAAATATCAATTTCTGACTCTTAAAGTAGTTCTGTGTATAAATTCAACATGATGAATCAAGGCAATAATTTCTCAAATGTTCTTTTATTTCTTTGTTTTTATCTCGACTTTTTATTTTCCATTTTTTCTAGTACGCAAATAGTGTAAAATTGTTTTAATGCCTGGACTTTGAAACAAGTAACAAGTGTTTGAAAGTATATAATCTACGAGCGAATTTGCCCTCCTTGGACTAACCACATACAAATATGAATCTGGCTGCAAGAACAGGATATCCAGGTAACTAGAGAGTGGGCATTGATAAAAATATCTGGTGGAGAAGCCTAGGATTTCAACTTTTTGTCAGAGGATTCCTGTTGGGACAGCTTTACCAGAAAAGAATAATAGCGGATATGTTCATCCAAACTAAGAACTTTCATGCATCTTGCATTGTTACATAGCCTGTGGAATGAATTCATTTTTTCTCCCTTGAGTCCAGGAATGACTTCCCTGGAAAAACTCAATCTATATACAGCTGTGCCAAAATGAAGGATACCTGCCTCTCCGAAACTTTCACTGCTGCTTCTGTCATTGTTCACTTGTCAGATAAAATTTTATTATCTCAGGATGCAAATTTAAAATAAAGTGTAAATCTATGTTAATGAATTGAATTCTGTGTTTTTTTTATGCATCTTCCTTTCTTCCCTTCCCTATATGTCCATCATTATAAGGCAATTAATTTAGGCTTCCTTTTAAAAATTGCATTTTATATCTGGCCTTTTTCCACATATACTAGTGTTAACGTTCAATCCTGTAAGTATTTTATGCTATAAACACATGCCTCAGAGAAGTGTGAATTCAGTTCCAGACAACCAAAATAAGTCACACAAATTTTGGGGTTTCCCAGTGCATATAAAATTTGTGTTTACACTATAATGTAGTCTATTAAGTATGCAATAACATTATTTCTTAAAAAATGTACATATCTTAATTTAAAATATTGTATTGCTAAAAAAATACTAGTGATCATCTGAGCCTTCCATGAGTCATAATATTTTTGTTTGTGGGGGGTCTTGCTTCAGTGTTGATGGCTGCTGACTGATGGGGCAGGTCATTGCTGAAGGTTAGGGTGGCTTTTGCAATCTCCTAAACTAAGACAGTGAAGTTTGCCATATTGCTTGATTCTTCCTTTCACAAGAGATTTCTCTGCAGCATGCAATACTGATTGATAGCATTTTACCCACAGAACTTTCAAAATTGGAGTCAGTCCCCTCAGACCTAGCTACTACTTATCAACTAAGTTTATGTAATATTCTAAATCATTTGTTGTCATTTCAACAGTATTCACAGCATTTTCACCAGGAGTAGATTCCATCTCAAGAAACCACTTTTTTGCTAATCTGTAAGATGAGCATCCATTCAAGCCTTATCATGAAATTGCAGCAATTCAGTCACATCTTCAGGCTCTACTTCTAATCCTCTTGCTGTTTTTACCACACCTGCCGTTACTTCCTCCACTGAAGTGTTGAATCACTCAAAGTCATCCTTGAGGGGTTGGAATCAATGTCTTCCAAACTCCTGTTAACATTGATATTTTGACCTTCCATGAATCACAGATGTTTTTAATGGCACCTAGAACAGTAAATCCTTTCCAGTAGATTTCCAATTTACATTGCCCAGAGATCGATCAGAGGAATCACTATCTATGGCAGCTATAGCCTTACAAAATGTATTTCTTAAAAAGACTTGAAAGTTGAGTTACTTGTTGATCCGTGGATTGCCAAATCGATATTGTATTAGCAGTCATGAAAACAACATTAATTTTCTTGTACATCTCCATCGGAGCTTGGGTGACTAAGTGCATTGTCAATGAGCAGTAATATTTTAAAAGGAATCTTTTTTATTCTGAACAGTAGGTCTCAATAGTGGGCTTAAAATAGTAAGCCATGCTGTAAACAGACATGCTGTCATCCGGGCTTTGTTATTCTATTTGTAGGACACAGGCCGAGAAGATTTAGCATAATTCTTAAAGGTCCTGGGATTTTTGGAATGATAAACGAGCATTGGCTTAGCCCCTAACAAGAGAGTCAGCATGTCCTTTGAAGCTTTGAAGCCAGGCGTTGACTTCCCCTCTCTAGCTATGAAAGTCTTAGATGGTGTCGTCTTTCAATATAAGGCTGTTTTGCCTACATTGAAAATATGTTATTTAGTGTAGCCAACTTCATCTATGATCTTAGCTAACTCTTCTGGATAACTTGTTACTTCACCTTGCACTTTTATAGAGAAAACTTCTTTCCTTCAACTTTATGAACCAATCTCTGCTGGCTTCAAACTTTTCTTCTGCTCCTTTCTCACCTCTGTCTGCCTTCATAGAATTGAAGAGAATTAGGGCCTAGCTCTGGATTAAGCTTTGGCTTGAGGGTGTGTTGTGGCTAGTTGGATCTTTGATCTTCTATCCAGACAACTAAAACTTTCTCCATATCTGCAATAAGGCTGTATTGCTTTCTTATCATTCATGTGTTCACTGGAATAGCACTTTATATTTCCTTTAAGGCATTTTTCTTTGCATTTACAATTTGCTAACTCGTGAAAGAGGCCTAGCTTTCACCTTCTCTCAGCTTTTGACATGCCTTCCTTGCTAAACTTAATCATTTCAAGCTTTTGATTTAAAGTGAAAAACATGCAACTCTTTTTTTCACTTGAACACTGGGAGGCTATTTTAGGGTTATTAGCCGGCCTAATTTCAATATTATTTTGTCTCAGGGAATAGGGAGGCCTGAGGAGGAAGAGAGCTGGGGAAACAGCACATCAGTGGGGCAGTCAAAACACAACATTTATTAAGTTTGCAATCTTACATGAGTGCAGTCCATGGTCCCCCAAAACAATTACGATAGTAATATCAAAGATCATTGATCATAAATCACCATAACAGATTTTAATAATGAAAAAGTTTGAAATATTTTAAGAATTAACAAAATGTGACAGAGACATGATGTGAGCACATGCTGTTCGAAAAAAATGGTGCCAATAGACTTACTCAATGCAGAGTTTCCACAAATCTTCAATTTGTAAAATCCACAATATCTGCAGAGCACAACAAAATGAAGCACAGTAACATGAGCTTTGCTTGTATATTGGGTTTGGAGACCTGTGTTGTTCCCAGCGTTTGGCATTTGGCTAAGTAGGAAGTTATTTCTAAATGACTTTGCATTTACCCTGCATAGCTACCTATAAACTGTAAAATTTAAGTATAAGTATAGTTCCACCTTATTGAGCATAAATTTTTAGTGCAGGGATGTGGAAATGTGAAGCTACTTGGCAAACGTTTTGACACTTCTTCAGACTGTGTAAGAAATTCAAGTGTTAATATCTTCTACTTCAGTTACTACTCAAGCTGATTTCATGCAATAATAGATTTTTTAAGGTTATGCCTAATTTTTGCAAATTCAACATATACAAGACAAACATTAATATTTCCCAATATATTTGGTAATTTTACCGAATATTTCAAAAAGATTATAAATTTCAAAATGTTAAAGCAGAGATGATAACACACTTAAACTTATATAAAAGTTTCATAATTATTTAAATTTTTTTTCAAAGCTTTATTATATGGATGGGGCAAAAAAGCATACTTTTATTGATGACTTCTTAGATGTGAAGTAGAATATGCTATGTGGGAAATACTTTTACATTCAACTTTACATTGAGGGCAGAAGCCACATGACATTACATCTATTATTAAATACTTAGTGCTTCATAAGATACTTCACTTACATAAATGTAGGAAATTCTCTGGGGGATAGTAGAATGCTCCAGTTATAATTACTAGGAATTTGAGTTAAAATCCGTGGTCACCTAGGTTACCTCTAGCGAAAACTTAGTACACTCAGTGAGCCTAATTTTGTCTGTCATACCCAAGGTAGGAGGTTGAGCTAGATCAAGGTTGTAAGCTGAGCTGTATCCAGTCCTCAGACATGTGTTTTTGACATACAGAATTTCTTTTACACATCATAACAAACTTAAAAGTCTTCATATAGAAATCCAGATTTCTGGCTTTCTTTGAATTTCACATATGGACAATTAGCTAGAGCTGAGTAACAGCCTGTCCCTTTTAGATGGAAGATTTATTTTCTGTTTTGCCATGGTCACCACCATTCCCTCTTATCTTTCTGAAATCCAAGTTTTCTTATGATTCAGTTAAAAGGAAAGCAAAATATTTCTTAAACCCATGTTCCTTTCAATATCAAAAAAATACAGACCATGATAGCTACATATATTATTTACAAAAATTGAGGGAGATGGAAATGAAGAGACTGCTGTGTATGTATGTGAAAAGGAAGCATTTTGAAAATGACCTGCTTCATTCATTGTTGTTATCTGGTGATTGTGGGCACTGGATTTCATGATCCCTGAGATCCCTTAGAGACAATCTCTAAAGTCTCATCTAATTCTGACATTGAGTTTCCATGAAATGATTCTTAGAACATTGGGGTATTTGAAATCGTTATGCCTTTGAAAGTGTGTGTATGATGATGAATGGATGCTGTTTATGAAACTTGCTAAGCTTTCAAATAGAATAGTGACATCACAGACTCCTTTTAGTGAAGCATAGCCACAAGCTGGGAAGACCAACACATTATTTTAGAACCGTTTTTTTACTTCATATCTTTTCAGCAAAAGTTTGGTCAGCCACCCAAAGCAGCATTGGCTTTGTTATCTCCCAAGGGTGATATTGCCCAAGGCGATATTAACATGGTTAAAAAAACTCTTGGTGGGAATCTATAAAACCTGCCTTTTATTTTCTTATGTGGATAAGACTACTGATTGGGATTTTTTTCTTACATTACATTGAACCAAATTGGCATTAATCTAAATGAAAATTTCTTATTTCAAAAATAGGCTTAACTCATTAAGTTTAGACACTGCAACCAGGACTAAATTAGGGTTTTTTTTTTTCCATAAGGCCTGTATTAGTGTCTGATGAATGAGAGATATGGCTGTTAACAGAATTTTTTCTTTATTATAATAATACATTTTCTAATAGCAATTATGAAGAAGAAAATTAATATCATTAACCCAACCATCTACTGCCATTTTAATGTTTTAAAATTGCACTGTATTACTTATGTATATGCATATAGTACTTTTTAAAATTTTTATTTTATGTTCCAGGTGCAGAACGTGCAGGTTTGTTACATAGGTAAATGTGTACCATGGTGGTTTGCTGCACCTGTCAACCCATCACCTAGGTATGAAGCCCGGTATGCATTAGCTATTTATCCTGATGCTCTCCCTCCCTCCCTGCCCCGACAGGCCCTGGTGTGTGTTATTCCCCTCCCTGTGTCCGTGTGTTCTTGTTCAGCTCTTATGAGTGAGAACATGTGTTTGGTTTTCTGTTCCTGTGTTCGTTTGCTGAGGAGGATGGCTTCCAGCTTCGTCCATGTCCCTGCAAAGGACATGATCTCATTCTTTTATATGGCTGCATACTATTCTATGGTGTATATGCACCATATTTCTTAATCCAGTCTATCATTGATGGGCATTCGGGTTGGTTCCATGTCTTTGCTATTGTGAATAGTGCTGTAATAATCATACATGTGCATGTATTTTTGTAATAGAATGATTTCTAGTCCTTTAATAGTAATAGTTCCTTCAAATGTAATGGGATTGCTGGGTCTATTCCTTTACTAGTAATAGTTCCTTTAATAGTAATGGGATTGCTGGGTCAAATGGTAGTTAACTACATTGTCTATTGAATATTGGTAGTTAATTATATATTAACTACCAGTACATATATAACTGGTAGTTAATTATATATTAGTATATACCATTAAATTATATGTTAGTATATACCAGTAAATACTGGTAGTTAATATTATTAACTACCAGTAAATATGTAACTGGTAGTTAATTATATTGTCTATTGAATACTGTTTTTACATTTTAACATTTTTCCATATATCTATTCTTCAAAACTAAATTATGGTTATATAGCAGCACAATGTGTGAATATACTATAATTTCATTATTTCCCATTATTTGGTATTTCGTCAGTTTTCAGTATTTTACGACAATGAATAATGACTTCATGAGCATCTTTATACAGAAATCTTTGCCTCAATCTGATCATTTCCTTCATATTGGTTTCTATAAATTGATTATTGGTTGAATGAGTATGAAGTCTGTATTGCAAAATTGATTTAGGAAAGGTGTGGGAGATACATTCTGAAACTGGGCATGTCTTCTGCTGGATAGATGAGGAGAAATAAGAGCAGGAATTAACAGACACATTACTTAGAGCTGCTAATTGGGGCTGGGTGCAGGCAAAAAAAAAATGTAGGAATAAAATTGCCAAATACACACATAACAATACTAACCTTAAATATAAATGGGCTAAATGCCCCAATTAAAAGACACAGACTGGCAAATTAGATAAAGAGTCAAGACCAATTGCTGTGCTGTATTCAGAAGACCCATCTCACGTGGAAAGACACATAGGCTTAAAATAAAGGGATGGAGGAATATTTACCAAGCAAATGGAAAGCAAAAAAAAAGGAGGGGTTACAATCCTAGTCACTGATAAAACAGACTGTAAATCAACAAAGATCAAAGAAGACAAAGAAGCGCATTACATAATGCTAAAGGGATCAATGCAATAAGAAGAGCTAACTATCCTAAATATGTACCCAATACAGGAGCACTCAGATTTATAAAGCAAGTTCTTAGAGACCTAAAAAGAGACTTAGACTCACAAATAATGATATTGGGAGACTTTAACCCCCCACTGTCAATATTACACAGATCAATGAGACAGAAAATTAACAAGGATATTCAAGACTTGAACTCAGCTCTGGCCAAGGAGAACTAATAGACATCTACAGAACTCTCCACCCCAAATCAACAGAATATACATTATTCTCAGCATGTCATGGCACTTCTTCTAAAATTGACCACATAATTGGAAGTAAAACACTCCTCAGCAAATGCAAAAGAATGAAAATCATAAAAAAAAATCTTTCGGACCACAGTGCAATCAAATTAGAATTTAGGATTAAGAAACTCACTTAAAACAGTACAACTACATGGAAACTGAACAACCTGATCCTGAATGACTACTGCGTAAGTAACTAAATTAAAGCAGAAATAAATAAGTTCTTTGAAACCAATGAAAATAAAGACACAATGTACCAGAATCTCTGGGACACCACTAAAGCACTGTTTAGAGGAAAATGTATAGCACTAAATGCCCACAAGAGAAAAAAGGAGAGAAAGAAAATTGACACCCTAACATCACAATTAAAAGGACTAGAGAAGCAAGAGCAAAAAATTCAAAAGCTAGCAGAAGACAAGAAATAACTAAGATCAGAGCAGAACTGAAGGAGATAGAGACACAAAAAATCCTTCAAAAAATCAATGAATCCAGCAGCTGGTTTTTTGAAAAGATTAACAAAATAGTTAGACCACTGTCCAAACTAATGAAGAAGAAAAAAGAGAAGAATCAAATACACACAATAAAAAATGATAAAGGGGATATCACCACTGATCCCACAGAAATACAAACTACCATCAGAGAATACTATAAACACCTCTATGTGAATAAACTAGAAGACCTAGAAGAAATGGATAAATTCCTGGACACATTCACCCTATCAGGACTAAACCAGGAAGAAGTCGAATCCCTGAAAGGACCAATAATAAGTTCCAAAATTGAGGTAGTAATTAATAGCCTACCAACCAAAAAAAGCCCAGGGCCAGATTCATACCTGAATTCCACCAGAGGTACAAAGAGGAGCTGGTACCATTCCTTCTGAAACTATTCCAAACAACAGAAAAAGAGGGATTCCTCCCTAATTTATTTTATGAGGGAAGCCTGCATCATTTTGATACCAAAACCTGGCAGACATAACAAAAAAAAAAAAAAAGGAAATTTCAGGCCAATATTCATGATGAACATTGCTGCGAAAATCCTCAATAAAATGCAACCAAATACAGCAGCACATCAAAAAGCTTATCCACCATGATCAAGTCGGCTTCATCCCTGGGATGCAAGGCTGGTTCAACATATGCAAATCAATAAATGTAATCCATCACATCAAAAGAACCAATGACAAAAACCACATGATTATCTCAATAGATGCAGAAAAGGTCTGTGATAAAATTCAACAGGCTTCATGCTAAAAACTCTCAATAAACTAGGTATTGATGGAACGTATCTCAAAATAATAAGAGCTATCTATGACAAACCCACAGGCAATATCATACTGAATGGGCAAAAGCTGGAAGCATTCCCTTTGAAAATTGGCACAAGACAAGGATGCCCTCTCTCACCACTCCTACTCAGTATAGTATTGGAAGTTCTGGCCAGGGCAATCAGGCAAGAGAAAAAAATAAAGGTATTCAAATAGGAAGAGAGGAAGTCAAATTGCCTCTGTTTGCAGATGACATGATTGTGTATTTAGAAACCCCATCGTCTCGGCCAAAAAACTCTTTAAGCTGATAAGCAACTTCAGCAAAGTCTCAGAATACAAAATCAATGTGCAAAAGTCACAGCATTTCTATACACCAATAATAGAGAGTCAAATCGTGTGAACTCCCATTCACAATTGCTACAAGGAGAATAAAATATCTAGGAATACAACTTAAAATGGATGTGAAGGACCTCTTCAAGGAGAAATACAAACCACTGGTCAAGGAAATAAGAGAGGACACAAACAAATGGAAAAAATTCCATGCACATGAATAGGAAAAATCAATATCATGAAAATGGCCCTACTGCCCAAAGTAATTTATAGATTCAGTGCTATCCCCATCAAGCTACCATTTACTTTCTTCACAGAATTAGAAACAACTACTTTAAATTTCATATGGAACCAAAAAAGAGCTCATATAGTCAACACAATCCTAAGCAAAAAGAACAAAGCTGGAGGCATCATGCTACCTGACTTCAAACTATACTACAAGGCTATAGTAACTAAAACAGCTTGGTATTGTATTAAAACAGATATAGACCAATGGAGCAGAACAGAGGCTTCAGAAATAATGCTGCACATCTACAACTATCTGATCTTTGACAAACCTGCCAAAAATAAGCAATGGGGAAATTGTTCCCCATTTAATAAATGGTGTTGGGAAAACTGGCTAGCCGTATGCAGAAAACAGAAACTGGATTCCTTCCTTACACTTTATACAAAAATTAACTCAGTTGGATTAAAGACTTAAATGTAAGACCTAAAACCATAAAAACCCTAGAAGAAAATCTAGGCAATACCATTCAGGACACAGGCATGGGCAAAGACTTCATGACTAAAACACCAAAAGCAATGGCAACAAAAGCCAAAATTGAGAAATGGGATCTAATTAAACTAAAGAGTATCTGCACAGCAAAAGAAACTACCATCAGAGTGAACAGGCAACCTACAGAATGGGAGAAAATTTTTGCTATCTGTCTATTTGACAAAGTGCTAATACCAAGAATCTACAAAGAACTTAAATTTACAAGAAAAAACCCCATCAAAGAGTGGGCAAAGGATATGAACAGACACTTTTCAATAGAAGACATTTATGCACCCAACAAACATATGATAAAAAGCTCATCATCACTGGTCATTAGAGAAATGCGAATCAAACCCACAATGAGATACCATATCACACCAGTTAGAATGGAGATCATTAGAAAGGAAACAACAGATGCTGGAGAAAATGTGGAGAAATAGGAATGCTTTTACACTGTTAGTAGGAGTGTAAATTAGTTCAATCATTGTGGAAGACGGTGTGGCAATTACTCAAGGATCTAGAACCAGAAATACCATTTGACCCATCAATCCCATTACTGGGTATATACCAAAAGTATTATAAGTAATTCTACTATAAGGACACATGCACACGTATATTTATTGCAGCACTGTTCACAATAGCAAAATCTTCGAACCCACCCAAACGCCCATCAATGATAGACTGGATAAAAAAAAATGTTGCACATAAACGCCACAGAATACTATGCAGCCATAAAAAAGGATGAGCTCATGTCCTTTGTATGGACATGGATGAAGCTTGAAACCATCATTCTCAGCAAACTAACACAAGAACAGAAAATCAAACACCACATATTTTCACCCATAAGTGGGAGTTGAACAATTAGAACACATGGACACAAGGAGGGGAACATCACACACCAGGTCCTATCAAGGGGTGAGGGTCTAGGGGAGGGGCAGCATTAGGAGAAACACCTAATGTAGATGACAGGTCGCTGGATGCAGCAAACCACCATAGCACATTCAAATTCAGGAAATACAGAGAACGCCACAAAGATACTCCTCAAGAAGAGCAACTCCAAGACACATAATTGTCAGATTCACCAAAGTTGAAATGAAGGAAAAAATGTTAAGGGCAGCCAGAGAGAAAGGTCTGGTTACCCACAAAGGGAAGCCCATCAGACTAACAGCTGATCTCTCAGCAGAAACTCTACAAGCCAGAAGAGAGTGGGGGCCAATATTCATCATTCTTAAAGAAAAGAATTTTCAACCCAGAATTTCATATCCAGCCAAACTAAGCTTCATAAATGAAGGAGAAATAAATTACTTTACAGACAAGCAAATGCTGAGAGATTTTGTTACCACCAGGCCTGCCCTAAAGAGCTCCTGAAGGAAGCACTAAACATGGAAAGGAGCAACAGGTACCAGCCACTGCAAAACCATGCCGAATTGTAAAGACCATCGAGGCTAGGAAGAAACTGCATCAACTAACGAGCAAAATAACCAGCTAACATCATAATGACACAATCAAATTCACACATAACAATACTAACCTTAAATGTAAATGGACTAAATGCTCCACTTAAAAGGAACAGACTGGCAAATTCGATAAACAGTAAAGACCCGTCAGTGTGCTGTGTTAAGCAAACCCATCTCATGTGCAGAGACACACATAGGCTCAAAATAAAGGGACAGAGGAAGATCTACCAAGCAAATGGAAAACAAAAAAAGGCAGGGGTTGCAATCCTACTCTCTGATAAAACAGATTTTAAACCAACAAAGATCAAAAGAGACACAGAAGGCCATTACATAATGGGAAAGGCATCAATTCAACAAGAAGAACTAACTATCCTAAATATATATGCACCCAATACAGGAGCACCCAGATTCATAAAACAAGTCCTTAGTGACCTACAAAGAGACTTACACTCCCAAAGAATAATAATGGGAGACTTTAACACCCCAATGTCAACATTAGACAGATCAACGAGACAGAAAGTTAACAAGAATATCCAGGAATTGAACTCAGCTCTGCACCAAGCGGACCTAATAGAGATCTACAGAACTCTCCACCCCAAATCAACAGAATATAGATTCTTTTCAGCATCACACCACACCTATTCCAAAATTGACCACATAGTTGGAAGTAAAGCACTCCTCAGCAAATGTAAAAGAACAGAAATTATAACAAACTGTCTCTCAGACCACAGTGCAATCAAACTAGAACTCAGGATTAAGAAACTCACTCAAAACTGCTTAACTACATGGAAGCTGAACAACCTGCTCCTGAATGACTACTGCGTACATAACAAAATAAAGGCAGAAATAAAGATGTTCTTTGAAACCAATGAGAACAAAGACACACCATACCAGAATCTCTGGGACACATTCAAAGCAGTGTGTAGAGGGAAATTTATAGCACTAAATGCCCACAAGAGAAAGCAGGAAAGATCTAAAATTGACACCCTAACATCACAATTAAAAGAACCAGAGAAGCAAGAGCAAACACATTCAAAAGCTAGCAGAAGGCAAGAAATAACTAAGATCAGAGCAGAACTGAAGGAAATAGAGACACAAAAAACCCTTCAAAAAATCAATGAATCCAGGAGCTGGTTTTTTTGAGAAGATCAACAAACTTGATAGACCGCTAGCAAGACTAATAAAGAAGAAAGAGAAGAATCAAATAGATGCAATAAAAAATGACAAAGGGGATATCACCACCAATACCACAGAAATACAAACGATCATCAGAGAATACTATAAACACCTCTACACAAATAAACTAGAAAATCTAGCAGAAATGGATAAATTCCTCGACACATACACTCTCCCAAGACTAAACCAGGAAGAAGTTGAATCTCTGAATAGACCAATAACAGGCTCTGAAATTGAGGCAATAATTAATAGCTTACCAACCAAAAAAAGCCCAGGACCAGATGGATTCACAGCCGAATTTTAGCAGAGGTACAAGGAGAAGCTGGAACCATTCCTTCTGAAACTATTACAATCAATAGAAAAAGAGGGAATCCGCCCTAACTCATTTTATGAGGCCAGCATCATCCTGATACCAAAGCCTGGCAGAGACACAACAAAAATAGAGAATTTTAGACCAATATCCTTGATGAACATTGATGCAAAAATCCTCAATAAAATACTGGCAAACAGAATCCAGCAACACATCAAAAAGCTTATCCACCATGATCAAGTGGGCTTCATCCCTGGGATGCAAGCCTGGTTCAACATACGCAAATCACTAAATGTAACCCAGCATATAAACAGAACCAAAGACAAAAACCACATGATTATCTCAATAGATGCAGAAAAGGCCTTTGACAAAATTCAACAGCCCTTCATGCTAAAAACTCTCAATAAATTAGGTATTGATGAGACATATCTCAAAATAATAAGAGCTATCTATGACAAACCCACAGCCAATATCATACTGAATGGACAAAAACTGGAAGCATTCCCTTTGAAAACTGGCACAAGACAGGGATGCCCTCTCTCACCACTCCTATTCAACATAGTGTTGGAAGTTCTAGGAAATCAGGCAGGAGAAGGAAATAGAGGGCATTCAATTAGGAAAAGAGGAAGTCAAATTGTCCCTGTTTGCAGATGACATGATTATATATCTAAAAAACCCCATCGTCTCAGCCCAAAATCTCCTCAAGCTGATTAGCAACTTCAGCAAAGTCTCAGGATACAAAATCATGTGCAAAAATCACAAGCATTCTTATGCACCAATAACAGACAAACAGAGAGCCAAATCATGAGTGAACTCTCATTCACAATTGCTTCAAAGAGAATAAAATACCCAGGAATCCAACTTACAAGGGATGTGAAAGCCCTCTTCAGGGAGAACTACAAACCACTGCTCAATGAAATAAAAGAGAATATAAACAAATGGAAGAACATTCCATGCTCATGGGTAGGAAGAATCAATATCGTGAAAATGGCCATACTGCCCAAGTTAATTTATAGATTCAATGCCATCCCCATCAAGCTACCAATGACTTTCTTCACAGAATCAGAAAAAACTACTTTAAAGTTCATATGGAACCAAAAAAGAGTCCACATTGCCAAGTCGATCCTAAGCCAAAAGAACAAAGCTGGAGGCATCACGCTATCTGACTTCAAACTATACTCCAAGGCTACAGTAACCAAAACAGCATGGTACTGGTACCAAAACAGAGATATAGATCAATGGAACAGAACAGAGCCCTCAGAAATAATGCTGCATATCTACAACTATCTGATCTTTGACAAACCTGAGAAAAACAAGCAATGGGGAAAGGATTCCCTA
Source organism: Homo sapiens (assembly GCF_000001405.40). Lineage (NCBI taxonomy): Eukaryota > Metazoa > Chordata > Mammalia > Primates > Hominidae > Homo > Homo sapiens. The sequence goes on from NC_000023.11 coordinate 73,699,998, forward strand.
TTTAATAAATGGTGCTGGGAAAACTGCTAGCCATATGTAGAAAGCTGAAACTGGATCCCTTCCTTATACCTTATACAAAAATTAATTCCAGATGGATTAAAGACTTAAACGTTAGACCTAAAACCATAAAAACCGTAGAAGATAACCTAGGCATTACCATTCAGGACATAGGCATGGGCAAGGACTTCATGTCTAAAACACCAAAAGCAATGGCAACAAAAGACAAAATTGACAAATGGGATCTAATTAAACTAAAGAGCTTCTGCACAGCAAAAGAAAACACCATCAGAGTGAGCAGACAACGTACACAATGGGAGAAAATTTTTGCAACCTACTCATCTGACAAAGGACTAATATCCAGAATCTACAATGAACTCAAACAAATTTACAAGAAAAAAACAAACAACCACATCAAAAAGTGGGCGAAGGATATGAACAGATGCTTCTCAAAAGAAGACATTTATGCAGCCAAAAAACACATGAAAAAATGCTCATCATCACTGGCCATCAGAGAAATGCAAATCAAAACCACAATGAGATACCATCTCACACCAGTTAGAATGGCGATCATTAAAAAGTCTGGAAACAACAGGTGCTGGAGAGGATGTGGAGAAATAGGAACACTTTTACACTGTTGGTGGGACCGTAAACTAGTTCAACCATCGTGGAAGTCAGTGTGGCGATTCCTCAGGGATCTAGAACTAGAAATACCATTTGACCCAGCCATCCCATTCCTGGGTATATACCCAAAGGATTATAAATCATGTTGCTATAAAGACATATGCACACGTATGTTTATTGCAGCACTATTCACAATAGCATAGACTTGGAACCAACCCAAATGTCCAACAATGATAGACTGGATTAAGAAAATGTGGCACATATACACCATGGAATACTGTGCAGCCATAAAAAAGGATGAGTTCATGTCCTTTGTAGGGACATGGATGAAACTGGAAATCATCATTCTCAGTAAACTGTCGCAAGAACAAAAAACCAAACACCGCATATTCTCACTCATAGGTGGGAATTGAACAATGAGAACACATGGACACAGGAAGGGGAACATCACACTCTGGGGACTGTTGTGGGATGGGGAGAGGGGGGAGGGATAGCATTAGGAGATATACCTAATGCTAAATGACGAGTTAATGGGTGCAGCACACCAGCATGGCACATGTATACATATGTAACTAACCTGCACATTGTGCACATGTACCCTAAAACTTAAAGTATAATAATAATAAAAGAAAAGAAAATGTGGCACATATACACTGTGGAATACTATGCAGCCATAAAAAATGATGAGTTCATGTCCTTTGTAGGGACATGGATGAAGCTGGAAACTATCATTCTCAGCAAACGTTCGCAAGGACAAAAAACCAAACACTGCATGTTCGCACTCATAGGTGGGACTTGAACAATGAGAACACATGGACACAGGAAGGGGAGCATCACACACCAGGGACTGTTGTGGGGTGGGGGGAGTGGGGAGGGATAGCATTAGGAGATATACCTAATGCTAAATGACGAGTTAATGGGTGCAGCACACCAACATGGCACATGTATACATATGTAACGAACCTGCACATTGTGTACATGTAACCTAAAACTTAAAGTATAATAATAATAAGAAAAATGAATAAATAAATAAAAATAAAAATACGTTGTGCAAAGTGAAAAAAAAAAGAAGCTCAGGAAAGGTTTTTCCTTACCAGCTCTCCATAAAAGTTGTCTTCAAAGACAGTTCTTTGGCTATGCAGAAATCCTAAATTGCAAACCCATTTTGATTGTTTTATTAGGGTACTCCCAGCTGAGAGATGTTAAAGGCTGGAGGATACTGACTTCTGTTATTATCCAGGTCTATTGGAACATCCTGTGGCTTTACTCAGCAGGTGAGGGTGCAATCATCTCACAATCTCCTGACTCCACTTTGAAGTCTTAGCCTTGAGTACATCCTTTAGACTCCACCTCTGTGGGCAGGGCATAGCTGAACAAAAGACAGTAGACAACTTCTGCAGACTTAAACCTCCCTCTCTTACAGCTCTGAAGAGAGCAGTGGTTCTCCCAGCATGGCATTTGAGCTCTGAAAACGGACAGACTGCCTCCTCAAGTGGGTCGCTGGCCCCTGTGTAGTTAACTGGGAAACATCTCCCAGTAGTGGTCAATAGACACATCATATAGGCAGCTGCCCCTCTGTGACAAAGTTTCCAGAGGAAGGCTCAGGCAGCAATATTTGCTGTTCTGCAATATTTGCTGTTCTCCAGCCTCTGTTGGTGATACCCAGGGAAACAGGGTCTGGAGTGGACCTCCAGCAAACTCCAACAGACCTGCAGCTGAGGGACCTGACCGTTAGAAGGAATACTAACAAACAGAAAGGAATAGTGTCAACATCAACAAAAACGTCATCTACACCAAAACCCCATCTGTAGGTCACCAACATCAAAGATCAAAGGTAGATAAAACCACAAAGGTGGGGAGAAACCAAACCAGAAAAGCTGAAAATTCTAAAAATCAGAGCACCTCTGATCACAGCTCCTCGCCAGCAATGGAACAAAGCTGGATGGAGAATGACTACAGAAGTAGGCTTCAGAAGATCGGTAATAACAAACTTCTCCAAGCTAAAGGAGGATGTTCAAACCCATCACAAGGAAGTTAAAAACCTTGAAAAAATATTAGATGAATGGCTAACTAGAATAAACAGTGTAGAGAATACCTTAAATGACCTGATGGAGCTGAAAACCATGGCACGAGAACTTAGTGATGCATGCACAAGCTTCAACAGCCAATTCGATCAAGTGGAAGAAAGGGTATCAGTAATTAAAGCTCAAATTAATGAAGTAAAGTGAGAAGACAAGGTTAGAGAAAAAAAGAGTAAAAAGAAATGAACAAAGCCTCCAAGAAATATGGGACTATGTGAAAAGACCAAATCTACATTTGATTGGTGTACCTGAAAGTGATGGGGAAAATGGAACCAAGTTGGAAAACACTCTTCAGGATATTGTCCAGGATAACTTCCCCAGCTGAGCAAGGCAGGCATTCAAATTCAGGAAATACAGAGAACACCACAAAGATACTCCTCAAGAAGAGCAACCCCAAGACACATAATCGTCAGATTCACCAAGGTTAAAATGAAGAAAAAAGTGTTAAGGGCAGCCAGAGAGAAAGGCCAAGTTACCCACAAAGGGAAGCCCATCAGACTAAGAGCGGATCTCTTGGCAGAAACCCTACAAGCCAGAAGAGTGGGGGCCAATATTCAACATTCTTAAAGAAAAGAATGTTTAATCCAGAATTTCATATCCAGCCAAACTAAGCTTCATAAGAGAAATAAAATCCTTTACAGACAAGCACATGCTGACAGATTTTGTCACCACCAGGCCTGCCTTACAAGAGCTCCTGAAAGAAGCACTAAACGTGGAAAGAAACACCGGTAACAGCCACTGCAAAAACATGCCAAATTGTGAAGACCATCGATGTTATAAAGAAACTGCATCAATTAATGGGCAAAATAACCAGTGAACATCATAATCACAGAAACAAATTCACACATAACAATATTAACCTTAAATGTAAATGGACTAAATGCCCCAATTAAAAGAGACACAGACTGGCAAATTGGATAGTCAAGACCCATCAGTGTGCTGTATTCAGGAGACCCATCTCATGAGCAAAGATGCACATAGGCTCAAAATAAAGGGATGGAGGAAGATCTACCAAGCAAATGGAAATCAAAAAAAAAAAAAAAAAACGGGTTGCAATCCTAGTCTCTGATAAAACAGACTGTAAACCAACAAAGATCAAAAGAGACAAATAAGACCATTGCATAATGGTAAAGTGATCATTTCAACAAGAAGAGCTAACTATCCTAAATATATATGCACCCAATACAGGAGCACTCAGATTCATAAAGCAAGTTCTTAGAGACCCACAAAGAGACTGAGACTCCCACACAATAATAATGGGAGACTTTGACACCCCACTGTCAATATTAGACAGATCAATGGGACAGAAGGTTAACAAGGATATCCAGGACCTGAGCTCAGTTCTGCAACAAGCAGACCTAATAGAGATCTACAGAACTCTCCACCCCAAATCAACAGAATATACATTCTTCTCAGCACGACATCGCACTTATTCTAAAATTGACCACATAGTTGGAAGTAAAGCACTCCTCAGCAAATGTAAAAGAACAGAAATCACAACATACTGTCTCTCAGACCACAGTGCAATCAAATTAGAACCCAGGATTCAGAAACACTCAAAACCACACGACTACATGGAAACTGAACAACCTGCTCCTGAATGACTACTGGGTAAATAACGAAATGAAGGGAGAAATAAAGATGTTCTTTGAAACCAATGAGAACAAAGACACAACATACCAAAATCTCTGGGACACATTTAAAGCGTGTGTAGAGGAAAATTTACAGCACTAAATGCCCACATGAGAAAGCAGGAAAGATCTAAACTTGACACCCTAACATCACAATTAAAAGAACCAGAGAAGCAAGAGCAAACAAATTCAAATGCTAGCAGAAGGCAAGAAATAACTAAGATCAGAGCAGAACTGAAAGAGATAGAGGCACAAAAAACCCTCCAAAAAATCAATGAATCCAGGAATTGGTTTTTTAAAAAGATCAACAAAATTGAAAGACTGCTAACAAGACTAATAAAGAAAAAAAGAGAAAAGAATCAAATAGATGCAATAAAAAAATGATAAAGGGGATATAACCACTGATCCCACAGAAATACAAACTACCATCAGAGAATACTATAAACACCTTCATGCAAATAAACTAGAAAATCTAGAAGAAATGGATAAATTCCTGGACACATACATTCTTCCAAGACTAAAGCAGGAAGAAGTCAAATCTCTGAATAGGCCAATAATAGGCTCTGAAATTGAGGCAATAATTAATAGCCAAAAGTCCAGTACCAGACAGATTCACGGCCAAATTCTACCAGAGGTACAAAGAGGAGCTGGTACCATTCCTTCTGAAATTATTCCAATCAATAGAAAAAGAGGGAATCCTCCCTAACTCATTCTATGAGGCCAGTACCATCCTGATACCAAAGCCTGGCAGAAACAACAAAAAGAGAATTTTAGACCAATGTCCCTGATGAACATCGATGCAAAAATCCTCAAAAAAATACTGGCAAACAGAATCCAGCAGCACATCAAAAAGCTTATCCACCACGATCAAGTCAACTTCATCCCTGGGATGCAAGGCTGGTTCAATGTACACAAATCAATAAACGTAATCCATCACATCAACAGAACCAATGATAAAAACCACATGATTATCTCAATAGATGCAGAAAAGGCCTTTGACAAAATTCAACAGCCCTTCATGCTAAAAACTCTCAATAAACTAGGTATTGATGGAACACATATCAAAATAATAAGATCTATTTATGACAAACCCACAGCCAATATCATACTGAATGGGCAAAAACTGGAAGCATTCCCTTTGAATACCAGTGCAAGACAAGGATGTCCTCTCTCACCACTCCTATTCAACATAGTGTTGGAAGTTCTGGCCAGGGCAATCAGGTGAGAGAAAGATATAAAGGGTATTCAGTTAGGAAATGAGGAAGTCAAATTGTCCCTGTTTGCAGATGACATGATTGTATATTTAGAAAACCCCATCGTCTTAGGCAAAAATCTTCTTAAGCTGATAAGCAATTTCATCAAAGTCCCAGAATACAAAATCAATGTGCAAAAATCACAAGCATTCCTATTCACCACTAACAGACAGAGAGCCAAATCATGAGTGAACTCCCTTTCACAATTGCTACAAAGAGAATAAAATACCTAGGAATCCAACTTACAAGGGATGTGAAGGACCTCTTCAAGGAGAACTATAAAACACTGCTCAATGAAATAAAAGAGGATGCAAACAAATAGAAGGATATTCCATTCTCATGGATAGGAAGAATCAATATCATGAAAATGGCCATACCGCCCAAAGTAGTTTATAGATTCAATGCCATCACCATCAAGCTACCAATGACTTTCTTCACAGAATTGGAAAAAACTACTTTAAAGTTCATATGCAACCAAAAACTAGCCCACATTACCAAGACAATCCTAAGCAAAAAGAACAAAGCTGGAGGCATCATGCCACCTGACTTCAAACTATACTACAAGGCTACAGTAACCAAAACAGCATGGTACTGGTACCAAAACAGATATATAGACCAATGGAACAGAACAGAGGCCTCAGAAATAACATCACACATCTACAACCATCTGATCTTTGACAAAACTGAGAAAAACAAGCAATGGGGAAAGGATTCCCTATTTAATAAATGGTGCTGGGAAAACTGGCTAGCCATATGTAGAAAGCTGAAACTGGATCCCTTCCTTACACCTTATACAAAAATAAATTCGAGATGGATTAAAGACTTAAATGTTAGACCTAACACCAGAAAAACCCTAGAAGAAAACCTAGGCAATACCATTCAGGACATAAGCATGGACAAGGACTTCATGACTAAAACACCAAAAGCAATGGCAACAAAAGCCAAAATAGACAAATGGGATCTAATTTAACTAAAGAGCTTCTGCATGGCAAAAGAAACTACCATCAGAGTGCACAGGCAGCCTGCGGAATGAGAGAAAATTTTTGCAATCTACCCATCTGACAAAGGGCTAATATCCAGAATCTAAAAAGAACTCAAACAAATTTACAAGAAAAAAACAACCCCATCAAAAAGTGGGCAAAGTATATGAACAGACACTTCTCAAAAGAAGACATCAGTGCAGCCAAAAAACACATGAAAAAATGCTCATCATCACTGGCCATCAGAGAAATGCAAATCAAAACCACAGTGAGATACCATCTCACACCAGTTAGAATGGCAATCATTAAAAAGTCAGGAAGCAACAGATGCTGGAGAGCATGTGGAGATATAGGAACACTTTTATACTGTTGGTGGGAGTGTAAATTAGTTCAACCATTGTGGAAGACAGTGTAGCGATTCCTCAAGGATCTAGAACTAGAATTACCATTTGACCCAGCAATTCCATTACTGGGTATATACCCAAAGGATTATAAATCATGCTACTATAAAGACACATGCACATGTATGTTTATTGTGGCACTATCCACAATAGCAAAGACTTGAAACCAACCCAAATGTCCAATGATAGACTGGATAAAGATAATGTGGCACATATACACCATGGAATACTATGCAGCCATAAAAAATGATGAGTTCATCTCCTTTGCAGGGACATGGATGAAGCTGGAAACCATCATTCTCACCAAACTATCACAAGGACAGAAAACCAAACACCAGATGTTCTCACTCATAGGTGAGAATTGAACAATGAGATCACCTGGACACAGGGCGGGGAACATCACACACCAGGGCTTGTTGCAGGGTGGGGACTGGGGGAGGGATAGCATTAGGAGAAATACTTAATGTAAACGATGAGTTGATGGATGCAGCAAACCAACATGGCGCATGTATACCTATGTATCAAACCTGCACATTGCGCACATGTACCCTAGAACTTAAAGTATAATAATAATAATAAAAAGAAAAAGAAAAAAGAAAAAATAACTTATAACCTTGTTGAACAGTGAGTCCTCTTATGTGTCATTCTGAGTAGGGTTTTTTTCATAGATTCTAATAATACCAATTTATTATTGGAACCATACCATAAATCTCTTGTTGGGCAAATAATGCAACCATTATCAGCCCAAATAAATTTTTATTTATGTGGTACTCAAGACTGACCATGTTTAACAACATCATTTATATCCTTTTTTGGAAAATAATGTTAGCTGTAAGGTTTTCAGTCTTAGTAAAACTCAAGGCAGGCACTTTTACTGCATGATCAGCCAAGTTGTTTCCTTTATCCTCATCAGATTTCAATTTTAATTACTTGTAAATTTTAAAATAACTAAAAGAGTATAACTGGATTTTGTAACACAAAGGATAAATTATTGCCCAGAAATTTCAATTATGGCCAAGGCAGGGGGGATGTTGAATTTTATAAATTATTGACAAAAGTTTTATTTTTAATTTGATTCCCTTTGGAGGAAAAAAAAATTCCTCTTCATTTCCAAAGCATGCTACTGATGAACAATCCCAAAGGCATAATGGCTACCAGTGTAAAGGTTTGCAGTTTTACCTTTTGCCAGGACACAAACTCTGGTTAAGCCATAAATTCTGCTTGTTGGGCCAAAGTAGCCATCAAGAGCAGGGCTAATTCAACTACTTCATAAAGGATAGTGATAGAATTTCCAGCATAGTTTTCTTCATTACATATCATATATGATCCATCAGTAAACCATGAAAGTTATGTGTTTGGTACAGGAGTTTCTTGTAAATCAACTCTAGGCTTTAGTGGCTAGTCAATTCAATTTAGACAGTCATGAGGTGTCTTCATCAGGTGGGGGAAGGAGGGTTGCTGGATTAAGATTATTGCAGTCAGAAAGAATAATACCAGGAAAAATCAAAAGCAACTTCTTAGAATAAATGAGTCTTCTTGCAGATAGATGTTGAGTATCATAAGAGTTGAGTAAAGTTTCTACAGCATGAGGAACATAGATAGTGAGAGGTGATCCCATGACTATTTCTTTCATATATTTAGACAAAGCCACAGTGGCTCATATAGCTCTCATGCAGGGAGAAAGTCCCTTAGCTACTGAATCTAATTGCTGGCTATAATAGCCAAGGAGTCTGTATTGATCTCCACATTTTGGGGTAAAGACCTCTAATGCATGTCCTTCTCTTTCATGCATGAAAAGGAAGGAGGGGAGCTCATAATTGGGGTGCCCTAAGGCAGAACTCAGAAAGTCTTTGAATTGATAGAAGGCTATACAAGCATTCTCTTCCCAGTCCAGGGAATCCGGTTTGCTAACTTTCAGAAGAGTGTATAATGGTTGAGCTATCAAAGAAAAATTAGGTATTCAGTTTTGACAGAACACTGCCAGGCCCAAACCCCCTTGTAATTGTCTCTTAGTCTAAGACTGAGGAAAGCTTAAAATGTTTATCAGGATCCAAGAGAAGTCCTTGGTTTGATATCTAGTGTCTTGAATATTTGATATGGGCCTGAATAGATTGGAGTTTTTCTCTGGAAACCTTTTATGGCTTTTGTCTGCTAGAAGTTTAAGGATTTGAATGCTATCATGTTCACAGACCCCTTTAGAAGGGGACAGAGAAGGAGATTATCAGCATACTGCAAGAAAGAAGATCCTTGGAGGGAAAAAAATGTCTGTTAAATCTGTCTTCAGTATCTATGAAAAGAGGGACTTTCAGTATAGGCATTACTCTCCAGGTATATTGTTGTCCTTCCCATGTAACAGCAAATAAAAATTGACTCACAGGGTTCACAAGAATGCTTTTTTGAAAAGCACTACCATGACCTATTACTGTGAAAAACTTGCTTTCTGTGAAGATGGAAGTAAGGAAGTTATGGGGATTTGAAATGACAGCATCAAGGAATGACAATGTTATTAGTGGCTCTTAGGTCTTGTACAACTCTTCATCCTCATTCATGAGGTTTATTTATGGGAAGGATAGGGGTTTTGCAGATGCTTGTGTGAGGCACTATAAGATGATTGGCTTTATATTCTTCTATACTTGGTTTAATTATAAACCAATTGAATGAAAAAGCAATAAAGCAAGGGCTTCAGGGTTTATGGGGTATTGTCTGATATTAGGAAGGGGCTTGTTTGGGTCAATTTGAATTTTTTAGTGGGGAAGCCAAATGGATTCATCCAATGTCTGTTGTGATTTAGCCAAAAGGTCCTCAAAAACCTCTTTTAAAAGAGCTAATCTCTCATTTTTGTTATTTAGATTAAGGGCAAAATTGGACAAAGATGTTGAGGAATTTTCACTGTTGTCAGTTAAAGTAAGGGTTGTGTCCATTCCAAGAACACTCTCCCCCTTTTGGGAAAAGGAAATGGCAGCGTGACATTTTTAAGTCCCTTCAGAGTAAATTAACTGGGGTCAAAGGAGCTAGAAAAAAGAATGACTGTCCTGTCGAAGATTTAATTGAAAAAGCAAGGGTAAAGATTTGTAAACTGTTATAGGTGTATTAGAAACTCCCACCATTTGAATGTTCTCAATACTCCAAGGAAGGGGCTGCTTGAGGCAGGTGAGGTTATGCACAGGGAGTTGCTCCAATGCCAGTAATGACAGTGAGAACCTCTTTTTCAGTCATTAGGAATATTTTGCCCAAATGATTAAGAGGCAAATTTGGAAAAATCAACTGTGTTTTCTCAGACCACTGTCAGTCCATAAGCAACATAGAGGGCAGTTTATTAAGGGGACTTTTAGCAGGTTTTAATTGTATACTTTTTTTCAATGTCCAGACTTTTTGCAGTAGTGGCAAACCCATTTAAGATTTGGTTTTATGAAAAGGATGAGATCATGTTCTTTGCAGGAATATGGATGGTGCTGGAGGCTATTATCCTTAGCAAACTTAGGAACAAAAAAACAAATGCCACATGTTCTCACTTGTAAGTGTAAGCTAAATGATGAGAACTCATAAACACAAAGAAGGGAACAACTGACACTGGGTCCTACTTGAGTGTGGAGGGTGGGAGGAGAAAGAGGAGCAGAAAAAAATAACTATTGAGTACTAGGCTTAGTACCTGGATGATGAAACAATCTGTGCAACAAACCCCGTGACACAATTTACCTATATAACAAACCTGCACATGTACCTCCAAACCTAAAAACAAGTTTTAAAGGTTTGGCTTATGGCATTAGACTGCCATGTTTTATTATAAAGGGTATTTTCTTTGCCCTTGCTTTATTGGTCATAGAAATTTTTCAGGTTAACTTGTTGTCCAGGTTAACTAAGTCAGAGGTGGATATTGTTTCCCAATTAAGTTGAGCCAATTTAACTAGAATTACAAGCTCTTCAGCTAGGCCATTTATAAACGTAGAATTAAAGACCACTTTGGTAGATTCCACATCCAAGGGAGTCCAGTTTTCCTCAAAACTGTTTCAAGTCTGTTGTAATAATCAGGTACTGCCTCACCTTCCTTTTGAGCACCAGCCAGAATACTGTTCTATTCTAGTGGCTTAGGGAATGCTAAAGGAATGCCTTCATGTAAATTTTTGGCTCTTTCTTGGGCATTTCCCCTATTGGGAGGCATATTGTGTTGGATATCAGTTAGATGATTGTTCCTACCTGCTTTTGCCATCCAGTGTTGTGGCTGACCTTCTCCAACAAGCATGTGCTTTAATTGGTAAAGGTCAGAGAAACCAGGTTCATAAGACTGGATAACAATTTGAAACTCTTCAGCAAATTCATGAGGGCTCTCAGTAACTTTGGGGAACTCTTTAACTATAGGCCTAGGTTCAGCTTTTGTCCAAGGTGTTTGGAAATGTTTAAGAGAGGGCCATTATTATTTGGATGGAGCTTAAATAGGTGAATTTGAATAGGTTTAGAAGAATGAGGGAATCAAGGGAAGCTTTGGGATGATAAGAACAGAAGTTCAGCAAGTACAGGATATAGAGACTGAGGAGCAGGAGAAGTAGAAAAATGAGAGTAAGGGGAAGAAACCTGGGCCTTGAGGACTTTTCCTTTCTTTCAATTTTTTTATTCACCTTTGTGAGTTTAGAGACTTTGTTTTGGAGGGAGGCAATTTTAGAGTCCTGAATGAGTTTGGACACTTCTAAATCTAATTAAAATCAGCACCTCATTTAGGTTTTATTGTTTTAAAACCATGGTCTTCTCCATTTAGTTCAGAGAAAACCTAGTTTAAATAAATCAAAGGAACACCAATTTGGCCATTGTAATTTCAAAATGTCTTTTATGTAAAAGGTCCATGGTTCCAGATAAACACATGTGGAGAGTCCATAATTTTTGAACATATAACTATCTTGAATCCCAGAAGGGGGACAATAATTACAAAGATTAGAATTAAAGAATCCCATATTTATAATGCTAATTTTACTCATCAATGGAAGAACTCCTAACCAATATGAAATTTTCTGACAAAAGCAGGAAAACTCCTGCACAAGGTAAGAGCTTTTGCCAGAACAATTGGAACAGCTGTTCCCAAACTCTCAAAGGCATTGTCCTCAACTAAAGGGAAGGAGGATGGGGCCTGAGAGGACTTACCAATGACCATATCAGCAATCCGAAGAGATGGAGAGCATAAGGAGCTCTTTCTTGTGGGTACGTCACCTGATTTCAGAAAACAGAGGTCCACTGGAAGGTAAAATCACTTAAGGTCTGACTTCTGTAATCCAGCTATGTTAACTAAAATATATATTGATACAAAATTCAGAGAAAATACCATTTATTTGAAAAACAAAGAATTGCAACCCAGGTACACAAAGTCAGGGCAACCCTGAATAACACACCCAGAGACAAGCACAGGAAAGCTTTATTTAAATGGGAATGATTTCCACACACACAAAAAAATGTTGTTTTCAGAGGCAGTTTACTGTCTGGGCAGAAATCCTAAATTGCAAACCCATTCTGATTGGTAAATTAGGGTATTCCCAGCTGAGATATGTTGAAAACTGGAGGATACTGACGTCTGTTGTTATCCAAATATATTGGAACATCCTGTGGCTTTATTTTTAACAGGTAGGTGTGCAATCCTCTCACAGTATCCTGACTCTAAAGCCGTAGCCTTAAGTATTTCATTTTCTTTCACACCCACACTAGTGAAGGTTTAATAAACTAAAATAGGATGTACATAACAGGGGCCAAATAGAAAGAGGAGTTAGTGAAAAATTACAAAGGCTTGGTACTTTCAGTTGTTGGGGAGATTTTTAGAGGCCTTTTTTCCTCCGGCTGATTATTTTTGGTGGCTAAGGAAAGAAAATTTCAAATAAATGAACCTTTAAACTGATACTCTTAACATCCATATTTGAAGGGAAAAACATCTGAGCCCCATTTTCCATGATATCTCTAATATTCATCTGACAATCTATAGGTGCTTAATGAGTAATCAATTATAACATGTTATAAAATCTTCAGTTTCATTTGTCTTTCTGTTTGGCTTTTGTCTCTAAGTCTTGACTTTTCTTCATCTCTGTCTAAACCTTCCATTTGCTCAAAGTGCTGAAAACAGTCAACAAATAAATTTGTGTGGGCAAGTGGGAATGATAACTCTACTGACTACCCCACTGAATTCACCTGATTCATGTTAGTGTTGGTTTGGCTTCTGAGACTAATGAGCTTTGTCATAATCCAGGCTCTAAGTAAGAATTAAGTCTCAATGGGTAGAAAGAATGCCTGGTTAAAAGACACCAGAATGCCACATACCACAAGATTAAGGAAAATGGATTGATGACTCATAGCATGCCCACACTGGTGCCAGAAGTTGTAATGAAGGGAAGAATTAGTCAAGACTAACCAAGAAGAATAGGGCAAGTGAAGGGATGTATGCTATTGGATCTGAATAAATCAGAGTGTTTCCCAAAGATTGTTCTTCATTTCCTCCTCAGACTAGTAATGGCTGACAGAGACAATTTATGTTCATGTTGTCTAGTTGTTTAACAGAAAAGATTGGCCATGGGACATGGCTTGATGACTTGGGCAATGATTTAGAATATGTGAAAATGAATAGTTCCTCAAGAAATGTCAGCAACTGGGCCTATAACACACAATCTACTTTAAAATCTCACTCTGTTTTCTAGGTATGCAATAGGTCTTTTCCACTTCTTAATTGGTTGAGCTACAACAGAATGTAAAGTAGAACTAAAGATAAGCATGAAAATAGATCATGGACCAAGGAGTAGGAAAAGAAAGAATACTTGGGTTTTGGAAGCTGCAGTGAGACTTTGCATCTGAGGTAGAGGAAAAGTGGTTTGTGGAAAAAGCACTGAACTTGGATTGTGTGGATTCAAATTCTGTCTCCACGTCTTACTAGCTTTGAGATTACTTAGTCTTTGATAAGTTTATGAAATGGGAAGAATATAATAATCTTTGTCTTGCAGGACTATTGTGAGGATCTAATTAAGTCATGGATGTGGAAGAGCTTTCGAAATTGTAAAGTGAAGGGGAAGGTATTGTTGTTGTCTGGGACATCTCCACGCATACTGGCTACAAGGGCACTGTGGAGAAAAAGGAGAAATCCTCTCCCTCAGGGGAGCTGTATCCAGTGAACTCCTACAGCTGTCAGCCTCTAATCAATCCTCTTGGGAAGTCCAAAGTTTGTGTGAAACCTCAGTGGCATGTAGTACTAAAGATTACTAACTAATTTACCTTTCCTTTTGGTTTTCTTCCTCCAAATGTAGGCTTTTAAAGGAAACTTGCTCTTTTATTCCCTTTAAATCTTTCCAACTGACCTCCAGAAAGCTGACATAATAGTTTTAAGCAGATTATGCCTTGCTGTCCTAATATCAGGCAGTATTATATTGGCATTGTTTACCAGTTTTGAGAATGTAGCCCAAACACTTTCATTCAGGCCTCTCCATGACAAGTAACATATTTGCGAGATTGCTACCTACAGTTGAGGGGTTAGCTTGTGATTCTAGAACAAGGGGAACATGTAAGATTTAAATGCAGTGGTTTGGCATTAGGAGCATGATGTTCTAACCAACTCTTTGAATTTAATTTTAAGCTTCCAGGAACCATATTATAGGATGACATAAAATGTTGGCTATAAATAAAGATCTTTGAGGTCATCTACTCCAAAAGAAACAAGAAAGCACAGTCCCAGAGTGGAGTCAGAGACTTGGTTTTAATGGCAGAGTTGGAACTGAAGCTAAAGTTGCCTTATTTTCGATGTAGTATTTCTTATTCTGTTTCCATTGAATTATTTTCACTTTAAGTACAGGACCACCTCCTTTCTCTATGCCTATTTCTGGACAAATTGTCACTGAATCAGGCAAATTATCCAAGAAGCATGTTGCCAACTGTTTGATAATTTAGAGATGTCAGATAGCTGTCAAAGAGTGGGCCTAAAAATTTAACTTTTCACAGGCTATATTTTTGTTTTCCCCTTTTTATTACATTTTCATCGAAAGCTGTGACTACCGTATTGTATCCATACCTTTTCTTACATTTTATAGTCTTTATCAAGTTTGGCTGTAGCATATGCATTCCAGTTGATATTAGAGTTTACATGAGTTCAGTTGCTTCCTCTGAAAAATAAAAAGGGGTGGAAAATAAATGGTATTTGGAAAAAATGACCTCAAAGATTCTAGCTTTAGCATTCTATGATTTTAGGATTTAAATATTTTTTCATTGTAGGGTTTTTGACAATTCCCAATTTTTCATTAATAAAAATATCAATCATTTTGTACAAATATTTTTTAATTTATTTATAAGTGTTTCCTTAGGCTACATTCCAAAAGTGAGATTGCTGGGTTAAAGAGCAAGCTGACTTTTTAATGACCTCTCAATGCATAATGCCAAACTGCTCTCTATAAAGATTTATACTGCCTAGTTATATCATTATAGCAGTTCATAATTGTTCCTGCTTCTTGACAACCTTTCCAACATTGGTTCCTTTATTATTATTTTATTTTTTATTTGTCCAGACTTAACAGATACAAGTGTAGTGTTTTTACATGGATATATCGTGTAGTGGTGGAGTCTAAACTTCTAGGGTAGGCATCACCTGAATAATGAACATTGTACCCATTAAGTAATTTCTCATCCCCCTCCCCCTCCCACACTCCCACCATTTCAAGTCTCCAGTGTTTATTAATTTACATTCTATGTCCCTGTGATCACACTACTTAGCCCCTTCTTTTATAAGTGAGAACATGTGGTATTTGATTTTGTTTCTGAGTTGTTACACTTAAGATAATGGCCTCCAGTTCCATTCATGTTGCTCCAAAAGACATGATTTTATTATTTTTTATGGCTGAATAGTATTCCACTCTGTGTGTGTGTATATATATATATATATATATATATATCATTTACTTTATCCAATAATCAGTTGACAAGCAGGTTGATTCCATATCTTTGTTATAGTGAAGAGTACTGTGATAAACATATGAGTGCAGGTAGCTTTTTTATATAATGATTACCTCTGGGTAGATACCCAGTAGTAGAATTGCTGGATCGAATAGTAGTTCTAGTTTTAGTTCTTTGAGAAATCTCCATGCTGTTCTCCATAGAGGCTGTAGTAATTTACATTCCCACCAACAGTGTATAAGTGTTCTCTTTTTGCTGCATCCTCACCAACATGTTATTTTTTAACTTTTTGGTAATAGGCATCCTAACTGATGTAAAATTGCTGGGTCTGACCCACAGACCCTGGCCGAACGATGGATGAACAAATGCACTCCAACACAGATATCCAGTGAAAGAGTGGGCTAGGGGACCAGGCCGCTCACAGAAAGAGTTGTAGCAGCCGTGGCCCTGACAAGCTGGCACTGTGGGCATTTATTTAGTACAGATTTAATGACAAAGGCCTTGAGTTAACACACTTGTGGGTAATTAACATGGTTGCCCCCCCCCACCACCTCCCAAGACAGCAGTCCTGTGTGCAAATGATTAAAGGCCAGGTTCTGAGGCCTAAGTAAACTAACTTTTCTAGATCAGTTTCTTTACATCCCCTTGTTATCCAACCTAATCTTTCAGGCACTGGATAAGAGAATTTGGCTGCCCTTAGCTATATCCTTTTCCAAAGCTCTTGTAAAACCACCCAGCCTTTGAAGAAGGTTTGCATCTTTCTACAACTTTTCCCACCACCCTGACCAATCTCCTACATAAAATGATATCTCATTGTGGTTTAAATTTGCATTTCTCTGATTAGCAATGTTGAACATTTTTTTCATATGCTTATTGGCCATTTGCATGTCTTTTGAGAAATGTCTGTTCATGTTCTTTGCCCACTTTTTAATGGGCTTATTGGGTTTGTGGTTGTTGTTGAGTTCTTTGTAAATCCTGAATATTAGTCCCAATTAATATTTTGAACTAATGGTTCAAAAATATTTTTTCCCATTCTGTAGGTTGTATGTTCACTCTGATTATTTCTTTTGCTGTGCAGAAGTTTTTTAGTTTACTTAAATCCCATTTGTCTATTTTTGGTTTTGTTGCTTGTGCTTTTGAGATCTTAATCATGAATTATTTGCCTAGACCAATGTCCAAGAGAACTTTCCCTAGGTTTTCTTCAAGTATTTTTATTGTTTGAGGTTGTATTAGTCCATTTTCATGCTGCTAATAAAGACATACCTGAGACTGGGAAGAAAAGGAGGTTTATTTTGACTTACAGTTCCACATGGCTGGGGAGGTCTCACAATCATGGAGGAGGGCTAAAGGCACTTCTTACATGGCAGCAGCAAAAGAAAATGAGGAAGAAGCAAAAGCAGAAACCCCTGATAAACCCATCAGATCTCATTAGATTTATTCACGACCACAAGAATATCACAAGTAACACCAGCCCCCATGATTCAATTACCTCCCACTGGGTCCCTATTCTGCATATGGAAATCTAATTTTCCCAGAACTGTGTATTGAAAAGGGTATCCTTTCCCCAGTGTATGTTTTGTCAACTGTGTCAAAGATCAGTTGGCATACATATGTGGCTTTATTTGTGAGTTCTCAACTGTTCCATTGGTCTATGTGTCTATTTTTACACCAGTACCATGCTGTGTTTGTTACTATAGCCTTGTAGTATATTTTGAAGTTAGGTAAGTGTAGTATATTTTGAAGTTTTTTGATGGAGTCTTGAGGGTTTTCTAGATATAAGCTTACATCATCAGCAAGGAGAGATAATTTGACTTCTTCTTTTCCACTTTGGATGTCTTTTATTTCTTTTCTTGCCTGATTTCTCTGGCTAGCTAGGATTTCTAGTACAATCTTAAATAGGAGAGGTAAAAGTGAGCATCCTTATCTTGTTCCTGTCTTAGGGGGAATGCTTTCAACTTTTCCCCTTCAGTATCATGTTGACTGTACATTTGTTGTATATGGCCATTATTATTTTGAGGTATGTTTTTTCTATGCCTACTTTGCTAAGGGTTTTTATCATGAAGGGAGGCTGAATTTTATTAAATGTCTTTTCTAATCTATTCTAATGGCCCTATGTTTTTACCCTTAATTGTTTGTGTGATGAATCACATTTATTGATTTGTATATTTGAACCATCCTTGAATCCCTGGAATAAAACCCACTTGAGTATTCTCTTTTTGATGTGTTGCTGGATTCAGTTTGCTAGTATTTTTTTCTTGAGGATTTTTGCATCTATTTTCATCAGGGATATTGGCCCATGATTTTCTTTTTTTGTTGTGTCTTTGCCTGGTTTTAGAATCAGAGTGATGCTGGCTTCATAGAATGAGAGGAAGAATTCTCTCCTCCATTTTTTAAAACTGTTTCAGGAAAATCGGTACCAGTTCTTCTTTTCACATTTGGTAGAATTCATCTGTGAATCCACGTGTCCTGGGCTTTTTTTCTGTTCTTGTTGGGAGACTTTTTTTAATTATTGATTCAGTCTCATTATTTGTTATTGGGCTGTTCAGAGTTTCTATTTTTTCCCGGCACAATCTTGAGAGGTTGTGTGTTTCCAGGACTTTATCCATTTCCTCTAGGTTTCCTAGTTTGTAAGAATATGGTTGTTCATAGTACTCTCTGATGATATTTTGTATTACTGAGGCATCAGTTGTAGTGTCTTATTTTTCATTTCTGATTATGATTTTAGATTTTCTTTTCTTGGTTAGTCTAGCTAGCTGTTTATCAATTCCATTTGTCTTTTCAAAGAACCAGCTTTTCATTTCATTGATCATTTGTATTGTTTTATTGGCCTCAGTTTTATTTAGTTCTGCTCTGATCATTATTTTCTTCTGCTAGCTTTAGCTTCGGTTTTTTCATGTTTTTCTATTTTCTTGAGGTACTATGTTAGGCTTTTAATTTGTGATCTTTGTATTTTTTTATGTAGGCATTTAATGCTATGAACTTTCCTCTTAGCACTGCTCTTGCTGTCTCTTAGAGGTTTTGGTATGTTGTTTATGTTGTGTTTCCATTTCCGTTTGTTTAATTTTTTTAATGTATGCCCTAATTTTGTCATGGACCCAGAGATCAGTTAGGAGCATGTTGTCTAATTTCTATGTGTTTCTATTGTTTCAAGAGTTCCTCTTGTTATTGATTTCTAGGTCAATTCTGCTTTGATTTGAGAAGATACTTGATGTGATTTCCATTTTAAAAAAATATTGAAACTTGTTTTGAGGCCCAACATATGGTCTATCTTGGAGAATGCTCTATATGCTGATGAGTAGAATGTATATTCTGCAGTTGTTGGGTACAATGTTTTGTAAATGTCTGTTAGGCCCATTTGGTCTAAAGTCCAATTTAAGTCCAATGCTTCCTTTTTTTATTTCTGACTTTTATTTTAGGTTCAAGGGTATACATGCAGAATGTGCAGTTTTGTTAATAGGTAAATGTGTGACATAGTGGTTTGCTACACAAATCATCCCATCACCCAGGTATTAAGCCCAGAATCCACAAGCTATTCTTCCTGATCCTCTCCTTCTTGCCATCCCCCATCTCCAAAATGCCCCAGTGTGTGTTGCTCCCCTCCATATGTCCATGCATTCTCATCATTAACTCCCACTTATAAATGAGAACAGGCAGTATTTGGTTTTCAGTTCCTGCATTAGTTTGCTAAGGATAATGGCCTCCAGCTCCATTCATATCCCTGCAAAGGACATGATCTTGTTCCTGGCTGCATATAATGCCATGGTGTATATGCACCACATTTTCTTTATCTAGTCTATAATTGATAGGCATTTACATTGATCCATGTCCTTGCTGTTGTGAATACTGCTGCAATTAAGATACACATGCATGTGTCTTTATAATAGAATGATTTCTATTCCTTTGGGTACATACCCAGTAATGGGATTGCTGGGTCAAATGGTAGTTCTGTCTCTAGATCACTGAGGAATTGCCACGCTGTCTTCCACAATGGTTGAACTAATTTACATTCCCACCAACAGTGTAAAAGCACTTCTTTTTCTCCACAATCTCTCCAGCATCTGTTATTTTTTGACTTTTTAATAATAGGCATTATGACTGGTGTGAGATGGCATCTCATTGTAGTTTTGATTTGCATTTCTCTAATGATCAGTGATGTTGAGCTTTTTTCATGTTTGTTGGCTGCATGTATATCTTCTTTTGAGAGGTGTCTGTTCGTATGCTTTGCCCACTTTTTAATGGGGTTTTTTTCTTGTAAATTTGTTTAAGTTCCTTGTAGATGCTGGATATTAGAAATTTGTCAGATAAATAGATGGAAAAACTTCCCCCATTCTGTAGATTGTTCACTCTTGATAGTTTCTTTTGCTGTGCAGAAGCTCTTTAATTTAATTAGATCCCATTTGTCAATATTTGCGTTCATTGCAATTGTTTTTAGTGGCTTTGTCATAAAATCTTTGCCCATGCCTACATCCAGAATGGTATTGCCTAGGTTTTCATCTAAAGACTTTGTGATTTGTGTTGTTGTTGTTGTTTTTTGTTTGTTTGTTTGTTTGTTTGTTTGTTTTTGACAGAGTTTCACTCTTGTTGCCCTTGCTGGAGTGCAATGGCACGATCTCAGCTCACTGCAACCTCTGCCTCCTGGGTTCAAGAGATCTCCTACTTTAGCCCCCCCAAGTAGCTGGGATTACAGGCATGCGCCACCATGTCCAGCTAATTTTTGTGTTTCCAGTAGAGACAGGGTTTCACCATGTTGGCCAGGCTGGTCTCAAACTCCTGACCTCAGGTGATCCACCCACCTCGGCCTCCCAAAGTGCTGGGATTACAGGCCGATGAGCTATCATGCCTGGCTGATTTTTGGTTTTAGATTTAAGTCTTTAATCCATCTTAAGTTGATTTTTGTATATAGTGTAAGGGAAGGGTCAAGTTTCAATTTTCTGCATATGGCTAACCAGTTCTCCCAGCACCATTTATTGAATACGGAATCATATTCCCATTGCTTGTTTTTGTCAGGTTTGTCGAAGTTCAGATGGTTGTAGGTGTGCAATCTTATTTCTGGTTTCTCTATTCTGTCCATGGGTTTATGTGTCTGTTTTTGTACCAGTACCATGCTATTTTAGTTACTGTAGGCCTTTAGCAAAGTTTGAAGTTGGGAAGTATGATGCCTCCAACTTTGTTCTCTTTGCTTAGAATTGCCTTGGCTATTCAGGCTCTTTTTTGATTCCACATGAATTTTAAAATAGTTTTTTTTTTAATTCTGTGATAAATGTTAATGGTAGTTTAATGGGAATAGCATTGAATATGTAAATTGCCTTGGGAACTATGACCATTTTCACAATATTTATTTCTCCTATCCATCCATGAGCATGGAATGTTTTTCTACTTGTTTGTGTCATTTCTGATTTCTTTGAGCAGTGGTTTGTAGCCGTCTTTGAAGAGGTCCGTCACTTCCCTTGTAAGCTGTATTTCTAGGTATTTTATTCTTATTGTGGCAATTGTGAAAGAGTTTACTCGTGATTTGGCTTTTGGCTTGCCTATTGTTGATATACAGGAGTGCTAGTCATTTTTACATAGTTAGGTTGATTTGGGATGGACAGTTCTGTAGATGTTTGTTAGGTCTGCTTGATCTAGTGCTGAGTTAAAGTCCTAAATGTCTTTGTTAATTTTCTATCTCGATGATTGGGCTAATATTGTCAGTGAGGTATTAAAGTCTTCCACTATTATTGTGTGGTTGTTCAAATCCCTTTGATGGTCTCTAAGAACTGGCTTTATGAATCTGAGTGCTCCTGTGTTGGGTACATATCTACTTAGGATAGTTAGCTCTTTTTGTTGAATTGAACTCCTTACCATTATGTAATGCCCTTCTTTGTCTTTATTTATCTTTGTTGGTTTAAAGTCTGTTTTGTCAGAAACTAGGCTTGCAACACTTGCTTTTCTGTGTTTTCTATTTGCTTGGTATCTCAATCAGTCCTAGATTCGGTCTCTGTACATAATCCCATATTTCTCAGAGGTTTTGTTCATTTCTTTTTATTGTTTTATCTCTATTCCCTCACAGCGCAACTGGTTTTTCTTCTTCCTGGGGGCTGTGGTGGGATCTGCCTTTCTGTGAGGATTCATGGGGTGGCTGGGCCAGCATCTGTCCAAAGGGAGGCACTTCTCCATTTTTTGTGTGTTTTTGCATGAGATGGGTCTCTTGAAGACAGCATACCTGTGGGTCTTGGTTCTTTATCCCACTTGCCACTCTGTCTTTTAATTGGGGCAATTAGTCCATTTACATTGAAGGTTATTGTTGTTATGTGTAGATTTAATCCTGTCATCATGATGTTAGCTGGTTGTTTTGCAGACCTGTTTATGTGGTTGCTTCATAGTGTCACTGGTCTATGTACTTCAGTATGTTTTTGTAATGGCTGGTAACAGTTTTTCCTTTCCATATTTACAGCTTCCTTCCTGCAGGGCAGATCTGGTGGTGATGAATTCCCTCAGCATCTGCTTGTCCTAAAAGGATTTTATTTCTCCTTCACTTAGGAAGGTTAGTTTGGCTGGACATGAACTTCAGGGTTGGAAATTCTTTTAAGAATGTTAAATATTGGTCCCAAATTTCTTCTGGCTTGTAGGGTTTTCCCTGAGAAGTCTGCCCTTAGTTTGATGGAATTTCATTTGTATGTGACCTAGCCTTTCTCTCTGGCTGCCCTTAACATTTTTTCTTTCATTTTGACCTTGGAGAACCTGATGATTCTCTGTGTCTTAGGGAGATCTTCTCATGGAGTATCTTACTGTGGCTCTCTTCATTTCCTGAATTTGAATGTTGGCCTGTCTAGCTAGATTGGGGAACTTCTCCTGAATTATATCCTGAAGTGTATTTTCCAACTTGGTTCCATTTTCCCTGTCTCTTTCAGGTACCCCAATCAGTCGTAGATTCCATCTCTTTACATAATACCATATTTCTTGGAGGTTTTGTTTATTCCTTTTTATTCTTTTATCTCTATAGTTGTCTGCCTGCTTACTTCAGAAAGACAGTCTTCAAGCTCTGAGATTCTCTACTCTGCTTGGTCTATTCTCCTATTAATACTTGTGATTGCATTGTGAGGTTCTTGTGTTTTGTTTTTCAGCTCTGTCAGGTTGGTTCTCTTTTTCTCTTTATACTATTTTGGCTGTCAACTTCTACATTGTTTTATTATGATTCTTAGCTTTTTTGCATTGGTTTACAATATGCTCCTTTAGCTCAGCAAAGCTCATTTTTATTCACCTTCTGAAGCCTACTTCTATCATTTCAGCCATCCCAGCCTCAGGTCAGTTCTGATCTCTTGCTGTAGAGGTGCTGTGGTCATTTGGAGGTAAGGGGGCTCTGTGGCTTTTTGAGTTTTGAGTGTCTTTGCACTGATGCTTTCTCATCTTTGTGAACTTATCTACCTTTGAGTTTGAAGTTGCTGATTTTTGGTTGGGTTTTTTGTCTTTTGTTGTTTTTGTTGTTGGTGGTTTGTTTGTTTTTCTTGTAACAGTCTCACCACTCTTCCCTAGGGCTGCTGTGGTTTGCTGGGGGTCCACTCCAGAGCCTAGTTGCCTCAGTTTTTCCAGTATCTGCAGGCATCACCAGTGAAGACTGCAAAACAGCAAAGATAACAGCCTGCTCCTACCTCTGGGAACCTCATCCCAGGGGGCTACTGACCTGTTGCCTGCCTGAACACACCTGTAGAATGTGGCTGGAGTCACTGGTTGGGAGTTCTTACCCAGTCAACAGGAAGGGGATCAGAGACCCACTTAAAGAAGCAGGCTGGCTGCATTTTGGCCATAAAAAAGAATGAGTACAGGGACATGGATGAAGCTGGAAGCCATTATTCTCAGCAAACTAACACAGGAACAGAAAACCAAACACTGTATGTTCTCACTCATAAGTAGGAGTTGAACAATGAGAACACATGGGCACAGGGAGGGGAGCATCACACACCGGGGCCTGTCAGGGGGTGGGGGGCAATGGGAGGGAGAGCATTAGGACAAATACCTAATGCATGTGGGGCTTAAAACCTAGATGACAGGTTCATAGGTACAGCAAACCACCATGGCACATGTATACCTATGTGACAAACCTGTACAATCTGCACATGTATCCCAGAACTTAAAAAAAAAAAAAAAAAAAAGAAGCAATCTGGCTGCATTTTGGTAGAGTGGCTGTGTTGTGTTGGGGGATCCCTTCGGCCACCAATTGGTTTGGGTTTCCAAGGCCCACAGGATGGAACAACTGTGATGCTCAAAGAGCAAAGGTGGTGCTCTCCATCCCAGGAAGAAATTAGAACTCTGTTGGCTATAGGACACAAGTGGGGGTGGCCAGAGGTTCTGGCTGGGAGGACCAACCAGCAAGGAGGAATGTATTGGGGTCCATTTAAAGAAGCAATCTGGCCACACCTCAACAAAACAGCAGTGCTGTGCTGGTGAACCACCTCTGCCCCAGGCAGCTTGGATTCTCCTAAGCCCACAGGCTAGAATGGCTGAGTTGTGCAAACTGCAAAGTTGGTGGCCCACCCCACCCTCTGGGTACTCTGTCCCAGGGAGAAATCAGAATTCTATCCATAGAACATGGGTGAGGGTGCCTGGAGGCCCTGGCTGGAAAAGGAATGGATTGGGGTCCTGCTTAAAGAAGCAGTCTGACCATGTATTGGTAAAGCAGCTGAGAGTCCAAACTGTTTGGACACTCCATGACCCACAGGCTGGAACGCCTGAGTCATACAAACAGCAAAGTTGGTTACCTACCCCTCCCTGCAATGACTTCATCCCATCTCAGGCAGGTGCTACCCTGTTGCCAGTGGCTGGCTGGAATTCTGGGCCAGTTGGTCTTATCTTGTGAGGTGCCATGGAAGTGGGGCCCGCAGACCAACACTGCTTGACCCCCTGGATTCATCCATCTTCCTAGGGGTATGTATGGACCTGCCTGCCTTGCCTGAGTTGTAGTCACCTTTGCCAGGGATCTTGGGGCCAGAGTAAATCTCCTGTGTCTCTGTACATGCCTGAGCTGCTTTTACAAATCCTTTTGAACATAGCTTATCTTTACAACTGCTTCTCTGGGAATGGTCGTCTCATAGAATCACATATAGTCCAGTAGTTTTCAAACCCAACTTTTGATATTTACTTGAGAAATATAATAAACATGAATGCATGAGCCCCACTCCAAAACAATCAGAATCTCTGGGAGACCTGCAGGCCCAACACCACATGGAAGCCACCAAGGCTTTGGGGTTGTGTCCTCTGAAGCAACATCCTGAGCTGCATGTTGGCCCCTTTTAACCATGACTGGATCTGGAATAGTTGGGACACAGGGCACCAAGTTCCAAGGCTGCACAGAGCAACAGGGTCCTTGGCCTGGCCCATGAAACCATTTTTCCCTCTTAGGCCTTCAGGCCTGTAATGGGACAGGCTGCCATGAA
The DNA here is from genome assembly GCF_000001405.40 of Homo sapiens. Classification (NCBI taxonomy): domain Eukaryota; kingdom Metazoa; phylum Chordata; class Mammalia; order Primates; family Hominidae; genus Homo; species Homo sapiens. The sequence goes on from NC_000023.11 coordinate 73,725,270, forward strand.
GGTCTCTGACATGGCCTGGAGACAGTTTCCCCATTGTCTTGGCTATAAACATTCAGCTCTTCGTTACTTATGCAAATTTCTGTAGCCAGCTCGAATTCTTCCCTAGAAAATGGGTTTTTCTTTTCTACCACATGGTCAAGCTGCAAAATTTTCAATCCTTTATGTTCTGCTGCTTTTTTAAACATAAGTCCCAATTTCAAACCATCTCTTCGTGAATGCATATAATTGAACACTTTCAGAATAAGCCAGGTCACCTCTTGAATGCTTTGCTACTTAGAAATTTCTTTTGCCAGATATCCTAAATCATCTCTCTCCAATTCAAACTTTCACAGATATCTATGGCAGAGGCAAAATGCTGCCAGTCTCTTCGCTAAAGTATAGCATAAGTGACCTTTATTCCAGTTCTTAATAAGTTCCTCATCTCCATCTGAGACCACCTCAGCATGGACTTCATTTTTAATATCACCATCAGCATTTTGGTCAAAACCATTCAACAAGTCTCTAGAAAGTTCCAAACTTTCCCACTTCTTCCTGTCTTCTTTTGAGACCTCCAAACTTTTCCAACCTCTGCCTGTTACCCAGTTCCAAAGTTGCTTCCACATTTTCAGGTTATCTTTATAGCAGTACCCCACTCTGCAGGTACCAATTCTCTGTATTAGTCCATTCTTACACTGCTATAAAGATACTGAGACTGGATAATTTATAAACAAAGGAGGTTTAATTGACTCACAGTTTTGCATGGCTGGGGAGGCCTCAGTAAAGTTACAATCATGGCAGAAGGTGAAGGGGGAGTGAGGAACATCTTCACAAGGCAGCAGCAGAGAGAGAGAGCAAAGAAGGAACTGCCAAACACTTGTGTAGCCATCAGCTCTCATGAGAACTCCCTCATGAAACATCATGAAAACAGCATGGGGTAACCTGTCCCCATAATCCAATCACCTCCCACCAAGTCCCTCCCTAAATATGTGGGGATTACAATTTGAGATAATATTTGGGTAGGGACACAGAGACAAACCATATCAACCATAATGAAGAAAGCAAGGTATATAAGATCAAGTGACTTGCCTATAAGTCCATGAGGTGTTCCAAACCTGCTGTGCAGTCTGCATCATTTTTCATTCTTTACATGCCTCTAGACTTAGAGAGGCTGATAAGCTTGGAAAATGATGTGCTTCTATCAACAGTAAAGATATTTTTCCATTTTCTACAACATTGTAAGTTCTGGCCATTAATGTATAAGCTTTTTTTTTTTTTCTGAGATGGAGTTTTGCTGCTGTTGCCCAGGTTGGAGTGCAATGATGCGATCTCAGCTCACTGCAACCTCCACCTCCTGGATTCAAGCAATTCTCCTGCCTCAGCCTCCTAAATAGCTGAGATTACCTGCGCTCGTCACCATGCCCAGCTAATTTTTGTATTTTTAGTAGAGATGTGGTTTTGCCATGTTGGCCAGGCTGGTCTCGAACTCCTGACCTCAGGTGATCCACTCACCTTGGCCTCCCAAAGTGCTGGGATTACTGGAGTCAGCCGCCGCACCTGGCCAAATGTATAATCTTAAAATACCACTAACATAGTATGATTTGAGAACCATCGCAGAATCTCACCATCCCTAAACATCCTTCTTGCTGATCTTTCACAGTGCCTGAAGTTTATTCTGCTAATCATTCTTCTAAGCTATGACACTGTTACCAGAATACAGGAATAGAGAGAGAGTGGGCTGTTAACATACCTGCTGTCACCTTGGAAAGCAGCCACAGAGCCCTGAAGATCTGGCCTGGGGTAGACATATTAATGAAAGATGCAGAAAAAAGGAAAAGCCCAGAATATAGGGCAAGCTCCCAGTAAAAGTCCTGGGTAGAATGGTGCCAAAGACTAGTTTTCTTATTTCAAAATGGTGCCCAAATGCTTGACATATCTACATTTTATAAAATCCCTTAAGTAATACGGTCAAAAGAGCACTAGAGTTGTGAAACAGGAGACTTGAGTTATTTTAGTAGTTCAGACTATGTGGCCTGGGACAGATCCATTTCCCTCTTTTTCTTACACATCAAATGTGAAGATTAAATTAGAGTAGCAAATATCCTGACTGCTTCTAAACGTTTGATTCTCATAGTGAATCAGTTCAATTGCCCTTGTGTCTAGTGTAGTTATGGCATAAGCTAATATGTTAATGCCTCCCCCTTACCACTGTGGCTGGCAGTATTTATAAAACATACAAGCCCTAAGCCTATTGAGAACCCAAGCAGTTGGTGCTGCCATACGTTTAAGAAGGACACAAAGAAACCTAGGGTCAAAGAAAGTCTGTTGAAGTAATTTAAAGGGAAGGAACTGTGAAAGGAGATGGTATTTTTCTTTTAAAACAGAAATATTGCTTCATTGAGTGGAGGTTGTGAGATGACAGGTAAGAAGATCCCAGACTTATAAGAAACTTCCTAAAGAATTTTAAAATGAAAATGGTTGTAGAAACACTCATCCACCTGAAATGAGTTAGATGCCTGTTTCTTGTCTCCAAGCAAAGGTTGGACTGGATAAAAAGAACCCCAGCAAGTAACCTAGAAAGTACCCTAATGTGGGCTAGGTGTGGTGGCTCATGCCTGTAATCCCAGCACTTTGGGAGGCCAAGGAGGGTGGATCACAAGGTCAAGAGATCGAGACCAGCCTGACCAACAACGTGAAACCCCATCTCTACTAAAAATACAAAAATTAGCTGGGCCTGGTGGTGCACGCCTGCAGTCCCAGCAACTCAGGAGGCTGAGGCAGGAGAATCGCTTGAACCTGGGAGGCGGAGGTTGCAGTGAGCCGAGATGGCACCACTGGGCCCCAGCTTGGCGACAGAGTGGGACTCTGTCTCAAAAAGAAAAGAAAAAAGGGAAAAAAAAAGAAAGTACCCTAATGTGGTACCTTTTTCCCTACTTTGTCTTTTTTGTTATTTTTTAAACTAAATGTTTAGCAAAATAGGAAAAAGCATAAATAAGAAAGCAATATTCATCCCAATCCTAATATGCAGCCTTCTCCTGCATGTCCCTGCCTTCCAAAATGTTTGCACATGGTACAACACCAGTATATAGACCCAGAGGTTAGTATGAAGGCAAAAGGCATTTTTTCCTGAACAAAAGCCAAAAAGGGAGCTGCTATTTTGTCAAGAAAGGGAGTGACAGCCCTTAGTACAGTGGTTCATGTTCAGGGTACTGAATAAGAACAAAATAGGGCTGATGGTGTTATTTCAGGCATTGGAGGGAAGACCACTGGGTAATGTTGACACTTCTACAATAATTGAGAGGATAATGGGGGCCAGAAGTCCCCTTTGTCAAGAAATGGCAGGGAGTCTGGGGTAAGAACTAGCAGAGTTAATATACATCCGTGCCATTAGCATGGGCTTTAAAGATGTTAGAACAGGCAGCAGAGCTATAGGCATTGCACCCAGGTCCCAGCCACCAGGCTTGGTGGATGGTAGGGAACTGTGGCAGCATTCCAACAGGGAGAGGCCAATGAGCATAAATACTGTTCTCTCGCTTTCTTTTAACTGTCACTAAGAGCACATTCAATTCAATGAGTCTACAATTCAGGTTGTCAGAAGAACAAAGGGACTCAATCTTTAGCCCTCTGGGAGAACTATTGAGAAACCAAGTAACTATTTAAATCTCTGTGCAGCTGGGCAGGAAGGAGAGTCCAGCTCTGTTGGAAAGATTTGGCAGCTTTGTAAGGGAGGGAGGTCCAGTACCTGACCCAGAGGCTGTGTGCCACCACCCGCCCCCATCCCCCCTGCAACCCAATGAAAAAAAGAGTATAGGGTCAACCACCTGCCCTACCACATATCAGCTGGTCCACCGACATTTATTTTAGCACTTCCACCCTAGTGGAGAACCTAGGTGCCAGTGTTTTCTAGGCCCTCCAAAGACAGTAAGCCCTTACGGCTCTATAAATGTATACATCCTCTCATCCTAGATAACCCCTCCCCAACTGAAACTCACAATCTCCACCTCACCTCTCCATCTCTCTCTCACACACACATACACGTTTTTATTTTTAGAAGACTCGGAGAAGGCCTGTGACAAAAGCTTATGCTCTAGCCAAAGTCTGTGCTAGTTCTCTGCCAGCCAGTGGCCAGGCCACTGAACTGCCATTATCTCCCTCCTCCCACTCTACGTGACCTCACCTCTGCTACCATTCATCTCTACCCAACCCTAGACTCTAGCATCCCTCACTCATTGCTTGTCTGCTTCTCTCCTTCTTGGCTAGTTATTGTGGCTGCTACAACAGTTACAATTAATGATTAGTTCCTACAGCATGCCTACCCATATCCTGTCCGCAGATCCAGAGGCCTAAACCCAGAGCTGTCTAGAGAGCAGGAACCAGAGTCAACTGAAGCAGAGTGCAATGCAAGGGGCGACTTGAAGCTGGAAGATGAACACTGAGTGGCTTTACAGAGGTAAGTACATACATTCTTATTGGTAATGTGAGGGAGAATTAGACCTTCCCTGGTCATGGGTTCAGTGATACTCAGATTCATTCATTCTCTCTAGATAGAGATAGATAGATAGATAGATAGATAGATAGATAGATAGATAGATGATAGATAGATGATAGATTATATAGAGAGAGATAGATTATATATAGAGAGATAGATAGATTATATATAGATACATAGATTATATATATATATATTTTCCCATGAGCAAAGGGGAAACCACCTCTTATCTCCTCAGAACTTTTGCTTGTCATACTACCTCTCCCTTGACTTGTAAGTTATTTGCCTATCTGCTAAACTAGGCTCCCTAGTTTCTCAGAAACTGTTGAATTGAATCAGGAGTTCCCTTTAACTGAAGAGACCCAGAATGATGAACAATACAGCCTTCTAAACCTTGAGATGAATAGGAATTTCATACTAATCCCTGTGACTGCAGGTGGATTCTTCCTTCTAGAGGTAAGAGCTGAAGTGGCTGAGGTGTGGATTCCATTCCTGAGGGTTGAAACCACTCTGGTATTTCATTTAGATAAGTTTACATTGAAAGGTTGGGGACATGTTAGAGGAAATTAGGTTTTTCCAGTGTGAAATGAACTCAGGATACCCTTTCTACTTCTCCCCTCCTAGGTAGAGTATCCGATATTGTTTACTGAACAAATTTAAGGAACTATCTGACAAACAAGCCCTATAAATGGAAGCATTTAAAACATACATTGGATTATTTTTACTACCATGGGAAAGTGGTGTTTAACCTTCCCATATCACAGTCTCACCTTCCATAAAATCAGGATTAATGCACAATCCTGATTCTTTCCTTTCTGAAACATGCAATAATAAATGTCTGCAAAGCACTTTGACCTCTAAGATATTAAATACACAAATTTTGTTTGCATTTGGATCTCTATTTTTTGTCCTAGGTGTATTTTTTAAACAGGGTCTTGCTAAATTTTTTCAATTTTTTTGTAGAGATAGGTCTTGCTATGTTGCCTAAGCTGGTCTCAAACTCCTAGCCTCAAACAGTCCTCCCAGCTCAGCGTCCCAAAATTCTGGGATTACAAGCATGAACCACACCTGGCTGGCGTTTTAAATTGATACATAATATTTTACATATTTATGGGGTACATGTGAGTATTTGTTACATGCATAGAATGTTTAATGCTCAAGTTGGGATATTTGGGGTATCCATCTCTTTGAATATTTATAATTTCTATCTATATGTTTGGAGTATTTCAAGCCCTCTCATCTAGTTACTTAGAAATATACAATACATTGTTGATAACTACATTCACCCTACTCTGCTATCATACTTTAGAACTTATTCCTTCTATCTAACTGTATGTTTGTACCTATTAACCAACCTCACTTCATCCCTCCCTCCCATGTACACCTACTTGCCAGCCTCTGGTATTTATCATTCTATTTTCTATCTGCATGAGATCAACAGTTTTAGCTCCCACAAATAAGTAAGAACATGCAATATTTGTCTTTTTGTGTCTGGTTTATTTCACTTAACATAATGTCTTCCACGTTTATCCATGTTGCTGCAAATGACATGATTTTATTAATTTTTGTGGCCTGATAGTATTCCATTGTGTGTATATACCACTTTTTCTTATTTATTTATTTAATTTATTTGTAAGGATTCAGAGGGTACATTTTCAGTTTTGTTACATGGATATATTGTGTAGTGGTAAAATTTGGGCTTCTAGTGTATCCATCACCTGACTAGTGAACATTGTGCCTAACAGGTAATTTTTCAACACTTATCACCCTCCAACCCTTGCCCCTTTTGGAGTCCCTAGTGTCTGTTATTTTCTTCTTTGTCTATGTGTACACCTTGTTTAGCTCCCACTTATAAGTGAGAATACACTGTATTTAGTTTTCTGTTTTCAAGTTATTTCACCTAAGATAATGGCCTACAGTTCCATCCATGTTGTTGCAAAAGACATAATCTCATTCCTTTTAATGATTGCATAGTATTGCGGTGGTGTACACACACACACACACACACACACACACACACACACACCCCTCACATTTTCTTTATCCAGTCATCCACTGATGGACACTTAGGTTGATTCAATTACTTTGCTATTGCAAATAGTGCTGTGATAAACATATGAGTGCAGGTGTCTTTTTGTTATAACAATTTCTTTTCTTTTGGGTAGATACCCCGTAGTGGCATTGCTGAGTCAAATGGGAGTCATATTTTTAGTTCTCTGAGAAATCTCCATACTATTTTCCATAGATGAAATATTAATTTATGTTACCATCAACAATGTATAAGCATTCTCTTTTCTCTGCATCCTTGTCAACATCTGTTATTTTTAAACTTGTTAATAATAGTATTCTGGACCTGGCATGGTGCCTCATGCCTGTAATCCAAGTGCTTTGAGAAGCTGAGGCAGGAGTATCATTTGAGGCCAGGAGTTTGAGATCAGTCTGGGCAACATAGCAAGAACCTGTCTCTACTTAAAAAAAATAGCCAGGCATGGTGGCACACACCTGTAGTCTTAGCTACTCAGGAGGCTGAGGTGGGAGAATCACTTGAGCTCAGGAGTTTGAGGTTACAGTGAGCTCTGACCATGTCACTGCACTCCAACTTGGGTAACAGAGTAAGACCTTGTCTGTAAATAATAGTCATAGCCATTCTGACTGGTGTGGCATGGTATCTCATGGTGGTTTTGATTTGTATTTCTCTGATTAGTGGTGATGAGCATTTATTCATATGCTCATTGGCCACTTGTATATCTTCTTTTGAGAAATGTCCCTTAATGTCCTTTGGCCAAATGTGGCCACTTTTTAGTTATTTTATTTTTAACTTTTATTATAGGTTCAGGAGTACATGTGCAGGTCTGTTACCAGGGTATATTGCATGATGCTGAGGTTTAGGGTAAGAATTATCCCATCACCCAGGTACTGAGCATAGTATGCAATAGTTTTTCAACCTGTGACCCCCTCTCTTCCTCCCCACTCTAAGAGTCCAGTTTCAATTGTTGCCATCTTTATATCCATGAGTACCTAATGTTTAACTTATAAATGAGAACAAGTTGTATTTGGTTTTCTGTTGCTGCATTAATTCTCTTAGAATAATGGCCTCCAGCTATATCCATGTTGCTGCAAATGACATAATTTTGTTCTTTTTATGGCTGCATAGTATTCCATGGTGTATATGTACCACATTTTCTTTTTTCTTTTTTGGAGAGAAATGGAAGGAAGTTTTATTTCTTTTTCATGAGTATCACTCAATTTTTTAAATGCTAAAAATCATAATGATCTATCATCACAAATTAGTTTTTGGTTTTTTATTTTTTATTTTTCTATTTTTTACTTAACTTTAAGTTCTGGGATACATGTGCTGAACGTGCAGGTTTGTTGCATAGGTGTACATGTGCCATGGTGGTTTGCTGCACCTATCAACCCATCATCTTGGTTTTAAGCCCTGCATGCATTAGGTATTTGTCCTAATGCTCTCCCTCCCCTTTCTCCCTACCCCCCTGACAGGCCCCAGTGTACGATGTTCCCCTCCCTGTGTCCATGTGTTCTCATTGTTCAACTCCCACTTAAGAGTGAGAACATGCATATGAACCACATTTTCTTTGCCCAATCCACCATTAGTGGGTACCTAGATTGATTTGATATCTTTGCTATTGTAAATAGTGCTGTGTTGAACATGTGGGTGCAAGTATCTTTTTGATAGAATGATTTCTTTTATTTTTGATATATACACAGAAATAGGATTGCTGGATCAAATGGTAGTTCTGTTTTAAGTTCTTTTGAGAAATCTCTGAACTGCTTTTTACAGTGGCTGAACTAATTTACATTCCCACCAACAGTGTATCTGTATTCCCTTTACTCTGTAGCCCTGTCAGCATCTGTCGTTTTTTTGACCTTTTAATAGCAGCCATCTGACTGGTATGAGTTGGTACCTCATTGTGGCTTGACTTTGCACTTCTGTGATGATTAGTTATACGGAACATTTTTTCATGTTTATTGGCCACTTGTACGTCTTCTTTGGAGAAATACGTGTTCATGCCTTTGCCCACTTTTAATGGGGTTGTTTTTTGCTTGTTGAATTGTTTAACTTCCTTATAGATTCTGAATAGTAGATCTTTGTTGATACATAACTTACAAATATTTTCTCCCATTATGTAGGTTGTCTGTTTACTCTGTTGATAGTTTGTTTTGCTGTTCAGAAGCTCTTTAGTTTAATTAGGTCCCACTTTTCAATTTTTGTTTTTGTTGCAGTTGCTTTTGGGGACTTAGTCATAAATGATTTCCCAAAACCAATTTTCAGAATGATGTTTCCTAGGTTTTCTTCTACTTATAGTATGAGGTCTTACATTTAAATCTTTAGTCCATATTGATTTAAGTTTTGTATATGTTGAAACATAGGAAACCAGTTTGATTCTTCTGCATATGGCTAGCCAGCTATCCCACCACCATTTACTAAATAGGGAATCTTTTCCCCATTGCTTATTTTTGTCAACTTTGTCAAACATCAAATGGCTGTAGATGTGAAGCTTTATTCCCAGGTTCTCTATTCTGTTCATTGGTATATATGTCTGTTCTACCAGTACCATGCTGTTTTGGTTACTGTAGGCTTGTAATATGGTTTGAAGTCAGGTAGTGTTATGCCTCTAGCTATGTTCTTTTTACTTAGGATTGCTTTGGTCATTTGGACTCTTTTTTCGTTCCATGCAAATTTTCAAATAATTTTTTCTAATTCTGTGAAAAATGACATTGACAGTTTGATAGGAATTGTATTGAATGCATATATTGCTTTGGGCAGCATGATCATTTTTTTGATATTGATTCTTCTAATCCATGAGCATACAATGTTTTTCTATTTGTTTGTGTCATGTCTGATTTCTTTCAGCAGTGTTTTGTAGTTCTCTTTATAAATATCTTTCAATTCCTTGGTTAGATGTATTTCTAGGTATTTTATATTTTGGTGGGTATTGTAAATGGGATTATGTTCTTGATTTCACTCTCAGCTTGAACATTATTGGTGTATAGAAATGCTACTGATTTTTGTACTTTGATCTCATATCCTGAAACTTTACTGAAGTTGTTTATCAGTTCCAAGATCCTTTCGGCAGAGTCTATAGGGTTTCCTAGGTAAAAAATCATATTATCTCCAAACAAAGAGTTTGAATTCCACTTTTCCTATTTGGATGCTTTTAATTTATTTTTCTTGCCTAATTTCTCTGGTCAGGACATCTAGTACTATGTTGAATAGGAGTGGTGAGAGTTGGCATCATAGTCTTACTCCAGTTCTCAAGCGGAATGCTTACAGTTTTTGACTATTCAGTATGATATTGGCTATGGGTTTCTCATAGATGACTCTTATTATTTTGAGGTATGTTCCCTTGATGCCTAGTTTCTTGAGGGTATTTTTTATCATGAAGATATGTTGGATTGTTTTTTCCATTTATTGAGATGATCATATGGTTTTTGTTTTTAGTTCTATTTATGTGGTGAATCACATTTATTGATTTGTATGTTGAACCAACCTTGCATCCCAGAAATGAAGTCTACTTGATCCTGGTGAATTAACTTTTTGATGTGCTGTTGGATTCAATTTGCTTGTATTTTGTTGAGGATTTTTGCATCTATATTCATCAGAGACATTGGCCAGTAGTTTTCCTTTTTAATTGTCTTTGCCAGATTTTGGTATCAGGGTGATGTTGGCTTCATAGAATGAGTTAGGGTCCTCTTTTATTTTTTTTTCAGGAAGGAATAATTTCATAGTATAGGTACCAGCTCTTCTTTGTATATTTCATAGCATTTGGCTGTGAATCCATCTAATCTGGGGCTTAAATTTAAGTTTTTGATCCATCTTGAGTTAATTTTTGTATATGGTGAGATAAAGTCCAGTTTTGTTCTGGATATTAGTCCCTTGTTAAATTGATAGTTTGCAAATATTTTCTCCAATTCTATAGGTTGTCTCTTCATTCTCGATTGTTTCCTTTGCTGTACAGAAGCTTTTTAGTTTAATATAGTCCCATTTCTCTATTTTTGTTTGTGTTAACTGTGCTTTTGAGGTCTCAGCCATAAAATCTTTGCCTATACGAATGTCCTATAGTGTTTTGCCCATGGTCTCTTCTAGAGTTTTATAGTTTTGGGTCTCACATTTAAGTCTTTAACATATCTTGATTTTATTTTTGTATATGGTGAAAGATAGAGGTCCAGTTTCATTTTTCTGCATATGTATATAAATTTTCCCTGCACCATTTGTTGAAGAGGGTGTCCTTTCCCCTATGCATTTTCTTGACATTTCTCTCAAAAATCAGTTGGCTATAAATGCATTGCTTTGTTTCTGCATTCTCTACTCTGTTCCATTGGTCTGTGTGTCTGTTTTTATATAAATTCTATGCTGTTTTGGTTACTATAGCCTTGTAATATATTTTGAAGTCAAGTAGTGTGATGCCAACAGCTTTTAACTGTTTTGCTCAGGGTTTCTTTGACTATTCATTGTCTTCTGTGATTCAACTGGAATTTTAGGATTTTTTTCTAATTCTATGAAAAATGACTTTTGTATTTTTATAGGAATTGCATTGAATCTATGGATTGCTTTGGGCAGTATGGTCATTTTAACGATATTATTTTTTCCAATCCATGAGCATGGAATTGCTTTCTATTTGGTTGTGTCATCTATAATGTATTTTATCAGTCTTCTGTAATTTTCTTTATAGAGATTTTTCACCTTCTTGGTTAAATTTATTCCTAGGTATGTCATTTTTGTAACTATTGAAAATAGGAATGCAGTCTTGATTTCTTTCTCAGCTAGTTTATCATTGCTGTTTTGAAACACTACTGATGTATGTTGATTTTGTATTCTCTAACTTTACCAAATTTACTAATCAGATAAGAGTTTTTAGGTGTAGCTTAATCCAACCCAATTGTCCTATAGAACTAATATTTATGGGGTTTTTGGAATAAACATAGAAATTGACCCCCCCGCCGCCAGTCTTAAAACTTGAAACTTAATATCTGTCTCATGTGAGTTCTTTCCTCAGGAAACTATCTCTCAAGCAAGGGACTGAAGCTCACCAGATCACTGCATCCAGACAGTGAGATGCTAGACCCCTCATTTGATTACCTTCCATACCCCTCCCTAGTTCCCGTTTCACATTCCTTCCCCACTATGAGAATATTCAGTTTTAGTCAGTTGAGGAGACAGATTTGAGATGTATCTCCCATTCTCGTGATTGATACCAACTAAATAAAAAGCCATCTTCCCTGGCAATAGTCATTATCTCAGTGATTGGCTTTCTGTGTGGTGATTAACAGGACCTAGACCCTGGCATTTCAGTAACAGACTATGGATTGTTCTAGATACAAGATCATATTGTCATTAGTAGAGAAGGACAATTTGACTTCCTCTTTTCCTATTTGTTTGCTTTTTATTTCTTTCTCTTGCCTGATTTTATGGTTAAGACTTCCAGTACTATGTTGAATAGTAGTGGTAAAAGTGGGCACCCTGTTCCAGTTAGTCCTTAGTGAAAGGCTTTCAGATTTCACCCATTCAGTGCAGCGTTAGCTGTGGGTTTGTCATATCTGGTCTTTACTTGGAGGGGGATACCTCTCTTCTATAAACAGTGTGTTGAGTTTCATTATAAATGTTGCTGAATTTTATCAGCTGATTTTTCTGTGTCTGTTGAAATGGTCATATGGGTTTTGTCCTTGATTCTGTTGACATGATGTATCACATTTATTGATTTATACATATTGAATCCCTGGTATAAATATCAACTTAAATCCCTGGGGTAAATACCCCTTAAATCCCTGGGGTAAATATCAACTGATCATATTGTATTACGTTTTTTGATGTGCTGTTGGATTTGGTTTGCCAGTATTTTGCTGAAGATTTTTGTGTCTATGCTCATCAGGGATATTGGACTGTAGTTTTCTTTTCTTTTTGTGTCTTTGTCTGGTTTTGGTATCAAAATAATACTGACCTTGTAGAATGAGTAAGGGAGAAAGTCCTCCTCTTCGATTTTTTGTAATAGTTTTAAGATAATTTGTGTTAGTTCTTCTTTGAAAGTTTGGTAGAATTGGGCAGTGAACCCATCCAGTCCTGGACTTTTTTTTTGGTGTGGGGAGACTTTTTAGTGTTGTTTTGATTTCATTACCTGTTATTGGCCTGTTCACGTTTTCTATTTCTTCTTGATTCATTCTTGGTAGGTTATATGTGTCCAGGAATTTATTCATTTCCTCTAGGTTTATTAGTGAATAGTTGCTCATAATAGTCCCTGATTCTGGTAGAAAAGATATCAACCTAATGACAGAACATGGCTCTGCATAATAGGGTTTTTTTGACACTAGCAGTTCACCTCAATGAGTTCTCCAACCACTTATCTTTCCTTTGCTTCTTCTTTTGGTTTGAGTTCTTATATTAGCTTTTAAAATAAACTTATAGATCATAATATCCGTCGGCAGAAGGATAGATTATTATTGGAGGGTAAGTTATGAAAACTTGTATTCACGTTAATTGTCATCTTTGTGGTGACAGCTGTATTGAATTAAAATGAACAACAAGCACTAAACTATCTTGTTACATACTGGGGTGAAGCATACATAAGGTGTACCCCTTCCTGGGACATTTTGGAGTAATAGCTAGGAATTTATCACACTTCATTTGTTAAAAGAAATAAACCTTTGCTCTCTCTACTCACTGACATTGGTAACTTCTTCTGACTCAAAAGAGTACTACTGGAACAAGCCTCCAAAAAAAGGTGTCTTTGGGGTCTTGATTACTCATGTTGTTCTTCCAGCCTTTTTTATGGAAGTTGGTCGGTGCCAGCTTCTGTTTTGTACTCAGTTTTCAGCCTGGGATCCTCCCAAGACTAAATGGACTGAGATTGCTAATAACTCTAAAGAATGAAGTACAATGCCTTAGAAATCTGGTAAACTGAACTACCAGGAACACTAGCAGAAAATAAGATTTTAGATTTAGAGTTTTCTTAGAGCTTATTTATTTAATAATGAGAGCAGGGGATAGGAGACTCAAAGTGCAACCATTCCCTTTTGCAGAAGCACAACCTCAATTGCCTAGACAAGCATGTTTTCCACTGTGAATGGCTCAGAATTATCATTGCAACATAGGTAAAACACTTTGTTATCACTGGTAAACCTACTTTTATTAATAATATTGGAAATCGAAACTTAATACCTGTGACTTGAGCCAAAAACAGGAAAAAACTGGAAATTCCAAACTGAAGCATTTTTTAAAAAGTAATCAGTAACCAAAACAAAGACATCAAGTGAACTTGCTTTAACTATCATAAATACTTTGAAGCAAAATATCTATTCAGCTCAACAAACTAAAGCATCTGGCTATAGAATTATGAGAAAATGAATTCATCTCCCTGGGCTTTCATTTCCTCATCTGTAAAATAAAGAATTTGGTCTTGGTGATTCATAATCTCCCTTTAGGGAGAGCTGGCATTCTGTTGTATGTATTATTGAATTCAATATTAACTACTCATTTACTTTGTTCTAGTGTTTGGATTGCCCTTAAAATAATAGACTACTACTAAGGTCTCTGTTTTGAATTGTATACAATATGGCATTGGGGCAAACAGCTCTCCAGAGTGTTTATTCTTATATTGTTTATTTTTTTTCCTAGCCATGCAGGATCATTTGCCTTCCTGCAAGATGTTCTTCAATAAAACAGGATTAGCAATGCTGATAATGGAGATATTTGCCAGAGTGTAAGTGGGACAAGAAGAACAGATAAATGCAAAGACAACGGAAACTGAAGAGCATAGAAAATGGCAAAAGAGGAAGAATTTAGAAGATATTTGTCAAAGATCGGATGGTTGTAGATGTGTGGTGTTATTTCTGAGGCCTCTGTTCTGTTCCATTTGTCTGTATATCTGTTTTGGCACCAGCACCATGCTGTTTTGGTTACTGTACCCTTGTAGTATAATTTGAAGTCAGGTAGTGTGATACCTATAGCTAGGTTATTTTTGCTTAGGACTGTCTTAGCTATGTGGGCTCATTTTTGGTTCCATATAAAATTTAAAGTAGTTTTTTCTAATTCTATGAAACTGACAAAAATAAGTAATGGGGAAAAAATTCCCTATTTAATAAATAGTGTTGGGAAAACTGGCTAGCCATATGCAGAAAACTGAAACTGGACCCCTTCCTTACACCTTATACAAAAATTAACTCCAGATGGATTAAAGATTTAAATGTTAGACCTAAACCCATAAAAACCCTAGAAGAAAACTTAGGCAATACCATTCAGGACATAGGCATGGGCAAAGACTTCATGACTAAAACACCAAAAGCAAAAGCAACAAAAGCCAAAATTGACAAATGGGATATAATGAAACTAAAGAGCCTCTGCACAGCAGAAGAAACTATCATCAGAGTGAACAGGCAACCCACAGAATGGGAGAAAATTTCTGCAATATGTCCATCTGACAAAGGGCTAATATGCAGAATCTACAAAGAACTTAAAAAAATTTACAAGAAAAAAACAAACAACCTCATCAAAAAGTGGACAAAGGATATGAACAGACACTTCTCAAAAGAAAACATTTATGTAGCGAACAAACATATGAAGAAAAGCTCATCATCACTGGTCATTAGAGAAATGCAAATCAAAACCACAATGAGATACCATCTCATGCCAATTAGAATGGCGATCATTAAAAAGTCAGGAAACAACAGATGCTGGCAAGGATGTGGAGAAATAGGAATGCTTTTACACTGTTGGTGGGAGTGTAAATTAGTTCAACTATTGTTGAAGACAGTGTGGCAATTGCTGAAGGATATAGAATCAGAAATACCATTTGACCCAGCCATCCCATTACTGAGTATATACCCCAGGGATTATAAATCATTCTACTATAAAGACACACATACACGTATGTTTATTACAGCACTGTTCACAATAGCAAAGACTTGGAATCAACCCAAATGCCCATCAATGATAGACTGGACAAAGAAAACGTGGCACATATACACCATGGAATACTATGCAGCCATAAAAAAGAATGAGTTCACGTCCTTTGCAGGGGCATGGATGAAGCTGGAAACCATCATTCTCAGAAAACTAACACAGGAACAGAAAACCAAACACCACATGTTCTCACTCACAAGTGGGAGTTGAACAATGAGAAAACATGGACACAGGGAGGGAAACATCACACACGAGGGCCTGTTGGAGGCTGGGGGGCTAGGGGAGAGATAGCATTAGGAGAAATACCTAATATAGATGATGGGTTGATGGGTACAGCAAACCACCATGGCATGTGTATTTGTAGGTAACAAACCTGCACATTCTGCACATGTATCTCACAACTTAAAATATAGCAAAAAAAATTTTTTTTAAAAAGAAGATATTTGCTTATGTGTCATGCTGGGATAGTGTTGTCCACTGAAAATTCAAGTACACTTATAATGTATATTTAGCTACTGGTTGTGATCTTTTATATATCCTGCTTTTAGAGCTTTAAAATAAAAATATGTGGCTAGATGGACACATAATTACTCATAGAGTTTTCTCTTTCTCTTCTTTCTCCTCTGCCTATTTCTGAAGGTATTTTGGGGACCAAGAAAAAAACTGACTATGCCCCTATAATATGCCATTTTAAAAATTGGATCCTGAGTATGTTCACAGGTCTGCAAACCCTTATGTTTAAGGTTTAGTTGCAGGAAAGATCACCTAATAAGTCATATTGTATTTCAATTTTCTATAATATTCCAGCATGTTGTTAAATATTTTTATTGATGAGGAATTAATTGCCTCCCATGGAAGTCTGTTAAATCTTTGAATAGCTCTACTGTTTCAAGTTTTCTACTTATGCCAAGCAAAGAGCTTTACTTTTTAACTGTTTATTCTAATTCATCTCCTCTGGACCATGTATGACAAATCTAATGCTGCCTGTACATGATAGACCTTCAAACTTGTAAAGATAGTGGTCCTTCTTCCCACTATGACTTCAGCCCTGAGTCTTCTCCTGGCTATACCAAATATTCAAAATCTATTCAACCTTTCCTCATGTGACTTAATTTGGAGTCCCCTCACCATGCTGGTTCTCTAAACACATTTTAGCTTGTTTGGGCATGTTTTAAGATGTGGCTTTCTGAAATGAATGCAGTACTTCAGGAGTTAATCAGAGCACAAGAAGATAGGACTGTCACCTGCTTCATTCTACATACTATATTTCTGTTAATTCAGCCTAAAGTAAATCTGCTACCTATTCAATCATATTTTATATTTATCCTACTACCAAGTAAAATTATTAGTATATATGCTAAATAGAGTTTTTTAACCATTTTACATGTACAATTGCTTTTATGTTAAACATGTATATTAAATTTCATATTGTAAAATTGGACCCATTCAAATCTGGCAAGAGATCTTTTTGCGGGATTCTAATTTGGTTATCTGACATACTGTCTTATATACTTCTTTTTTCTAGCTTTATTGAGATACACTTGACAAATAAAAATTGTATATATTTAAAGTATATGACATGATGATTTGATATACATTGTAAAATGATTGTCAAGATGAAATTAATTAACTATCCATTACCACATGTAGCTACCATTTATTATGTTGAAAATACAATCTACTCTCTTAGCAAATTTCAAGAATGCAATACAGTATTATTAATTATAGTCATCATGCTGTACATTAGATCCCCAGAATTTACTCATAGATTTACTCATAAATTTGCACACATCAGCCAACATCTCCCCATTTTCTCCACTTCCCAGCCTCTGGCAACCTATGTTTTACATTCTGCTTCTATGTGCTCTACTTCTTTAGATCCCACATATACATGAGATAGTATACTATTTTTCTTTCTTTCTGAGTCTGGCTTCTTTCACTTAGCATAATGTCTTCCAGGTTCCTCTATGTTTTCAGAAATGGCATGATTTCCTTCTTTTTTATTGTTAAATACTATTCCATTGTATATATACATTTTCTTTTTTTCATAAAGGAAATAACATTTTTTATTATTTTGGAGGGTGGGTGGTTTAAGTACTTTTTAAATTTTTTTCTTCCAAATTTTATTTTAGGTTCAAGGAGTACATGTGCAGGTTTGTTACTAGATAATTTGCATGTCATGGGGGTTTAGTAGTCTGATTATTTTATCACCCAGGTAATGAGCATAGTACCCAATGGGTTATTTTTTGATTCTTGCCCTTCTCCCTCTCTCCACCCTCAATTAGGCCCCAGTATCTATCAAGCCCTTCTTAGTATCCATGTGTATTCAGTGTTTGGCTTTCAGTTGTGAGAACGTGTAGTATTTGGTTTATGCATTAATTCACTTAGGATAATGGCCGCTTGCAGCATCCATATTACAGAAAACACTTAATTTTTTATGGCTTCATAGTATTCCATGGTGTATATGTATGACGTTTGCTTTATGCAGTCCACCACTGATAAGCATCTAGGTTGATTTCATGTGTTTGCTATTGTGAATAGTGCTGCAATGAACATATATGTGCATGTGTCTTTACACTACAATTTATATTCCTTTGGGTCTATATCCAGTGATGGGACTGCTGGGTCAAATGGTAATTCTGTTTTAAAGTCTTTGAGAAATCTCCAAACTGCTTTCCACAGTGGCTGAACTAATTTACATTCCCACTAGCAGTGTGTAAGAGTTCCCTTTCCTCCACAACCTTGACATCATCTGTTATTTTTTGACTCTTTAATAATAGCCATTCTGACTGGTGTGAAGTGGTATCTCATTTTATACCACATTTTCTTTATTTATCAGTGGACGTTTAGATTATATTGATATATTGGATCTTGCGAATAATGCTGCAATGAATATGGTGATGACAATATCTCTTGGATATACTGCTTTCATTTCCTTTAAATATATATCCAGAAATGGAATTGCTGGCTCCTGTGGTAATTCTCTTTTAAATTTTTTGAGGAACCTCCATACTTTTTTCCATAATGGTTGTACCAACTTACATTCACTACAACAGTGTACAAGGGTTTCCTTTTTTCCACATCCTTACTAACACTTATCTTTTGACTTTTTGATAATAGCCATCCTAATAGGTATGAAGTAATATGTCATTACAGTTTTAATTTGCATTTACCTGATGATTATTGATGCTGAGCACCTTTTTACATACTTGTTGGCCATTTGTATGTCCTCTTTGAAAAATATCTATTCAGGTCCTCTGATCATTTTTTAATCAGATTTTCTTTTTTACTTTTGACTTGTAGGAGTTCCTTATATATTTAGACATTAACCACTTGTGGAATGTTTGACTTGAAAATATTTTCTCTATTTCTGGGGTTTGCCTTTTCATTTTGTTGTTTTGCAGAAACTTTTTAGTTTGATACAGTCCCACTTGTTTTTTTTTGTTGTTGCCTGTGTTTTCACCATCATATTTAACAAATCATTCCAAGACCAATGTCAAGGAGCTTTTTCTCTATATTTTCTTTTAGAAGTTTTTGTTCAGAACTTACATGTAAGTTTAATCTGTTCTGAGTTAATTTTTTCTTATGGTATATGCTAAGGGTGAAATTACATCCTTTTGAGTCTGGATATGCTGTTTCTCAACACCAGTTATTGAAAAGACTATCTTTTACCAATTGTGCATTCTTGGCATCCTTGTCAAAGATTAGTTGACCATATATATGTGAGTTCATTACTGGACTCACTATTCTCTTCCATTGGTCTATTTGTCTGTTCTTATGCCAGTATGATACTATTCTGATTACGTAGCTTTGCAATATAGTTTGAAATCATGAAGTATGATGCCTTCGGCTTTGTTCTTTTTGCTCAAGATTGGTTTTGCTATTTGGGGACTTTTGTGGTTACATACTAATTTTAGGATTTTTTGCTATTTTTTTGAAAAATGATATTGGAATTTTGTTAGGAATTACATTAAATCTGTAGATCACTTTGGATAGTATGGATACTTTATTAATTCTTCCAATTCATGAACATGGGGTATCTTTTCATATATATGTGTCTTCTTTAATTTTTGACATAAATATTTTATATTTTTCAGTGTACATATCTCTCATCTCCTTGTTCAATTTCTAAGTATTGTTTTTGATGCTATCCTAAATTGAATTGTTTTCTTAATTTCTTTTTCAAATAGTTTACTGTAGTGTGTAGAAACACTACTGATTTTTTATTACTATTATACTTTAAGTTCTGGGATACATGTGCAGAATATACAGGTTTGTTACATAGGTATACATGTGCCATGGTGGTTTGCTGCACCCATCAACCCGTCATCTACATTAGGTATTTCTCCTAGTACTATCCCTCCTCTAGCCTCCCACCTTCCAACAGACCCCAGTGTGTGATGTTCCCCTCCCTGTGTTCATGTGTTCTCATTGCTCAACTCCCACTTATGAGTGAGAACATGCAGTGTTTGGTTTTCTGTTCCTGTGTTAGTTTGCTGAGAATGATGATTTCCAGCTTCACCCATGTCCCTGCAAAGAACATGACTCATTCTTTTTATGGCTGCATAGTATTCCATGGTGTATATGTGCCACATTTTCTTTATCCAGTCTATCGTTGATGGGCATTTGGGTTGATTCCAAGTCTTTGCTATTGGGAACAGTGCTGCAGTAAACATACATGTGCATGAAACACTACTGATTTTTGTATGTTGATTTTTATATTCTTCCACTTTACAGGATTTATTTATTAGTTGGAACAGTTTTTGGATGGAGTCTCTGGCATTTTCCTTTTTTTATTTTCGTGGGTGCATAGTAGACGTATATATTTATGGGATACATGAGATGTTTTGGTACAGGAATGCCATATGAGATAAGCACATCATGGAGAATGTGGTATCCATCCCCTCAAGCATTTATCCTTTGAGTTACAAACAATGCAAATTATACTCTTTAAGTTAGTTTAAAATGTACAATTAAGTTATTATAGACTATAGTTACCCTATAGTGCTATCAAATAGTAGGTGTATTATTTCTTACTGTTTTTGTACCCAATAAGTATCCCAATATACTCCCCAGCCCCCACTACCCTTCCCAGCCTCTGGTAACAATTCTTCTGCTCTCTATGTCCATGAGTTTAATTGTTTTGATTTTCAGATCCCACAAATAGGTGAGAACATGCGATGTTTGTCTTTCTGTATCTGATTCATTTTGTTAAACAAAATGATCTCCAGTTCCATCCATGTTGTTGCAAGTGATTGAATCACATTCTTTTTATCACAGAATCATGCTCCATTGTGAATATGTACCACCTTTTCTTTATCCATTTATCTGTTAATGGACACTTAGCTTGCTTCCAAATTTTAGTTATTGTAAACAGTGCTGCAACAAACATGGGAGTGCAGATATCTCTTTGCTATACTAATTTCCTTTCTTCAGGGTATATACTCAGCAGAGGAATTGCTGGATCATATGGTAAGTAAATTTTTAGCTTTTTGAGGAACCTCCAAACTATTCTTCATAGTGATTGTACTAATTTACATTTCCACCCACAGTGTACAAGGGTTCCCTTTTCTCCACATCTTCACCAACATTTGTTATCGCCTGTCTTTTGAAGATAATCTACAATGAGATATTATCTCATCCCAGTTAAAGTAGGATGAGATAATATTTCATTGTGGTTTTGATTTTCATTTCTCTAATGGTCAGTGATGTTGAACTCCTTTTCATATGCCTGTTTGCCATTTGTATGTCTTTTTTTGAGAAATGTCTATTCAAGTATTTTGTCATTTTGGATCAGATTACCAGATGGTTTCCTATAGAGCTGTTTGAGCTCCTTATATATTCTGGTTATTAATCCCTTGTCAGATGGGTAGTTTGCAAATATTTCCTCCCATTCTGTGGATTGTCCCTTTACTTTGTTGTTTATATCTTTTGCTGTGCCCAAGTTTTTTAACTTGATGTAATCCCATTTGTTTATTTCTGCTTTAGTTTCCTATCTTTGTGGGGTATTGCTTAAGAAATCTTTGCCCTGACCAATGTCCTGGAGATTTTTCCCAATGTTTTATTGTAGTAGTTTCATAGTCTGAAGTTTTAGATTTGAGTCTGTAATCCATTTTGCATTGGTTTTTGTATACAGTGAGAGATAGGGGTCTAGTTTTATTCCTGTGCATATGGATATCCAGTTTTCCCAGCACCATTTATTGAAGAGGCTGTATTTTCTGCAGTGTATGTCCTTGGCACCTTTGTCAAAAGTTAATTCACTGTAGGTATGTGAATTTGTTTCCAGGTTCTCTATTTTGTTCCATTGTTATATGTGTCTGTTTTATGCCAGGACCATGATGTTTGGGTTAGTATAGCTCTGTAATATAATTTGAAGTCAGGCAATGTGATTCTTCCAGTTTTGTTCTTTTTGCTTAGGATACTTTTGGCTATTCTAGGTCTTTTGTGGTTCCATATAAATTTTAGAGCTTTTTTCCCCATTTCTGTGATTAATACTATTGGTATTTTTATAGGGATTGCATTGAATCTGTAGGTCACTTTGGGTAGTCTGAGCACTTTAATAATATTTATTCTTCCCATCAATGAATATGGAATATTTTTATATTTTTTATGTCCTCTTCAATTTCTTTCATCAGTGTTTTATTGTTTTAATGCTAGAAATCTTTTACTTTTTTGGTTAATTCCTAGGTATTTAGTTTTATGTATGGCTATTATAAATGGGATTACTCTTTAATATCTTTTATAGATTGTTCACTATTGGAATATGAAAATTCCAGTGGTTTTTGTATGTTAATTTTGTAACCTGAAACTTTACTGAATTTGTTTATCAGCTGTAATATTTTTCTCATGGAGTCTTTAGGTTTTTCCAAATATAAGATCATATCATCTGCAAACAAGGATAACTTGACTTCTTCCATTCCAATTTGGATTCTCATTATATCTTTCTCCTGTCTGATTGCTCTAGCTAAAACTTTCAGTACTATGTTGAACAACAGGGGTGACGGTGGGCATCCTTGTATTCAGATCTTAGAGGAAAGGCTTTTACTTTTTCCCTATTCGGTATGATATTAGCTATGGATCTGTCATATATGACTTTTATTGTGTTGAGGTATGTTTCTCCTATCCCCAGTTTTTTTTAGGGTTTTTATTATGAAGCAATGTTGAATTTTATCAAATGCTTTCTCAGCATTCATTGAAATGATTATGTGGTTTTTATCCTTTATTTTGTTGTATGATTTATCACATTGATTGATGTGTGTATGTTGAACCCTTCTCACATCCCACTTGGGCATGATGAATGGTTTTTCTAATCTATTGTTGAATTCTGTTTTATAGTATTTTGTTGAGGATTTTTACATCAATAATCATCAGAGATTTTGGCTTGTAGTTTTTTTTTAATATGCCTTTATCTGGTTTTGGTATCAGGGTAATTAATATTGGCCTCATAGAAGGAGTTTAGAAGTGTTCCCTTCTCCTTTACTTTTCAAAATAGTTTGAATAGGATTGGTATTAGTAGTTATTTAAATGTTTGGTAGAATTCCATGGCACAGGTTTACCTATGTAACAAACCCATACATCCTGCACATGTAGCCTGAAACTTAAAATTAAAAAAAAAAAAAAGTTTGGTAGAATTCAGCAGTGAAGCCATCAGGTCTCATGCTTTTCTTTACTGGGAGACATTTTATTATGGCTTTGTTATAATTACTTGTTATTGGTGTGTTTGGGCACTAATGATCTTTGAATTTCTGCAGTATCAGTTGCAATGATTCCTTTATTATTGTTGACTTTATTTATTTGGGTTGTTTCTTTTTTTTCTTAGTCTGGGTAAAGGTTTGTCCATTTTGTTTAACTTTTCAAAACACCAACTTTTGTCATTGATCTTCTGTACTTTTTTATTCAATTTCATTTCTCTCTGCTCTGATCTTTATTTTTTCTTCTAATTTTGTGTTTCATTTGCTCTTGCTTTTCCAGTTCTTTATGATGCATCATTAGATTTTTTATTCTAAGTTTTTGTCTTTTTTCAATGTAGGCACTTATTGCTGTAAATCCCCTCTTAGTACTGCTTTTGCTGTATCCCACAGGTTTTGGAATGTTGTATTTTTATTGTCATTTGTTTCAAGAAATTATTTTTATTTTCTTCTTGATTTCTTCATTGATCCACTGGTGATTCAGGAGCATACTGTTTAATTTTCATATATATGCATGATTTCCAAAATTTCTCTTGTTATTGATTGTAGTTTTATTTCATTGGGTCAGAGAAGATGCTTGATATTATTTTAATTTTTATTCAATGTTTTAAGACTTGTTTTGTGACCTAACATGTGGTCTGTCTTTGAGAATAATAAATGTGCTAAGGAAAAGAATGTGTATTCTGCAATGAAATGTTCTATAAATATTAGATCCATTTGGTCTACAGTGCAGACTAAGTCTGAGAATTCTTTGTTGATTTTCTCTCTAGAAGATCTGTCCATTGCTGAAAGAGAGCTGTTGAAGTCTCTAGTAATTATTTTATTGAGGTATATCTCTCTCTATTAGCTTTAATAGTGTTTGATTTCTATACCTAGGTGTTCCAGTGTTGGTTGCATATACACTTAAAATATCTATATCCTCTTGCTGGATTGACCTCTTTATTATTATATAGTAACTTTCTTTGACTCTTCTTATAGTTTTTGTCTTGAAGTCTATTTTGATTGATATAAGCATAGCTATTCCTGCTTTTTTTAGTTTCCATTGGTATGGAATATCCTTTTCCATGCCTTAATTTTTAGTCTGTGCATCACATCATAGGTCAAGTTTGTTTCTTGTAACCAGCAGATCGATGGGTCTTGTTTTTTCATGCATTTAGCCAGTCTATGTCATTTGATTGAAGAGTTTAGTTCATTTACATTGACTGTTATTATTGATAAGTAAGAACTTACTCCTGCCATCTTGTTATTTGTTTTCTGGTCTTCTCTTCCTGCCATCTTGTTATTTGTTTTCTGATCTTCTTTTCCTTCTTTATTTCCTTACTGTTTTCCTCTAGTGAAGGTGATTTACTCTGATGATATGATTTAGTTTCTTATTTTTTTTTGTATTTATTGTACATTATTTGGTTTGAGGTTACCATGAGGCTTACAATTACTATCTTATAACTCATTATTTTAACCTGATAATTTAACCCAATTTGCATAAACAGAAAAACAAACAGGAAAAAAACTTTTAAAAACTTTATGCCTTAATTTTGTCCTTTGGCTTTTTAACTTTTTTTCTATGTATATCTTATTGAACTGATTATGTCCTGAAAATTTGTAGTTATTATTTTTAATTGGCTCATCATTTAGTTTTTCTACTTGGAGTAAGAGTAGCTTACACACCACACTTTCAATATTGTAATATTCTGTGTTTTCTGTATACTTAACTATTACCAGAGAGTTTTGTACCTTCAAGAGGTTATTGCTCATTAACGTCCTTTTCTTTCTGACTGAAGAACTCCCTTTAGTATTTCCTGTAGGACAGGTCCAGCATTGATGAAATCCCTCAGCTTTTATTTCTCTGGGAAAGTCTTTATTTCTCCTTAAGGCTTGAAGGATATTTTCACCGAATATAGTATTCCAGGATAAAAGCTTTTTTCCAGATGGGCGTGGTGGTTCATGCCTGTAATCCCAGCACTTTGGGAGGCCGAGGTAGGTGGGCCAGGAGGTCAGGAGTTCAAGACCAGCCTGACCAACATGGTGAAACCCCATCTCTATTAAAAATACAAAAATTATCCAGGCATGGTGGCATGCACCTGTAATCCCAGCTACTCAGGAGGCTGAGGCAGGAGAATCTCTTGAACCCAAGAGGCGGAGTTTACAGTGAGCCAAGATCATGCCACTGTACTCCAGCCTGGATGACAGAGCGAGACTCCATCTCAAAAAAACAAAAAAAAGTTTTTTTCCTTTAGCACATTAAAAATGTCATGCCACACTCCTGGCCTGTAAAATTTCCACTGAAAAGCTGCAAAACTTACTGGAGCTTCATTGTATGTTACCTGTTTCTTTTCTCTTGCAGCTTTTAGGATTCTTGCTTTGTCTTTGACCCTTGGAATTTGATTATTAAATGCCTTGAGATAGTCTTCTTTGGGGGTAAATCTGCTTGATGTTCTATAACCTTCCTGTACTTGTATATATTTTTCTGTAGGTTTAGAAAGTTATCCACTATTCCTTTGAATACATTTTCTACAACTATCTTTCTCTACCTCCTCTCTAAGGCCAATAACTTAGATTTGCCCTTTTGGGGCTATTTCCTAGAAACTGTAGGTATGCTTTATTTTTTTAAATTCTTTTCTCTTTTGTCTCCTCTGACTGTGTATTTTTAAATATTTTGTCTTTAAGCTCACTAATTCTTTGTTCTGCTTGATCAATTCTGCCATGAAAAGACTCTGATGCATTCTTCAGTATGCCAACTGCATTTCTCAGCTCCAGAATTTGTGCTTGGTTCTTTTAAATTATTTTAATCTCTGTTAAATTTACCTAAGAGAAGTTTGAATTCCTTCTCTGTGTTACATTGAATTTCTTCAAGTCTCCTCAACACAGCTATTTTGAATTCTCTGTCTCACCTCAGAAGTCACATATCTCTGTTTCTCCAGGATGGGTCGCTGGTGCCTCAGTTAGTTCATTTGGTGAGGTCATGTTTTCCTGGAATGTGTTGGTGCTGGTAGGTGTTTTCCTGAGTGTCTGGGCATTAAAGAGCTAGATATTTATTGTAGTCTCCACTGTCAGGGCTTATTTGAAGCCATTTTTTTGGGGGTGGGGGAGGTTTTCCAGATATTTGAAAGGACTTGGGTGTTGTGATCTAAGCTCTATCTGCTTTAGAGGGTACCCCAAGCCCAGTAACCCTGTGGTTCTTGCAGACTTGTAGAGGGACCATCTTTATGGTCTTGAACAAGATCTGGGAGAATTCTTTGGATTACCAAACAGAGACTATTGTACTCTTTCCTTACTTTCTCCCAAACAGAGTCTCACTCTCTGTTCTGAGCCACCTAAAACTGGGGGTAGAGTAATACAAGCACCCTTGTCGCCAACACCACTATGACTGCACTGGGTCAGACCTGAAACCAGCACAGAACTGGGTCTTGCCCAAGGCTCTCTTTAACCACTCCCTGGCTACTGCCTATGTTTACTCAAGGTCCTGGGACTCTACAATCACCATGCCAGTATTTTTCCCTTCAGGGCAACAAGGTCCCCCAGGCCTCAGATGTGTCCAGAGATGCAGCCCAGAAGTCAGGGACTTGAGTCAAAAACCTCAGAAGTCTACCTGGTGTGCTATGGTATTGTGGTGGAACTGGCACTCAAACCACAAGACACAGTCCTTCTACCTGTTCTCTCCTCTTTCCAAAGTCGGAGAAGCCTCACTCCATAGTCACCACCATGCCAACCCACAAGGGGTACTGGGGTACTGCCAGACTGCCGCCAATGTTTCCTTTAGTCCCAAGGGCTCTTAAGTCAGATTTTGGGGAATGCTGCCTGGCCTGGGACTCACCTTTCAGGGCAGTGAGCTCCCCTCTGACCCAAGGCAGGCCCAGAAATGCTGTCCAAGAGTCAAGTCCTGGAATCAGGGACTCCAAGAGCCCACTTTGTGCTCTACCCCTTGGTGGCCATGTTGGTACTTAAGGTGCAAGACAAAGTTCTCCTTACTTTGCCCTCTGCTTTTCTCAAGCAGGAGTTTTGCCCTGTAGCCACCACAGCTGGTAATGTGCTGAGTTTCACCTGACATCAGCAAGTCTCAGAGGCTCACTCAAGGTCCTCAATGTAGTACCTGGATATTGCTGCTGTTTATTCAGAGCCCAAGGGCTCTTCAGTTAGCAAGTGATGAATGCTGCCAGCACTGTCCTTTCCTACAAAGCAGTGGGTTCCCTTCTGGTGCAGGGTGTGTCTAGAAATGTTGTCTGGTAGCTACAGCCTGAAACAGGGGCCTCATGACTCTGACTAGTGGCCATCCTGCTGTGGCTGAGCTGGTATCCTAGATGCAAGACAAAGTCTTCCCTACTCATCCCTCTCCCTTCCTCAAGTGGAAGGAAGGGGAGTCTTTTGGAGCTGTGTAGCCTTCAGTTAGAAGAGGAGTAATGCTAGCACTTTCTTGGCTGCCCCAGTTTGTGTCTCAGTGTGTTGCATACTGAGACAATCCACTGTCAATCCATTGTCTTCCCAATCCACTGTCTCTGAGACCTCCCCAGTTCACTGTCTCTGAGACTAGTTCAGCACTAGGACTCACCTAAGAGTTGCAGTCCTTATGGCCTAGATTGCCTTTCAAGTTTACTTGGAGATACAGAGTGCTGTAGAGGGACCGTGGTGGCAAGGATTGTAGGCACTCAAATTTGGACCACTGGAATTGGTCATCCCCTCTGGCTAAGGCTGGTTTAAATGTTCCTTCCATGGGCAGGCATCAGCTGAGTTTCATCTGGTTTTCCTTTCTTCTCTAACTAAAGAGCACTGAGTTCAGTGCCTCACAATTGCTGTATTCTCTCTCCTCAGCACTCAGAGGTGCTCTCCACACCACGCTGCTGCTGCCAGGGATGGGGGAGGGGAGGCGTTGGCAATTCAGGGCTGCTTTGTCTATTTCTTCAGTGCCTCTGAAGTTAAAACCAGGTACTATGAGTGCTCACCTGATTTTTTGTTTTTATGAAGGTGTTTTTCTCTGTGTAGATGGTGATTAACTTGGTGTCCTTGTAGGGGGGATGATCAGTAAAGGTTTGTATTTCACCATCTTGCTCTGCCTCAGAAACCCTTTGGGGATTTCCATTTTTAAAAAAAGTAATGTCACCTACAAACAGAGACAATTTAACTTCATTTCTGATTCTGGTGCCTTTTTATGTCTTTTTCTTTTGCTTGGCTAATTGCTCTGGCTATATCTTCCAGTACAATATTGAATAGAAGTATAAATGTGAGTACCATTGTCTTGTTTCTGATCTTGGAAGAAAAAGTGAAAGGTTCACTGTTGAATATGATATTAGCTCAGGGCTTGTCATGTTTGTCCTCTATTATGTTGAGGTGCAGTCCTACTTCACTTTATTGAGATTTTTTATTATGAAGGAATGTTGAATTTTCTTACTGCTTTTTCTGCATCTATTTAGATAATCACATAGTTTTTATTTTTCATTTTTTTAACATGGCATGCCATATTTATTGATTTGCATAGGTTGATCCATCCTCATATCACAAGGATGAATTACACTTGGTCATGGCGTATGATTCTTTTTATATGCTGTTTAATTTGGTGTTTAGTATTTTGTTGAGGATTTTTGCTCTATGTTTACCAGGAATATTGGCTTGTAGTTACATTTTCCTTTAACGTATCCTAATTTGGCTTTAGTATGAGGGTAATACTGGCCTCATAAAATGAGATAAAATGAGATTAAAAATGTTACTTCTTCTTGAAATTTTTGGGGAGTTTGAGAAGAATTATTGTTTATTCTTTTTTTAAATGCTTGATAGAACTCACCTGTAAATCCATCTGGTTCTGGGGATTTTCTTGTTGGGAGGTTTCTGACTAGGGCTTTGATCTCCCTACTTGCTATTGGTCTATACAGATTTTTCACTTCTTCCTGATTCATTTGTGGTAAGTTGTATGTTTCTAGGAATTTATCTGTTTAGTCTAGGTTATCTAATTTGTGGTATATAATCGTTCATTATAGCTTAAGATCATTTGTTTTGTAGGGTATCAGTTGTAATGTCTTCTCTTTCATTTCTAATTTTATTTATTTAACTCTTCTCTTAGTCTAGCTAAAGATTTGTCAGTTTTGTATTTCTTTTCAAAAAATCCACTATTAGTGGTATTGATCTATTCTATTGTCTTTTTAGCGTCTATTTTATTTATTTTTGCTTTGATCTCTGTTGTTTACTTTTTCTGCTATCCTTGGACTTAGATTGTTCTTCTTTTTTTAGTTCTTTGGGGTGTAAATTTAGGTCATTTATTTGTGATCTCTCTTTTCTCTCAAGGTAGGGGTTTGTTGCTATAAACTTCCCTTTTAGAACTGTTTTTGCTGCATCCCATAAGTTTTGAAATGTTTATTTTCATTTCCATTGTCTCAAGTTATTTTTTTAACTCCCTTTTGTTTTATGTTTGGCTCATTTGTTTTATGTTTGGCTCATTAGGTTTGGCAACATAGTTATTCAGGACTATGCTGTTTAATTTTCACATATTAGTGAATTTTCTAAAATTTCTCCTGTTACTGACTTCTAATTTTATGCCATTGTTGATGCAAAGATATAATTTCAATTTTAGATTTGTTAAGACTTATTTTGTGGCCTAACACGTGATCTCCTGGAAAATGTTCTATATGCACTTGAAAAGAATGGAATATTCTTTATGTCTGTTAGGTCCATTTGGTCTGTAGTGTTATTCAAATCTGCTGTTTCATTATTGACTTTCTGTATGATGATCTATCTATTGCTAAAAGTGGAGAATTGAAGTCTCCTGCTATTTTTGTATTGCTGTATATTTCCCCCCTTATTTAATATTTGCTTCATATATTTAAATGCTGTGATGTTGGGTACATATGTATTTATAGTTGTGGTTTTCTCTTAATGAATTGACCCTCTTTTTACTATACAGTAACCTTCTTTGTCTCTCGTGACAGATTCTGACTAAAAGTCTGTTTTTGTCTAATACTCTCCTTTGGTTACCATTTGCTTGAAATATCTTTTTTTATTCCTTCATTTTCAGCCATTGTGTGTCATTAAAGATAATGTTCTTGTTGGCAGCATATTTTTAGATATTCTTAAAAATCCATTCAGCCACTGTCTTTTGATTGGAGAATTTAATCAAAGTATTTGTTGATAGGCAGGGACTTACTATTGTCAGTTCTGTTTTTACTTTTATTTTAGTAGCTTTTGTGGTACGAGTGGTTTTTGGTTACAGGAATGAATTGTATAGTGGTGAAGTCAAGAGTCTAGTGCAACTATCACCCAAGTAGTGTACATTGTACAATATGTAGTTTTTTATCCTTCACTCCCCTCCCACTCTCCCTTCTTCTGAGTCTCCAATGTCCACTGTGCCACTCGGTATGCATTTGTATACCCATACTTTAGCTCCCACTTGTAAGTGAGAACGTATGGTATTTGGTTTTCTACTACTGAATTACTTTGAATAATGGCCTCCAGCTCCATCTAAGTGGCTGCAAAATACATTATTTCATTTTTTATGGCTGTGTAGTATTCCATGGTGTATATATACCACATCCTCCTCATCTACTAATTGGCTTAGGCACATAGGTTGTTTTCATATCTTTGCAATTGTAAATTGTGCTGTGATAAACATACACATGCAGGTATCTTTTTGGTATAATGGCTTATTTTCCTTTGGGTAGATAACTAGCAGTGTGATTGCTGGCTCAAATGGTAGATCTGCTTTTAGTTTTTTGAGAAAACTCCACCCTGTTTTCCATAGAGGTTGTACTAATTTACATTCCTACCAGCAGTGTATAAGTGTTCCCTTTTCACCACATCCATGTCAACTTATTGAATTTTTAATAATGGCCTTTCTGGCTAAAGTTAGGTGGTATCTCATTGTGGTTTTAGTTTGCATTTCCTGATGATTAATGGTATTGAGAATTTTTTTTCATATATTTGTTGGCCATTTGTATTTTTTGAGAAGTATCTACTCATGTCATTTTTTCACTTTTTGATGGGATTATTTGTTTTCTTCTTGCTGATTTGAGTTCCTTGTAGATTCTGCACATTAGTCCTTTGTTGGATGCATAGTTTGTAAAAATTTTCTCCCATTCTGAGGGGTGTTTGTTTACTGTGATGATTATTTCTTTGTGCAGAAGCTTTTTAGTTTCATTAGGTCACATTTATTTATTTTTGTTTTTGTTGCATTTGCTTTTGAGGTCTTAGTCATTAATTATTTGCCCAGGTAAATGTACAGAAGAGTTTTTCTAAGCATTTCTTCTAGAATTTTTATGGGTTCAGGTCTTAGATTTAAGTCTTTAACTCATCTTCAGTTGGTTTTTGTATATGAAGATGGAGAACCAGTTTTATTATTCTACATGTAGCTATCCAGTTTTCCCAGCACCATTTATTGAACAGGGTTTTCTTTCCTCAATTTATGTTTCTGCATGCTTTGTCAAAGATCGCTTGATTGTAAGTGTTTGTTTGACTTTATTTCTGTATTCATTCTCTATTCTGTTCTACTGGCTGATATATCTACTTTTATACCAGTACCATGCTGTTTTTATTACTACAACCTTGTAGTATAATTTAAAGTCAGGTAATGTGATGCCTCCAGATTTTTTCTTTTTTCCTAGGATTGCTTTGGCTATTCATGCTCTTTTTTGATCCCATGTGAATTTTAGGGTTGTTTTTTCTAATTCTGTGAAAATTGATGTTGGTATTTTGTTAGGAATTGCATTAAATCTGTAGATTACTTTAGGCAGTGTGGTCAGTTTTACAATATTGATTCTTCCAACTCATGAGCATGGAATGTATTTCCATTTGTTTGTGTCATCTATAATTTCTTTTTTTTTTTTTTTTTTGAGATGGAGTCTCGCTCTGTTGCCCAGGCTGGAGTGCAATGGTGCAATCTCAGCTCACTGCAAGCTCCACCTCCCGAGTTCAGGCCATTCTCCTGCCTCAGCTTCCTGAGTAGCTGGGACTGCAGGCGCCTGCAACCACACCCGGCTAATGTTTTGTATTTTTAGTAGAGACGGGGTTTCACCGTGTTAGCCAGGATGGTCTCAATCTCCTGACCTCGTGATCCACCTGACTTGGCCTCCCAAAGTGCTGGGATTACAGGTGTGAGCCACCGCACCCAGCCCTGTGTCATCTACAGTTTCTTTCAGCAGTAGTTTGTAGTCCTCTTTGTAGAGATCTTTCACTTTCCTGGTTAAGTACATTCCTGGAGGTTTTTTTTTTTTTTTTTTTTTTTTGCAGCTATTGTAAAAGGGATTGAGTTGTTTATTTGACTCTCAGCTTAGTCATTGGTGGTGGATAGCAGTGCTACTTATTTGTGTACATTGATTTTGTAACCTAAAACTTTACTGAATTTATTTATCATACCTAGGAGTCTTTTGGAGGAGTCTTTGGGGTTTTCTAGGTATGCGATCATATTATCAGTAAACAGAAATAGAGGGCATTCAAATTGGAAAAGAGAAAGAATCTATATCCTTTTCCTGATTAATCTGGCAAGGACTTCTAGTACTGTGTTGAATAGAAGTAATGCAAGTGGATATCCTTGTCTTGTTCTAGTTTTTATAGGGAATGCTTTCAACTTTTCCCCCATTCAGTATGATGTTGGCTATAAATTTGTCATATATGGCTATTATTATTTTGGGGTATGTCCCTTCTATGCCCAGTTTGTTGAGGATTATTATCATAATGGGATCCTGGATTTTATTAAATGCTTTTTCTCAGTCTATTGAGATGATCATATGGTTTTTGTTTTTAATTCTATTTATGTGGTGAATCACATTATTGAATTGCATATGTTGAACCATCCCTTCATCCCTGGGATAAAACCCACTTGATCATGATGAATTATCTTTTTGATGTGCTGTTGGATTTGTTAGAGTTTGTAGACAGATATACATAAGAAAGAAAGGCAGCCCTGGAGGAAGGAAGCCCTGGAAACATTGCCCCACTAGCAATCAATGCTTCCCTAGCAGTTAGGATTTTTTAAAAAGCCAATAGCCACATCTAGACTTGTGGTTATGCTTATGCAGCCCCAACCAAGACTTATCCGTAACAGGAAATGACTGTAGTAGGGACTTTTCCCAGTGGCTAGCACGCACACCTCAACTTGGCAGTGTCACCCTAAAGGTAACATTTTGCTCATTATAATAGTAAGAAACACACCCCTAGGTCGAGATTTAAGATGCTAATAAGACATGCCCAGGGGACCACCCAAAACGTGCTTGCTAATAACACTCCTTCACACCATTCATGAATAATCCTGTGAGACTCTCGTAAGAGAGCCTCCCCGTGCCTATCTGGGCTGTCTCATTCTTAAGCAGCCCACTCTAACTCAGCATTCAGGGTATATTTTCACTTTAAATAAACTTTCCTAGTCTTAACTGTAACTGCTTTTCTCTTGGTTGAATTCTTTCTTCCAAGAAGACAAGAACCAAGGACCCTCTGCTTCCTGATATTAGATTTAGTTTGCTAGTATTTTGTTGAGGATGTTTGCATCTATGTTCATCAGGAATATTGGTCTGTAGTTTTCATTTTTATTATGTTATTTCCTGTCTTTGGTATCAGGGTGATACTGTCCTCATAGAATGAGTTAGGAAGGATTTCCTTTTTCTCAGTCTTTTGGAGTGGTTTCAGTAGAATTGGTACCAATTCTTCTTTGAAGATCTGATAGAATTCAGCTGTGAATCCATCTGACCCTAGGCTTTTTTTATTGTTGGCATTTTTTTTTATTACTAATTCACCCTCACTGCTTGTTGCTGGTCTGTTCTGAATTTCTATTATTTCTTCCTGATTTAAGCTAAGGGTTGTATATTTTCAGAAATTTACCCATTTCCTCTAGATTTTCTAGTTTGTGTGCATAGAGGTGTTCATAGTAGTCTTGAATGATCTTTTATATTTCTGTGGTGTTAGTTGTAATGTTCTCCATTTTTATTTCTACTTGAACTTATTTGAATTTTCTCTCTTCATTTCTCTGTTATTCTAGCTAATGGGCTATCAATTTTGCTTATCTTTTCAGAAACTGAACTTTTGTTTCATTAATTTTTTGTATTTTTTGTACCCATTTCATTTAGTTTTGCTTTGATCTTTGTTATTTCTTTTCTTCTGCTAGCTTTGGGTTCAGTTTATTCTTATTTCTCTAATTCCTTGTGGTGTGACATTAAGTTGTCAATTTGTGACCTTTCAGACTTTTTGATGTAGGCATTTCGTGATATAAACTTTCCTCTTAGCATTGCTTTTGCTGTATCCCAGAGGATTTTATAACTTGGGTTACTATTATCATTTACTTTGAAGAATTTTGAAATTTCCATCTTGATTTCAGGTGCATATATGTTTAAGATGGTATTATAATATCTTCTTGTTGCATTGATCCTTTTATCATTATATAATGACTTTTTGTCTTGTTTTAGTGTTGTTGCTTTAAAGCCTGTTTTATATAAGAATACCTGCTACTGCTTGCTTTTGATTTCCATTTGCATGCAATACCTTTTTCTACTCCTTTACTGTGAGTTTATAAGAATCATTACATATTAGGTGAATGTTTTGAAAATATTTAGTTTGTGACATTTTTTATCCATTCTGCCAATCTTTATTTTTTAAGTGAAGCATTTAGGCCATTTACATTCAATGTTAATATTGAGATATAAGATACTGTTCCAGAGATACTTTGTTTTCTTCATTGTGGTACTGTTTCATACACTCTGTGAGTCTTATGCTTTGAAGAGGTTCTATTCTGGTACATATGGAACTTTGGTTTCAAGATGTAGAAATCCTTTTAGCATTTCTTGTAAGTCTGGTCTGGTAGTGACCAATTTCCTCAGTATTTGCTTGTCTGAAAAATACTTTCTTTCTCCTTCATTTATAAAACTTAGTTTTATGGGATACAAAATTATTGACTGACAGTTATTCTATTTAAGGGGGCTAAATATAAGACCTTAATCACTTCTGGCTTGTAAGGTTTCTTCTGAGAAGTCTGCTGTTAATCTAATAGAATTTTCTTTATAGGTTATGTGATGCTTTTGTCTCACTGCTTTTAGAGTTCTTTTCTACACTCTGATTTTAGATAGCCTGATGACTACATGCTTCAGTGATGTTCTTTTTGAAAGGAATCTCCCAGGAGTTCTTTGAACTTCTTGTATTTGGATGTCTAAACCTCTAGCAAGGCCCAGAAATTTTCTTCAATTATTCCCTCAAATAAATGTTCCAAACTCTTTTTTTTTCCTCCCTCAGGAACACCAGTGATTTTTATGTTTGGCCATTTTACATAATTTCACATTTCTTGGAGACTTTGTTCATTTCTTTTGATTCTTTTTTTTTATTTTAAGTTCTGGAATACATGTGCAGAACATGCAGACATGCAGATTTATTACATAGGTATATGTGTGCCATGGTAGTTTGCTGCACCTATCAACCCATCACCTAGGTTTTAAGCCCTGCATGCATTAGCTATTTGTTCTGGTGCTCTCCCTCCCATCACCCACACCTGACAGGCCCCAGTATGTGCTGTTTCCCTCCCTGTGTCCATGAGTTCTACTGATCAACTCCCACTTATGAGTGAAAACATATGGTGTTTGGTATTCTGCTCCTGTGTTAGTTTCCTAAGGATGATGGCTTCCAGCTTCATCCATGTCCCTGCGAAGGACATGATCTCAATATTTTTGGGGGCTGCATAGTATTCCATGGTGTATACATACCACATTTTCTTTCTTTCTTTCTTTCTTTCTTTTTTTTTTTTTTTTTTTTTTTTTTGATGGAGTCTTGCTCTCTCACCAGGCTGGAGTACAGGGGCATGATCTTGGCTCACTGCAACCTCTGCCTCCCAGGTTCAAGTAATTCTCCTGCCTCAGCCTCCAGAGTAGCTGGGAATACAGGTGTGCGCCACCATGCCTGGTGAATTTTTGTATTTTTAGTAGAGACGCGGTTACACTGTGTTGGCCAGGATGGTCTCAATGTCTTGACATCATGATCTGCCCACCTTGGCCTTTCAAAGTGCTGGGATTACAGGAGTGAGCCACCGCACCCAGCCCACATTTTCTTTATCCAGTCTATCCTTGATGGGCATTTGGGTTGGTTCTATGTCATTCCTATTGTGAATAGTACTGCAATAAAAATATGTGTGCATGTATCTTTATAATAGAATGAGTTCTATTCCTTTGGGTATATACCCAGTAATGGAATTGCTGGGTCAAATGGTATTTCTGGTTCTAGGTCCT
Source organism: Homo sapiens (assembly GCF_000001405.40). Lineage (NCBI taxonomy): Eukaryota > Metazoa > Chordata > Mammalia > Primates > Hominidae > Homo > Homo sapiens. The sequence continues at coordinate 73,761,507 of NC_000023.11, forward strand.
TGAGAAATCACCACACTGTCTTCCACAATGGTTGAACTAATTTACATTCCCACCAATAATGTAAAAGCATTTCTATTTCTCCACAGCCTCACCAGCATCTGTCATTTCTTGACTTTTTAATAATCGCCATTCTGATGGGCATGAGATGGTATCTCATTGTAGTTTTGATTTGCATTTCTATAATGATCAGTGGTGTTGAGCTTTTTTTCATGTGTTTGCTGGCTGCATAAATATCTTCTTTTGAAAAGTGTCTGTTCATATCCTTTGCTCACTTTTTGATGGGTTTGTTTGTTTTTTTCTTGTAAATTTCTTTAAGTTCCTTGTAGATTCCAGTTGTGTGGGCTCTCAAGTGGGATCTTCCACTAGACCTTTTTCAGATTGGTAGATTGCTAAAATTTTCTTCCATTTGTAGGTTGCCTGTTCACTCTGATGATAGTTTCTTTTGCTGTGCAGTAACTCTTTAGTTTAATTAGGTCCCATTTGTCAGTTTTTGCTTTCATTGCAATTGATTTTGGTGATTTCTTCATAAAATCTTTGCCCGTGCCTATGTCCTGAATGGTATTGCCTAGGTTTTCTTCTAGGGTTTTTATGGTTTGGGGTTTTACATTTAAGCCTTTAATCTATCTTGAGTTGATTTTTGTACAAGGTGGAAGGAAGGGGTCAGTTTCAGTTTTCTGCATATGGCTAGCCAGTTTTCCCAGCACCACTTATTAAATAAGGAATGCCTTCCCCCATGGCTTTTGTTCGGTTTGTCAAAGATCAGATGGTTGTAGATGTGTGGTGTTATTTCTGAGGTTTCTGTTTTTTTCCATTGGTCTATATGTCTATTTTGGTACTGGTACCATGCTGTTCTGGTTACTGTAGGCTTGCAGTATAGTTTGAAGTCAGGTAGCATGATGCCTCCAGCTTTGTTCTTTCTGCTTAGGATTGTCGTGGCTATGCAGGCTCTTTTTTGGTTCCATATGAAATTTAAAGTAGTTTTTTCTAATTCTGTGAAGAATGTCAATGGTAGTTTGATGAAAATAACATTGAATCTGTAAATTACTTTAGGCAGTATGGCCATTTTTATGATATCAATTTTTTCTATCCATGAGAATGGAATGCTTTTCCATTTGTTTTTTTCTTCTCTTATTTCCTTGAGCAGTGGTTTCATAGTTCTCCTTGAAGAGGTCTTTCACATCCCTTGTTAGCTGTATTTCTAGGTATTTTATTCTCTTTGTAGCAATTGTGAATAAGAGTTCATTCATGATTTGATTCTCTGCTTGTCTAATGTTGGTTTATAGAAATGCTTGTGATTTTTGCACATTGATTTTATATCCTGAGACTTTGCTGAAGTTGCTTATCAGCTTAAAGTTTTTGGGCTGCAATGATGGGGTTTTCTAAATATAGAATTATGTTATCTGCAAACAGAGACAATTTGACTTCCTATCTCCTATTTGGATACCCTTTATTTCTTTCTCTTGCCTAATTCCCCTGGCCAGAACTTCCAATACTATGTTGAATAGGAGTGGTGAGAGAGGGCATTTAACATGAAGGGATGTGGAATTTTATCAAAGGCCTTTTCTGCATCTACTGAAATTGTCATGTGGTTTTTGTCATTAGTTCTGTTTATGTGATGGATTATGGGTTTTTTGTTTTTTTTTTTTTTACTTTAAGTTTAAGGATACAAGTGCAGAACGTGTAGGTTTGTTACATAGGTACATGTGTGCCATGGTGATTTGCTGCATCTATCAACCCGTCACCTAGGTTTTGAGCCCTGCATGCATTAGCTATTTGTCTTAATGCTCTTGTTCCCTTCACCCCCCACCCCCTGACTGGCCCCGGTGTGTGTCGTTTTCCTCCCTGTGTCTTTGCATTCTCATTGTTCAACTCCCACTTATGAGTGAGAACATGCAGTGTTTGTTTTTTTGTTCCTGTGTTAGTTTGTTAATGATGATGGCTTCCAGCTTCATCCATGTCCCTGCAAAGGGGGGTCTTACCCAGTTGGGTGGAATGGGAAGCAGGACCCATTTGGCTTTCCCTTAATGGAGGGGGTGTGCTGCGTGGCAGGGAAACCCACTCGTCTGTGCTGCCCAGATTCCTCACAGGTAGCAGGAGGAAAGACTGAGTCTGCTGGTTGGCAGAGACTGTGATTACATTTCCCCCGAGGGGCTCAGGCCCAGGGAGATAAGAATTCTCTCCCTGAGCCCCTGGCTGGAGTTGGAGTTTCTACAGGGAGGCCCTGCAGCTGCTGTGTTGGCTGCTGCCCCTCCTTCAAGGAGCTCAGATGGCTTAGACAGCAGGCAGCCACAGCAGTGGTGATGGCTGCCCCTCCCACCAGGAACCCATCAGGCTTAGACTGATTCTACCCCAGTGGCTGTTGGACAATCTGTGCAGCTCTTCCTTCCTTTCCATGGGTCATGCCAGCTACCTTGTCAGTCCTAATGACAGAACCTGGATACCTCAGTTGCTGGTGCAAGATTTGCAAACCGTTTTGGATCTTTTCCATGACAGCCTCCGGTCACCACTGCTTCTAGTTGGTCATCTTGGCCCCACCCCCCATATTCTTCCTTCTTAATTTTTGTCTGATTGAGTTAATTCAAAAGCCTTGTCTTCAAGCTCTGAAATTATTTCTTCTACTTGGTGTAGTCTATTGTTAAATCCACTGCATTTTGTAGTTTTCAAAATGTATATTCCATTTCCAAAAGTTCTGATTTTTTAAAAAAATATATCTATTTCTTTTAAAAAATTTTATTTGTATTTTGAACTTTTTTAACTTTCTTTAGGTTTACTTCCACCTTTCTCTTGTGTCTCCTTGAGTAACTTAAAAACCAACCTTTTGAATTCTTTATCTGGTATTTCAGAGATTTTTGTCTTGGTTTGGATCCATTGCTGGAGAGCTAGCATGATCTTTGGGGGGAGCTATAGAACCTGTTTTGTCATATTTCCAGAATTATTTTTCTGATTCCATCTCATTTAGGTAGACTATTTCTTCTAATTACTTTTTAATTCTACTGTGGTTTTTATTTCCTTTTTACCCTTTGAGGGTGTGACTTTAATGATTATAGTTTATTATTTATTTATTTATTTATTTGAGATGGAGTCTCGCTCTGTCACCCAGGCTGGAGTGCAGTGGTGCTATCTCAGCTCACTGCAAGCTCTACCTCCTGGGTTCATGCCATTCTCCTTCCTTAGCCTCCTGAGTAGCTGGGACTACAGGCGCTCGTCACCACGCCCAGCTAATTTTTTTGTATTTTTAGTAGAGATGGGGTTTCACCATGTTAGCCAGGATGGTCTTGATCTCCTGATCTTGTGATCCACCCACCTCAGCCTCCCAAAGTGCTAGGATTACAGGTGTGAGCCACCACACCTGGCTGATTATAGTTTATTGTAACCTAATTTGGCTCTGAGTGTTGGAGGTAAAGATTTGGTATGAGTTCCTTGGTTATAGAGAGTCTTTACGTCATTGCTTACTCAGATGCTGGTTGTAGTAGCAATATTCTCAATGTGTGAGCAGGTTTACTGTCTCCTGTAGGGTTGAAATAGCAGAGGTCATTTGAAACTTCTTTATCCCCAGTGGTGTGTACTTTTTTATTGATTTATTTTTTTCTCAGTATTTTATTTACTAGGTTGAATAGTTCAGTCTTCAGGGCAGTAGGGGATGGTGTCTACAGGTGAAAACTGGCTGTGGCTAAAGCAGGTAGGTAAACACAATACCCAGTAGTGGGCAGACAACCCAACCTTGACAGAGGTGGCTGGGGGAGCTCTCAGTGAAACACACCAAGGTCCTTTCATGGGAGAAGGAAGAAAGCCATCTTGCTCCCCTGCCAGGCCAGCAAGAAAACAATCTGCCTCCCAGTCACACTCCTGACACAGTGTTCCTGCTATTCAGATCAGACAGGTACCTCTTTTAATCTGCAGGAATGCTTATGTTTAATGTAGAGAGGGATGGTGGCTCTACTAGTGCAAGCCTGAACCTGCAAGGCACTCCTTTTTGGGGGATGCTATCACCCTGAAGTGCTTCAGGAAGGCTGTTTACATGTTCACCCATGCTAAGTTCCCATGGGAGAAGCTGCAGCTGTGTCTGCAGTGCTAAGTAAGGGGAAGAGAAAGTCCCCTTCTCCAAGACCCTTCACAAGTACCAGGGCTGCCAGACTATCGTGGTAGAGCCACATAACTTTCCACACTGAGCTCAGTCCTGCACTTGTGCCTCTGCTGATAGAAACTTCCCACAAGCAGAAAGTTCAGGGACTCAAGGCTTGCCTTCTGGATTATTTTGTCAAACAGGGTGCTCTCTTGATGGGGTTCACTCCCCGCTTTCTTCCAGGAGCAGGAGTCCCTGAGGGTCAGATTACAGTGAATGCTGCTGCTCCTCTGAGTCTAGCTGTTCAGTGGGGATTCCATATGCCATGCTGGTGCTGGAGAATGTCTACAAGGGATCTAGTGATATGACCTCTCCCAGCCATCATACAAAGTCTCCCAGCAGCGGGTACCAGCATCAGCTCTGATGGGGGTGGCAGGGGAGTGATATAGACTCTGTGAGATTCCTTGGTTATAAATAGACTTAGAGTGTTGGCTTTCTCAACTGCAAGCTATAATAGTAATAAACTGGTCACATGGACAGACTCAGGACCTCCTACTTAGCCAGAGTGATGCAGGCAATGATGATAGCTTAGAACATGCCCAAGTTTTCTCCTTGCTAGGTGCTGTGTTATTCTGCCTGCAGGTGCTGTAATGGACTATGTTGGTTGGCCTCCAGCCAGGAGGTGGCACTTGCAAAAGAGCACCAGCTGCTGTGGTAGCAGTGGGATTTGTACTTGCCTTTTATTACCCAGGGGAGGTACTCTGGTATCTCAGGCAATGAGCAGGGCCATAGACTTCTCAAAATTTTCTTTCCTTTGTGTTAAGATACCAGGGTAGGTGGAGGGGCAAAGCTATGTGGGGGCTGGGTCAGACAAGTCAAACACTCTGGCTCTCCACATGTGAGTGCCAGCAGTGGCCCTAGTGGTTTGGAGGATAGTTTTCTGGCCACCAGGTTAATGTTCCAGGGAAGACTACAGCTGTCTCTGCTGCACGGAAGAATCCATATGGGGAATAGAGATTAGCAGGCAGCAGTAAGCTAAGCCCCACCTAGCTCCCATGCACTTAGCAAAGCAGGCCTCACACCAACATTATTCCGCTAGCAGCAGCTAGCTAGATTCTAGACAGTCTGCCTTCAAAACTCAAAACTGCCCTAGGCCATAAGCCTTCCCCAGGGAGACATAAACTGTAGCTATGGGGCTATATCTTTCCCAGTCTGCCCACAAAGCAGGGACAACCAGCTCCTGAACCCATGTCTACAGTTTACTTCCTACTTGCCCCCTCGGTTCTGGATTATATCATGAAGCTCAGTTGGGAGCTTCTCTCAACCTGTGAACACTACTTGAGTTAGCTGGCAGACTTCTGTGAGGTCCTGTGTGAGGTAGGATCAGGAATGGCTTCCCTCCATCTCTGCTGGAGAATGGAAATGCATGCAAGGCACGTCCTGTTTCTGCTACTTATAATATACTCCCCACCAGTCACTAAATAAGTTCCAGTGCTGGTAGAGTTAAGTTCATCCCCTGTGGCCTGAATTGCTGGGTTCCCAGTGGGAGTGTGTATCCTGGAGGCAGTTTATCCCCCTCTCACATTCTGGGACTTAGTTTTCTGCCTGGCTCACAGTGTAGGCTGCAGCCCAACACTTCTTTCAAAGGGTATGTGGTTTCTTTCACTTTTCCTTTTAAGTTTCTGTGTTGCTTCTTGGGAAAAAAAAATGTTCATAGTGTAAATCTCTACACATTGTTTTGTCTTTGCAAGTGGGAGAGTAATTTAAAAAACTATTGGCATTTTAAATTTTTATTTATTTATTTTTGGAGAACACTGTCTTGCTATGTTGTCCAGGCTGAATTGCAGCAGCTATTAATAGGCACAATCATAGCACACTACAGCCCCACACTATTAACCTCAAGCAATCCTCACACCTCATCCTCCTCAGTAGCTGGGACCACAGACATGTGTCACCGTTGCTGGCTTTATTGTCAATTTTAGCATTGTTTTATGTTTGTAGTTTCTTTGTTACTTTATTCCTCTCTTGCTGTCTTCCTTCATACTTTAATGATTTTTTTTGTAGTGGTATGTTTTTATTTCTTTCTCTTTATCTTTTATGTATCTACTAGAGCTTTTCTTTTTGTTGTTACCATCAGGCTTATATAAAACATCTTAAGGTTATAACAGTCTATTTTAAGCTGAAAGCAACCTAACTTAAACCACATATAAAAACTCTACAATAAAGGATTGAGGGCCTGATGGGTAGTTTTTGGGTCATGGGACACCAACCTCATAAATGATTAATGCTGTTATCATGGAAGTGTGTTCATTGTTGTGGGAATGGGATACTTATAAAATGACAAATTTGACCGATGGCTGAAGATGGCCGAATAGGAACAGCTCCAGTCTGCAGCTCCCAGTGTCATTGATGCAGAAGTTGGGTGATTTCTGCATTTCCAGCTGAGGTAACTGGTTCATCTCACTGGGCCTGATTGGACAGTGAGTGCAGCCCATGGAGGGTGAGCCGAAGCAGGGTGGGGCATCACCTTAACTGGGAAGTGCAAGGGGTCAGGGAATTTCCCTTTCCTAGCCAAGGGAAGCCGTGACAGACTGTACCTGGAAAAACGGGACACTCCCACCCAAATACTGCATTTTTCCCACAGTCTTAGCAACCGGCAGTCTAGGAGATTCTCTCCCGTGCCTGGCTCGGTGAGTCCCACACACATGGAGCCTTGCTCACTGCTAGTGCAGCAGTTTGAGATCGACCTGCAAGGCTGCAGCCTTGCTGGGGGAGGGGCACCTGCCATTGCTGAGGCTTTACTAGGTAAACAAAGTGTCCGGGAAGCTCAAACTGGGTGGAGCCCACCACAGCTCAGCAAGGCCTACTGCCTTTATAGAATCCACCTCTGTGGGCAGGGCGTAGCTAAACAAAAGGCAGCAGACAACTTCTGCAAACTTAAACATCCCTGTCTGACAGAACTGAAGAGAGCAGTGGTTCTCCCAGTATGGCATTTGAGCTCTGAGAACAGACAGACTGCCTCCTCATGTGGGTCCCTGACTGCGGTGTAGCCTAACTGGGAGACACCTCCCAGTAGGGGCCAATAGACACATCATATAGGCGGCTTCCCTCTGGGACGAAGCTTCCAGAGGAAAAATCAGGGAGCAATATGTGGTGTTCTGCAATATCTACTGTTCTGCAGCCTCTGCTGGTGATACCCAGGCAAACGGGCTGGATGGACCTCCAGAAAACTCCAACAGACCTGCAGCTGAGGGACCTGACTGTTAGAAGGAAAACTAGCAAACAGAAAGAAATAACATCAATATCAACAAAAAGGACATCCACATAAAAACCCCATCTGTAGATAACCAACATCAAAGACCAAACGTAGCCCCACATGCCCAGCAGGCATGAGTGCCATGGCCTGGCTCCCACAGGGCTATGCCAAGCCAGGTGAGCCCCCGCAGCACCCAGGCATGGGCCTGGGCTGCCACTGCTACTGCCACCAGGCGTGGCATTTTTATTCAGGCGACGCTTAAGGGAGTCCGGCCGTGCCCGGTGCATTGTGGGAGCGGCCCGCAGCCCGTTTTTGGGAGGAGGCGGAGGGTGCAAAGCCAGCCGGTGGATCCATAAAGAACCCAGCCAACCCACAGAGGGAGGGGAGGGGCTGAGCTGTGAGGAGAGCGGGGCCCAAGAACCATGTCTAAGCGGGAGTCCTTTAACCTGGAAAGTTATGAATTGGACAAAAGCTTCTGGCTAACCAGATTCACTGAACTGAAGGGCACAGGTTGCAAAGTGCCCCAAGATGTCTTGCAAAAATTGCTGGAATCTTTACAGGAGAACCACTTCCAAGAAGATGAGCAGTTTCTGGGAGCCGTTATGCCAAGGCTTCGCATTGGAATGGATACTTGTGCCATTCCTTTGAGGCATGGTGGGCTTTCCTTGGTTCAAACCACAGATTACATTTACCCGATCGTAGACGACCCTTACATGATGGGCAGGATAGCATGTGCCAATGTCCTCAGTGACCTCTATGCAATGGGGGTCACAGAATGTGACAATATGCTGATGCTCCTTGGAGTCAGTAATAAAATGACCGACAGGGAAAGGGATAAAGTGATGCCTCTGATTATCCAAAGTTTTAAAGATGCAGCTGAGGAAGCAGGAATGTCTGTAATGGTCAGCCAAACAGTACTAAATCCCTGGATTGTCCTGGGAGGAGTCACTACCACTGTCTTCCAGCCCAATGAATTTATCATGCCAGACAATGCAGTGCCAGGGGACGTGCTGGTGTTGACAAAACCCCTGGGGACACAGGTGGCAGTGGCTGTGCACCAGTGGCTGGATATTCCTTAGAAATGGAATAAGATTAAGCTAGTGGTCACCGAAGATGTAGAGCTGGCCAACCAGGAGGCGATGATGAACATGGTGAGGCTCAACAGGACAGCTGCAGGACTCATGCACACGTTCAATGCCCACATGGCCACTGACATCACGGGCTTCGGGATTTTGGGCCACGTGCAGAACCTAGCCAAGCAGCAGAGGAACGAGGTGTCGTTTGTAATTCACAACCTCCTGGTGCTGGCCAAGATGGCTGCGGTGAGCAAGGCCTGCGGAAACATGTTCAGCCTCATGCATGGGACCTGCCCGGAGACCTCAGGCGGCCTTCTGATCTGTTTACCATGTCAGCAAGCAGCTCGGTTCTGTGCAGAGATAAAGTCCCCCAAATATAGTGAAGGCCACCAAGCATGGATTATTGGGATTGTAGAGAAGGGCAACCACACAGCCAGAATCATAGACAAACCCCAGATCATCAAGGTTGCACCACAAGTGGCCACTCAAAATGTGAATCTCACACCCGGGGCCACATCTTAATCTAGACAGAAATAGCTGTTTGGTTTTGTTTTTAAATAGATCTATTTCCCTTATCACTTCAACTAAAGACTATAAACAACAAAAATCTCATTGTGTCTACACATCGGGGTGACCTTAGGTCAGTTTGTAAGTGGATACAATTAATAAAATAAAATCCACTGCCTTTTTTTCCTGTTACATTAACTGAAGATGCACCTAATCTTGAGGCAGCTTCTGAATTGAGAATTATATTGTTATCCAATGCTGTTGATTCATTTTGAATCTTTAGACACTTATCTCTTGCCGCATAGGCTCTTTTTAAAGGTGCTTTCACATAGCACAGACATTACCAGTAGTCATGTCAAATCGCAGTTGGTGTCTTCATTTTATGTATATTTATCAAGTAAGTCTGATTTTTTTATTAAGCATCTTGAATGGTTTTCTGGAGAGACAGCATTGGTAAGTGGCACATGATGGTATCCCAGTCATAAGAGGGTTGCATGATTCCTTTGAGTGTTTGATTTGAAAAGCCTAGTCTTGTCTCTCAAGAGCATCTCGGATCCAGAACATTCTCCAGTAGTGCATTCAGTTCAACACAGCAAGTGCTTCACTGCATGGAAAACATTTTGAAGACAAAAAAATCTTATATCTTTTTTTGTAGCCTTCCTGATATTTACAGTAATACGATTAACTGTTTTATCGATAGCAAAAAAGGATACTTTTTGCAATGTAATTAGATGTTCTATAGTGCTACAAGGAATTGCCTTCCAAATGGAGGTTCATGTATAATACTCATTTACAATTCAATATATAATTATGCAAATAATTTTTAAATATAATGAATAATAAAGACTGTTCTGTGGATGGTAGTGTTTAATACATTTTATATTTTGTATAGTGATTTCAGGCCTTTTATTTTCTTAAAATCAGTAGCTATTTGGCCTAATTCTTAGCACTATTTTGTCCTTTGCGCCAGTACTTTTTTGTGCATGCTTTTTGTGATCTGTGTTAAAAACCTGCATTGCCAACATTGCAGCTCGAACTTAAACTTGTTATTCAAATAAATATTTAATTTTTTTAAATTGCTCTTGCATAAAAAAAAAGACCAAAGGTAGATAAAACCACAAAGACGGTGAGAAACCAGAGCAGAAAAGCTGAAAATTCTAAAAACAAGAGTGCCTTTTCTCCTCCAAAGGATCGCAACTCCTCGCCAGCAATGGAACAAAGCTGTATGGAGAATGACTTTGACGAGTTGACAAAAGTAGCCTTCAGAAGGTCAGTAATAACAAACTTTTCTGACCTAAAGGAGAATGTTCTAGCCCATTGGAAGGAAGCAAAAAACCTTGAGAAAAAGGTTAGACGAATGGCCAACTAGAATAAACAGTGTAGAGAAGACCTTAAATGACCTGATGGAGCTGAAAACCATGGCACAAGAACTTCGTGATGGATGCACAAGCTTCAATAGCCGATTCAATCAAGTAGAAGAAATGGTATCAGTGATTGAAGATCAAATTAATGAAATAAAGCAAGAAGACAAGTTTAGAGAAAAAAGAGTAAAAAGAAACAGACAAAGCCTCCAAGAAATATGGGACTATGTGAAAAGACCAAACCTATGTTTGATTGGTGTACCTGAAAGTGACGGGGAGAATGGAACCAAGTTGGAAAACACTATTCAGGATTATAAGCCAGAAGAACTTCCCCAACATAGCAAGGCAGGCCAACATTCAAATTCAGGAAAAACACAGAACACCACAAAGCTACTCCTCGAGAAGAGCAAACCCAAGACACATAATTGTCAGATTCACCAAGGTTGAAATGAAGGAAAAAATGTTAAGCAAAGCCAGAGAGAAAAGTCGGGTTACCCACAAAAGGAAACCCATCAGACTAACAGTGGATATATCTACAGAAACCCTACAAGCCAGAAGAGAGTGGGGGCCAATATTCAACATCCTTAAAGAAAAGAATTTTCAACCAAGAATTTCATATCCAGCCACACTAACCTTCTTAAGGGAAGGAGAAATAAAATCCTTTACAGACAAGCAAATGCTGACAGATTTTGTCACCACCAGACGTGCCTTACAAGAGCTCCTGAAGGAAGCACTAAACATGGAAAGGAAAAACCGGTACCAGCCAGTGCAAAAACATGCCAAATTGTAAAGACCATTGATACTATGAAGAAACTGCATCAATTAATGGGCAAAATAACCAGCTAACATCATAATGGCAAGATCAAATTCAAACATAACAATATTAACCTTAAATGTAAATGGGCTAAATGCCCCAATTAAAATACAGAGACTGTCAACTTGGATAAAAAGTCAAGACCCATCAGTGTGCTGTATTCAGGAGACCCATCTCACGTGCAGAGATGCACATAGGCTCAAAATAAAGGGATGGAGGAAGATCTACCAAGCAAATGGGAAGCAACAAAAAGTAGGGGTTGCAATCCTAGTCTCTGATGAAAACGGAATATTAAACCAACAAAGATGAAAAGAGACAAAGAAGGCCATTACATAATGGTAAAGGGATCAAGTCAACAATGAGAGCTAACTATCCTAAATATATATGCACCCAATACAGGAGCACCCAGATTCATAAAGCAAGTCCTTAGAGACCTACAAAGAGACTTAGACTCCCACACAATAATAATGGGAGACTTTAACACCCCACTGTCAATATTAGACAGATCAATGAGACAGAAGGTTAAAAAGGATATCCAAAACCTGAACCCAGCTCTGCACCAGGCAGACCTAATAGACATCTACAAAACTCTCCACCAAAACTCAACAGAATATGCATTCTTCTTAGCACCACATCGCACTTATTCTAAAATTGACCACATAATTGGAAGTAAAGCACTCCTCAGCAAATGTAAAAGAAAAGAAATCACCACAAACAGTCTCTCAGACCACAGTGCAATCAAATTAGAACTCAGGATTAAAAAACTCACTCAAAACCACACAACTACATAGAAACTGAACAACCTGCTCCTGAATGAATGCTAGGTACATAATGAAATGAAGACAGAAATAAATATGTTCTTTGAAACCAATGAGAACAAAGACACAACGTACCAGAATCTCTGAGACACATTTAAAGCAGTGTGTAGAGGGAAATTTACAGCACTAAATGCCCACAAGAGAAAGCAGGAAAGATCTAAAATCAACACCCTAACATCACAATTAAAGGAACAAGAGAAGCAAGAGCAAACAAATTCAAAGCTAGCAGAAGGCGATAAATAACTAAGAACAGAGCAGAACCAAAGGAGATTAAAAAAAAAAACCTTCAAAAGAGAAGAATCAAATAGACACAATAAGAAATGATAAAGGGGATATCACCACTGATCCCACAGAAATACAAACTACCATCAGAGAATACTGTAAACACCTCTATGCAAATAAACTAGAAAACCTAGAAGAAATGGATAAATTCCTGGCCACATACAACCTCCCAAGACTAAACAAGAAAGAAGTTGAATATCTGAATAGACCAATAACAGGTTCTAAAACTGAGGCAATAATTAATAGCCTACCAACAAAAAAGTCCAGGACCAGACAGATTCACAGCCAAATTCTACCAGAGGTAAAAAGAGGAGCTGCTACCATTCCTTCCGAAACTATTCCGATAAATAGAAAAAGAGGGAATCCTCCCTAACTCATTTTATGAGGCCAGCATCATCCTAATAGCAAAGCCTGGCACTGACAAAACAAAAACAGAGAATTTTAGGCCAATATCCATGATGAACATCAATGCAGAAATCCTCAATAAAATACTGGCAAACCGAATCCAGCAGCACATCAAAAAGCTTATCCTCCACAATCAAGATGGCTTCATCCCTGGGATGCAAGGCTGGTTCAACATATGCAAATCAATAAACATAATCCATCACATAAACAGAACCAATGACAAAATCCACGTTTATCTCAATAGATGCAGATAAGGGCTTTGACAAAATTCAACGGCCCTTCATGCTAAAAACTCAATAAACTAGGTTTTGATGGAACATATCTCAAAATAATAAGAGCTATTTATGACAAACCCACAGGCAATACCATACTGAATGGGCAAAAACTGGAAGCATTCCCTCTGAAACCCAGCACAAGACCAGGATGCCCTCTCTCACCACTCCTATTCAACACAGTGTTGAAAGTTCTGGCTAGGGCAATCAGGCAAGAGAAAGAAATAAAGGGTATTGAATTAGGAAGAGAAGATGTCAAATTGTCTCTGTTTGCAGATGACATTATTATATATTTAGAAAACCCCATCATCTAGCCCAAAATCTCCTTAAGCTGATAAGCAACTTCAGCAGAGTCTCAGAATACAAAATCAATGTGCAAAAATCACAAGCATTCTTATACACAATTAATAGACAGAGAGCCAAATTCACCACTAACAGACAGAGAGCTAAATCATGAGTGAACTCCCTTTCACAATTGCTACAAAGAGAATAAAATACCTAGGAATCCAACTTTCAAGGGATGTGAAGGACCTCTTCAAGGAGAACTATAAAACACTGCTCATCAAAATAAAAGAGGACACAAACAAATGGAAGAATATTCCGTGCTCATGCATAGGAAGAATCAATATCGTGAAAATGGCCATACTGCCCAAGGTAATTTATAGATTCAATGCCATTACCATCAAGCTACCAATGACTTTCTTCACAGAATTGGAAAAAACTACTTTAAAGTTCATATGGAACCAAAAAAGAGTCCACATTACCAAGACAATCCTAAGCAAAAAGAACAAAACTGGAGGCATCATGCTACCTGACTTCAAACTATACTATAAGACTACAGTAACCAAAACAGCATGGTAATGGTACCAAAACAGATATATAGAACAATGGAACAGAACAGAGGCCTCAGAAATAACACCACACATCTACAACCATCTGATCTTTGATGAAACTGACAAAAACGAGAAATGGGGAAAGGATTCCCTATTTAATAAATGGTGCTGGGAAAACTGGCTAGCCATATGTAGAAAGCTGAAAGTAGATCCCATCCTTACACCATATGCAAAAATTAACTCAAGATGGATTAAAGACTTAAATGTTAGACCTAACACCATAAAAACCCTAGAAGAAAACCTAGGCAATACCATTCAGGACATAGGCATGGGCAAAGACTTCATGAGTAAAACACCAAAAGCAAAGGCAATAAAAGTCAAAATTGACAAATGGGATCTAATTAAACTAAAGAGCTTCTGCACAGCAAAAGAAACTACCATCAGAGTGAACAGACAACCTACAGAATGGGAGAAAATCTTTGCAATCTACCCATCTGACAAAAGACTAATAACCAGAATCTACAAAGAACTTAAACAAATTTACAAGAAAAAAAAACCCCATCAAAAAGTAGGCAAAGGATATGAACAGACACTTCTCAAAAGAAGACATTTATGCAGCCAACAGACATGAAAAAAGCTCATCGTCCCTGGTCATCAGAGAAATGCAAATCAAAACCACAATAAGATACCATCTCACGCCAGTTAGAATGGTGATCATTAAAAAGCCAGGAAACAACAGATGCTGGAGAGGATGCGGAGAAATAGGAATGCTTTTACACTGTTGGTGGGAGTGTAAATTAGTTCAACTATTGTGGAAGACAGTGTGGTGATTCCTTAAGGATCTAGAACTAGAAATACCATTTGACCCAGCAATCCCATTACTGGGTATATACCCAAAGGATTATAAATCATGCTACTCTAAGGTCACATGCACATGTATATTTATTCCAGCACTATTCACAATAGCAAACAGTTGGAACCAACCCAAATGTCCATCAATGATAGACTGGATTAAGAAAACCTGGCACATATACACCATGGAATACTAAGCAGCTATAAAAAGGATGAGTTCATGTCATTTGCAGGGACATGAATGAAGCTGGAAACCATCATTCTAAGCAAACTGTCACAAGGAGAGAAAACCAAACACCACATGTTCTCACTCATAGGTGGGAGTTGAACAACGAGAACACATGGACACAGGGTGGGGACCATCACATACCAGAGCCTGTTAGTGGGTGGGAGGCTGGGGGAGGGCTAGCATTAGGAGAAATACCTAATGTAAATGACACGTTGATGGGTGCAGCAAACCAACATGGCACATGTATACCTCTGTAACAAACCTGCATGTTGTGCACATGTACCCTAGAACTTAAAGTATAATAATAATAAAAAAAGAAATATATTTGTTCTTTTCATTTCTGAAGGACAGCTTTTCCTGTCATAGTGTCTTGATTGGCAGGTTTTTTTTTCATGACTTAAATATATTATTCCACTCTCTCGGCCTGCAAGTTTTCTGCTAAGAATTCACAGATAACCTTATGAAGATTCCCTTGCATGAGATTAGTCTGTTTTTTCTTGCTGCTTTCAAAATTATGTCTTTTTCTTTGACTTTTGACAATTTGATTATAATGTGTCTATATATAATCTTCTTTGGGTTTATTTTGCTTGAAAGTCTTTAAGCTTCATGAGTCTGGATATTTATATCTTTCCTAAGATTTGAGAATTTTCTACCTTTATTTGTTTGCATAAGCTTTCTTGCTATTTCTCTCTCTCCCTCCCTCCTCCCCCACCTTCTTAGAATCTGATAATGCATATTTTTATTCACTTGATGGTGTCCCTTAGGTCTCATAGGGACATTCACTCTTTTTTATTCTTTTTTTTATTTTTTGTTCCTTTAACTGACTAATTTCTTGAACTACTGACCTCAGGTGATCTACCTGCCTCAGCCTTTCAAAATGCTGAGACAACAGGTATAAGCCTCCACACCTGGCTAACTGGCTTATTTCAAATGACTCGTCTTTGAACTGACTGCTTGAGTCTGCTGTTGAAGCTTTATTCTGTTTGCGTCTTCTGTCGAAGCTCTCTATTGAATTTTTTCCTTCTTTCCTTGTATTCTTCAGCTTCAGGACTTCTTTTTAGTTCTTTTTTAAGGTTTCTATTTCTTTATTAAACTTCTCTTTTTTCATGCATTGTTTTCCTGGTTTTGTGTAGTTGTTTATCTGTCATCTTACATCTCATTGAGCTTCTTTAAATGACGATTTTGAATCCTTTGCCAGGTATTTCATATATCTACATTTCCTTGGGGTTGATTACTGGAGCTTTATTAGTCTCCTGTGGTGGTGTCATGTGTGCCTGATTTTTTTAAAATCCATGTAGCCTCATATTGATGTCTATACATTTGAATGCACAAACATCTCTTTCAGTCTTTACTGACTGGCTTTGGCAGGTAAAGACCTTTTCCTGTTGGATCCCCAAGCTTATGGAATTGCCATCTAGATTGCAGTGAAACAGTCTTGGAGCTGAGTCACATGGCTGTTGCTGGGTGCCCAGCAGGTCTGCAGTTGGTGTGTCTGTTAACAGAGTCTCAGACTAATGTAGATTCTGTCTAGCTCCTATGGACTGAACTACCTTCAGGACCTTCATCAATAGAGCTAGCTCTGGTTAAAGTGTCCACTTCAGTGTCTTTAGACAGTGGACTTGTTACCAGGTGGTATAAATGAGTGTGGTTTCCACTGAATCATTGGGAGGGCTCTTATCAATTTACTGGCCAGGTCCCTGGGCAGGAAGGACAGGCCACATATCATGGCTGAGAGGAGCTGAAACCAAGTCATAGGGCTACTTCAGGGTCCACAGCTGAGAATGAGGTCTGCAAACCTGACTCCAGGGGCATGGACAGGTATGCATCCTCCTGGGTGGGAAGGCAGGACTACTCCTAATTTTATCTGAGTGAACCTGGATCTTTGTCTCAGGGCTGCTTCAGAATCTGCAGTCAGAACAAAATTAGTAGGCCTACCACCCAGGACATGGATGGGCATGTTACCCAACAAATCCCTGAGTGGGAAGGACTACTCCTGGACCATGATTGGGAAGGGGTAGAACTGAGTTACAGTGCTGCCTCATGATCCACAGTCAGACTGAGCTTGGCAAACCTGCCTCCAGTAGCACAAATGGATGTGTCTACTGGTGGATACCTGGAAAGGCAGAAATATGCTCAGACCACAGTTAGGAAGAGCTGGAACTGAGTTACAGGACTGTTTCAGAATCTGCTATGGGACTGAATTTAGCAGACCTGCTTCTAAGGGTGTGGATGGGCATGTATCACAGCATATTCATGTGCGGGCAGAACTGTTGCCCAATCACATCTGAGAGGGGATGGAGGCAGGTCATGGATCCTTTCAGGGTCCATATCCAGGACCAAGGTTAGCAGGCCTATTACCTAAAACATGGTGTAGGCATGACTCCTCTTGGGTTTCTTGGCATATGGATTGGGTGGCAGATCCAAGACTAAACAGGACTGTAGCTGAGTCCACAGGGGGCAACAATGTTTCTAGGTCTGTAGCCAGGACTGTGGTAGGCAAGCCTTCCACCTGGGCACAGGCCTGCCTTCTCACAATGGTCCTCCTTGGCCTTGTGCTCCACCAAGATTTTGCAACTTCCTACCTGGATCCCAAAGCTTCCACAAAGGCACTTTTGTTTGTGGATAGTTCCCAAATTATTGTTGTTGTGGAAGGATATAAGGGGGGATACCTGTTATTCTGCCGTCTTGTTCTCACATAGCTTCTTAACATACCAAACTCTGTAAAGCATGCTTACTACTTCTCTATGAAAGTCACCAGTTAAAATTCTGGAAAGGACAGGGCTTTGAAGAATAAAGCCTCAGGACAGTACTATGGAACATCATCAGAACACTCTTTACACTTTTGTAATAATTTCTTAATCAGAACACTTAACATAGAGAACTCTAAATAGTTACATGCTCACTTAATTGTATTATTATCCAATCCATATATCTCTGTGTTGTCTACAAGGATATAATTAAAGACCATGTCAAATACTTCCTTGAGATTAAAATGTGATATAACCCACATTGGTGATCTGTCTAGCTTGTAAACATGTCAAAACAGAAAATGCAGTTAGTCTGATGTTAATGGATTATTTTTTTAATTTTTACTGCACGTTGGGGCCTAGTAAGTAGCTCTTTCACTTTTAAGTGCTGACGGCCAACCTTTTAAATAAGCTATTCTAAGATTTTGGGGGGAGACTGGCATAAAGTTTACTGTTATTTGGTTGAAACATTTCATTCTCGTGTGTTATACAAATATAGTCAACTCTCAGCATTCATGGTAGTTATGCTCTATAAAGCCACTGCAAACATTGATTTAGCAAATACTGAACCATTTCTTCTAGAGGAAGTACAGGGTTAAGTTCTTGTGAGCCTCTGGTCACAAAACGTTTTTCAACCAGTCAATATATAACCTTGTTTTATGTGTGTTTCCGTTTAAAGCCACGTTATTTGAATATATTGTTGTTTCATTAACTTTGAGATTAGGGGCAAAACCACTATAATTCATGCCTGAACCAAGCTTATCTAACACGTGTATTTTATCCTCACGGCCTATCCCATTCTTGCCCTTAGGACCCCTAGACAACACTTCAGCACTATGCTTGCCAGCAATTTAAAATAGTAAAACCACCAACAAAAGAAACAAAAATGTGAAAGACATGATAGGAAATAGACAATACAAAAGATATTTGTTTATAGTATGAGAGATGAAACAAAAAGACAGAGTATCACTTTGTTCAACCTCAGCTGGAAATGTGCACTTCAGATGACTCACAATTTTTACCACTCTGAGCATGTTTACAAATAACTGAAAAAGTGATGTAAGTATTAATTTGGGGATTACAACTAAATTTTAGAAAGGAAGTGAATTTTCAAATACAGAAAATGTAAATATTAGGGATCAGCTATGTAATAATCTTCTCAAATAGCTTCAATATACCTACCTTGAAGCTGAGGGTAATAGCACTGGAGAGTTGGGCATGATGAGACTTCAATGATGTAATCTTTTATAAGATTTTTAAAGAAATGAAATAAATGTCAACAATAACAGAAGAAAATTGAAGATTATAGTAAGCAACTGAGACAACTAAAGTATTCTAGAACCAACTGTTGAATCTCCCCAGGTTATCTGGTGCTATTAAATTGCATAACCTAGTATCATAAGAACGTTGTACTCAAGGTCCATTTTCCAAAGGTTATTAAAGTACTTCTTGATGTGGGGAAAGGGCAATGACCAGGTTATAGGGTAGAGCTGGTTTACTAAGCTTTGTTCCAACTTGACTTGCCCTCCTTAACACTATCACTTATAGTGTTAACACTAACACATAAATCCTTCTTCTTTGACTGCCGGAAGTTCCATCTAGTCCCTATTTCCATTTTGACTTTCTCTAGTGTCTTTAATCATTCCATAGGTGCCCATAGTGGGAGAAGGTGAGACCAGCCACAGTAATAGTGACACTGATAATGTGAAGGTCACCATTTGCAGCATAAAGAAATGTTTCTCTGTGTTCATGCGTGTGACCTTAAATTTACTTAAGAAAGCCAGGGGACATCCAAAAAGAAGGAAAACAGTACAAAAGGAATTTGAGTTACCTGTTTGTTACCTGTGCTTGAAATGTTACCCTTGGTATCAGATGGAAAGAAACATAGGAAGGCAATGATAACTGTCATAGTGATAACTGTCATCACTATAGACTGGTTGTGATATTCTGTGGCTGCTTTGTGGGGTTTTTTTGTTTTGATATTTTATTTTATTCCAATCTTTTCACAGAGATATTTTTGAGTGTTGTCTTGTTTAGGATTTTATTATTGCTGCTCTTGTCATTCTGTGCATTTTTTGTTGAAAATTTCAGAGTTTATAGGGTGAGAGAGCTATTTTATTTCTGATAAAGCAGCTTCTAAGTGAAAACAATATTCTGTAAAAGTCAGAAGTTTTACATTCTACTCAACAACCTACTGTTAGTTTGTGTATTAGGGTTCTCCAGAGGGACAGAACTAATAGAATAGATGTATATATGAAGGGGAGCTTATTGAGGAGTATCGACTTGCATGATGGTAAGGTGAAGTCCCACAATAGGCTGTCTGCAAGCTGAGGAGCAAGGAAGCCAGTCCAAGTCTCAAAACCTCAAAAGTAGGGAATCCAACAAATGCGGCCTTCAGTCTGTGGCCAAAAGCCTGAGAGCCCTTGGCAAACCTCTGGTGTAAATCCAAGAGTTCAAAAGCTGAAGAACTTGGAGTCTAATGTTCAAGGCAGGAAGCATCCAGCAGGGAAGAAAGATGAAGGCCAGAAGACTGAGCAAGTTGGCTTCTTCCACCTTCTTCTGCCTGCTTTATTCTAGCCAGGCTGGCAGTTTATTGTATGGTGCCCACCCAAATTGAGGGTGGGTCTGCCCCTCCCAGTCCACTGACTCAGATGTTAGTCTCCTTTGGCAACACACTCACAGACACACCCAGGAGCAATATGTGCATCCTTCAATCCAATCAAGTTGACACTTAATATTAACCATCACTGTTTGCCAAGTATTGGGGAGCCATCTAAGTTTTTAGTATTATTCCTTTAGAAATGGAAAAATGCCCTGTTTTCTGCATGGCTAAATGTTATAATTTCACTCAAAGTTCACTTTTGTTTAGGAAGTTTGGTGGCTTGTTTACAGTTAAAAAAACAACAACAACAAAAACAGTAGTTTCACTGAAAGTTTTTCCCCCCAATTCCTGGTCTTTTCTATCACACATGTTTCCTTTATCATTAAAATCAGAATTCTAAATTTCACAACTCTCTCCACCTCTTCTAATTGGGACACATCTCTTTATAAAGCTAATATCAGAATCCTCAATTGGCCTCATCCTTTCCAGCATAAATAGCCATATTTTATATATGTATGTACATGATTATACTACTTGCAGTGTCTCTTTAAATTGTTAATGTCAGCTTATTCTCAATCAATTACAATGGATATACATTTGTGTCCTAGGTATATGCTCATGAATCTAAACTCACAAACAGGCCAAAGCTTTGGAACATCTGCATAAAGTATCCTGTTTCTTATTTGTATTATTACTAAAGTCATATGTTTTATCTTTATAGCCTAACTGTCCCCTTGGGTGTTTGAAGACCTAGGTGATATGCCCATTTGTGATATGCTCTCCAGAAACAGAAGGGTTAAGATTACTGTAAGCTTCAGAGATATAGTGGGTTTGTTCTTTGGAATTTGGGGAAATAGAAAACTCTTATATTTCATTAAAAGGTACTCAGAAATATTTTCTGCTGGTTGGTTGATGATTCTTAGAGCTTAATGGTATTCCTTCCTGTTCCCTCCTCCTCCTTCATCAAGTTCTAGAGAAGAATATGTCTCCTTTCTCTAAACTTTCTAGACTCCTGAACTTTTATCTACCAAGCCCTAGCATGCCACATTAATACAGAAATCAGTACCTGAGTGGCAATCGTGCATAGCCATTGTCGACAAAAAGAGTCAAACTCTGTAAAATATTTGAAGAGATTTATTCTGAGCCAAATATGAGTGACCATGGCCCATGACACAGCCCTCAGGAGGTCCTGAGAACATGTGCCCAAGGTGGTTGGGGTACAACTTATTTTATACATTTTAAGAAGGCATGAGACATCAATCAAATACATTTAAGAAATACATTGGTTTGGTCCAGAAAGGTGGGACAATTCAAAGCCATGGTGGGGATTCCAGGCTATAGATAAATTTAAACATTTTCTGGTTGACAATTGGTTGAGTTTATCTAAGGACCTGGGATTATAGAAAGGAAATGTTCAGGTTAAGATAAAAGATTGTGGAGACCAAGGTTCTTTTGAAGTCTAATAGTGGCTGCCCTTAGAGACAATAGATGACAAATGTTTCCTATTCAGATCTTTAAAAGGTGCTAGACTTTTAGTTAATCTCTTTAGGATTGGGAAGGCCTGGAAGAATAAGATCTAGCTATGTTAATAGAGATTCTTTACAGATGCAAATTTTTCCCCACAAAGAACAGCTTTGCAAGGCCATTTCAAGATATGGCAAAGAAGCATGTTTTGGAGTAAAATATTTTAATTTTCTTCCTTGTCTTGTAATGTTATGCCAGAGTCAGATTGGAAAGTAAGTCACGATATATATAAGGTTAAATAAAACCCATCCGATGACAATTTATGATTTGTAGGGCATGACTTCCCAGACCCCTTAGATAGGAATTTGGACAAGATGAAAAAATCAGAATTTAGTCCTCATCATGTATCTTTCTCAAAAATAATAGATTGATGGGAACAGATATTTGGGGACCAAAGAAGCCAAAGTGGTTCCCATCCCTTTCTCTCTGTAACTTAACCTCTGTGACTTGGCAAGCCTTCATGTTCTAGGCTATAAAGCGGTAAGGGCAAGAGAGAAAAAAATAATAGTTGAGTACCTTTTATAGGACATCTCTGTTGTAGATAGCTTTTAAATATTAAGGTTAAGAACATTGCTCTCACTCTTCCTCTGACCCCCCCCCACCAACTCTTTTACTTTCCAGTTTCCACCATTTTGTGTAGCCCCTCCTAGATTTCTCAGTTAATCATGGAGAATAGAACAAGGAAGCCACTTTCACTCTGCATTTCATGAAAAAGATATTTCTGCAGCCTGATTCTCATTTACAAAGTAGCACCTACAACTATACATTTTTTATTCCATTAAGCATTTATTTTCAAAATTTAAACCAGTACTGAGAGGCATTAAACATGTAAATTATTTCTCTCCATTTAAGAAATGATTTGGCAATGCATCTAAAGAACCATGAAAACATTTATACCACTTGACATAATAATCAAAGTTCTAAGGAAAGAAAAGGCTAGAATGCAAAGGTGTTCATTATAGATCTATGGAAAAATCAAAAGCAGCCTAACAGTTAAACAATCAAAGATGATACATGCTTTATCTCATTTCCACAAATACCCTTTATCCCATCTGCAAATTAGACTCACAGGAGCAAACTCACTCTGTCTCATCTATCAGTGTCCAGTACTATATAAAAACACAATTCCTTTATAAGGCTTTTAACTCCAGATATTTATCAGAGGTCACATCCAAGTCATGAAGGGTCAAGCTCTGCCAATCTCCATGAAGCTCTATACTCTTGAGTGTTAGCCAGGGAACAGTTGACTAGCCACTGCAGGTTAGAAGTTTTTCTGAGGTATTCAAAGCCCAAATCACTCACAGAAAAAGAATCTGATTTCAGCCTCTCCTTCCTCTTTCATATATATCCCCACACTAAGAAGTACTAAGTAGAGTGGAGTTTGAGAAACTGAACACTCCTTACTCTAGCCCTTGAGGAGTTTATAACTATAAAATTTGTGGCAAACATAAGCTCAGTCTGAGTCCACAATATGACATTCGTAAAATTCTAACTTTGTGATTCTTCTTCAATAAACTCATTTGTCATTTTTAATATCGTATTTCTCTGGCTTTGGTCAGAACTTTAGCAGAGTGCAGAAGTACAATATAATTTTCTAAATATATTTTAAGATATTGAATAAAAGCCAGGCATGGTGGCCCACACCTGTAAACCCAGCATTTTGGGAGGCCAAGGCAGGTGGATCACTTCAGGTCAGGAGTTCAAGACCAGCCTGGCCAACATGATGAAACCCCATTTCTACCAAAAATACAAAAATTAGCCAGGTGTGGTGGTGGGTGCCTGTAATCCCAGCTACTCAGGAGGCTGAGGCTTAAGAATCGCTTGAACCTGTGAAGCAGAGGTTGCAGTGAGCCAAGATCGTGCCACTGCACTCCAGCCTGGGTGACACAGTGAGATTCTGTCTCAAAAAAAAAAAAAGATATTGAATAAAAAGTTATTCAACCTTGTTATTAAAGTCACATATTACAATCTTATAGCCTGACCATCCCCCTGGGTGTTGCTAAACATGAAGGCTCCTCCCTTCAGGACTTCACAAACACAATCTTATTGAAATAACTGAAAGCTTCTGCTTTTGATATGAGCAGCAGAGGATCCTGGAGATTGATGGTTGTAAGAGGTTATGTAAGTTTCACACAGCATTGGGTTAGGTGTCAGACTTGGATTTGAAACTATATTTTGTCACTTATTATCTGGATGGTCTTAGGCACATTGACTTTTTTCATTTTTTAATTGTTTTTATATTTGCTGGTTTATTATAAAGGATACTACAAAGGATATAGATGAAGAGATGTGTAGGATGAGGTATAGGGAAAGAGGTATAGAGCTTCCATGCCCTCCCTGGGTGTGCCACTCTCCAGGAACCTCCATATGTTCAGCTATCCAGAAGCTCTTTGAACCATGTCCTCTTGGGTTTTTACATAGGCTTCATTACAGAGGCATGGTTGATTAAACCATTGGCCATTGGTAATCAACTTGACCTTCAGCCTCTCTTCCCTCTCCAGAGTTTGGGGGATGGGGTTGAAAGCCCAACCCTCTAATCATGCCTTTGTCTTTCTGGTGACCAGCCCTACCCTGAAGGTGTCAGTCAACATTACCATATAAAAAGACAGCACTTTGGCGATTCCAAGGGTTTTAGGAGTTATATGCCAGGAAACTGGGATGAAGACCAAATATATATTTTAAAATATCACAGTCCACCCCTGGTATTTGAACCTGGATCCTTTACATCAAAAGGGCATGCAACTCAAAAGATATTGAATCCCATTCAGTCATTAATAATTGGTCCAATCCATCATCTTGCATTAATGTGTCCCAGGGTGAGGCCACTCAGGTTTACAGGCTTCCTTTTAATCTTGTCAGGTTCCAAAAGCAGTTGTTGTCTCAGCAAACATATAACTTCACACTTTCAGGCATCTGGAATAACTGGGCTAAGAGGCAGTGTCATCTCTTGCTGTCTCTTTTGAAGTATTTATGTAATGTTTAATTTCTCTCAATTTTTAACCCATTTATTTACTCAAACTCACTTTTGGAAGGGATGTTAGAAACACCACTGTGCTGGATTGCAGGCAGCAATACTAGTCTAGCAAGTGCCTCCTCCTCAGTCTACTCCCATTCCAATAAGGTAAGGTTACATAGGTACAGAACTAGTGGGCTATTTTTACCACCAGGCAATATAGCTATATACATTCACTATTAGCCTCCATTTTGCCAAATGTGGAAGCACAATCCACCCCTAGAAGCCTTTTAGGAATTCTAACATAGAGGTTTAAAGGTAAAGTTTTTTGCTTAAAAAGCATTCCTGCTATTAGTAGGAGTTATAATTGGAGCCCTGGTCCTAGGACCACCACATCAGGTAAGGGAGAGAAAAAAATTTGAGGCAATTTGGAGAAGAACAAAAATTATAGTAGTTATACCAGTATACTCCTCCTTTGGTAAGAATTGCAGTTTTACCAGCATCCTCCCCAGATCAACCAGAAAGACAGATTAAAAAAAAAATCTAGGCCAGGCGCGTTGGCTCACGCCTGTAATCCCAGCACTTTGGGAGGCCGAGGCGGGTGGATCACGAGGTCAGGAGATTGAGACCATCCTGGCTAACACGGTGAAACCTCGTCTCTACTAAAAATACAAAAAAAAAAAAATTAGCCAGGCGTGGTGGCGGGCACCTGTAGTCCCAGCTACTCGGGAGGCTGAGGCAGGAGAATGGCATGAACCCGGGAGGTGGAGCTTGCAGTGAGCTGAGATAGCACCACTGCACTCCAGCCTCAGTGACAGAGCGAGACTCCCTCTCAAAAAAAAAAAAAAATCTAGTCCTACTTATGTACTGTGAGCACACACTTGTGAAGGATATAAGCAAGCCCTTCATATCTATTTCTCCCCCAATTTAGAAAACCAATATTTCAATTGCTCCTTCCTTTTGGTTCCATATGAAATTTTAAAGTAGTTTTTTCTAATTCTGTGAAGAAAGTCAATGGTAGCTTTATAAGAATAGCATTGAATCTATAAATTATTTTGGGCACTATAGCCATTTTCACGATATTGATTCTTCCTATTCATGAGCATGGAATGTTTTTCCATTTGTTTGTGTCCTCTCTTATTTTCTTCAGTAGTGGTTTGTAGTTCTCCTTGAAGAGGTCCTTCACGTCCCTTGTGAGTTGTATTCTAGGTATTTTATTCTCTTTGTAGCAGTTGTGAATGGGAGTTCACTCATGATTTGGCTCTCTGTTTGTCTATTATTGCTGTATAGGAATGCTTGTGATTTTTGCACATTGATTTTGTATCCTGAGACTTGCAGCTTAAGAAGATTTTGGGCTGAGACGATGGGGTTTTCTAAATACACAATCATGTCATCTGCAAGCAGAGACAATTTGACTTCCTCTCTTCCTGTTTGCATACCCTTTATTTCTTTCTCTTGCCTGATTGCCCTGGCCAGAACTTCCAATATTATGGTAAATAGGAGTGGTGAGAGAGGTCTTCCTTGTCTTGTGCCAGTTATCAAAGGGAATGCTTCCAGCTTTTGCACACACAGTATGATATTGGCTGTGAGTCTGTCATAAATAGCTCTTATTTATTTAAGGTATGTTCCATCAATACCTAGTTTATTGAGTGTTTTTAGCATGAAGGGTGTTGAATTTTATCGAAGGCCTTTTCTGTATCTGTTGAGATAATCATGTGGTTTTTGTCATTTGTTCTGTTTATGTGATGGATTACGTTTATTGATTTGTGTATGTTGAACCAGTCTTGCATCCCACGGATGACACCAACTTGATCGTGGTGGATAATCTTTTTGGTGAGCTGCTGGATTTGGTTTCCCATTATTTTATTGAGGATTTTTGCATTAATGTTCATCAGGGATATTGGCCTGAAATTTTTTTTACATTGTGTTTCTGCCAGGTTTTGGTATCACAGTGATGCTGGTCTCATAAAATGAGTTAGGGAGGAGTCCCTCTTTTTCTGTTGTTTGGAATGATTTCAGAAGGAATGGTACCAGCTCCTCTTTGTACCTCTGGTAGAATTTGGCTGCGAATCCATCTGGTCCTGGGCTATTTTTGGTTGGTAGGCTATTAATTACTGCCTCAATTTTAGAACTTGTTATTTGTTTATTCAGGGATTTGATGTCTTCTTGCTTCAGTCTTGAGAGGGTGCATGTGTCCAGGAATTTATCTATTTCTTCTAGATTTTCTAATTTATTTGCATAGAGGTGTTTATAGTATTCTCTGATGGTAGTTGGTATTTCTGTGGGATCAGTGGTGATATCCCCTTTATTATTTTTTATTGTGCCTATTTGATTCTTCTCTCTTTTCTTATTTGTCTTACTAGTGGTCTATGTATTTTGTTAAAATTTCCAAAAAACTAGCTCCTGAATTCATTAATTTTTTGAAAGGTTTTTTATGTCCCTATCTCCTTCAGTTCTACTCTGATCTTAGTTATTTCTTGCCTTCTGCTAGCTTTTGAATTTGTTTGCTCTTGCTTCTCTAGTTCTTTTAATTGTGATGTTAGAGTATTGATTTTAAATCTTTCCTGCTTTCTGATGTGAGCATTTCATGCTATAAATTTTCCTCTTAACACTGCTTTAGCTGTGTCCCAGAGATTCAGGTACATTGTCTCTTTTTTCTCATTTTCAAAGAACTTATTTATTTCTTCCTTAACTTCATTATTTACCTAGTAGTCATTCAAGAGAAGGTTGTTCAGTTTCCATGTAGTTGTGTGGATTTGAACGAGTTTCTGAATCCTGAGTTCTAATTTGATTGCACTGTGGTCTGAGAGACTGTTATGATATCTGTTCTTTTGCGTTTGCTGAGGAGTGTTTTACTTCCAACTATGTGGTCAACTTTAGAATAAGTGCCATGTGGTGCTGAGAAGAACATATATTCTGTTGATTTTTGTTGGAGAGTTCTGTAGAGGTCTATTAGTTCTGCTTGGTCCAAAGCTGAGTTCAAGTCCTGAATATCCTTGTTAATTTTCTGTCTCATTGATCTGTTTAATATTGACAGTGGGGTGTTAAAATCTCCCACTATTATCATGTGGGAGTCTAAGTCTCTTTGTGGGTCTGTAAGAACTTGTTTTATGAATCTGGGTGCTCCTGTATTGGGTGCATATATATTTGGGATAATTAGCTCTTCTCGTTGAATTGATCCCTTTACCATTATGTATGTCCTTCTTTGTCTCTTTTGATATTTGTTGATTTAAATTCTGTTTTATCAGAGGCTAGGATTGCAACCCATGGTTTTCTTTTTTTGTTTGTTTTTTGTTTTGTTTTGTTTTCTATTTTCTTGGTAAATATTCCTCCATCCCTTTATTTTGAGCCTATGTGTGTCTTTGCACATGAGATGGGTCTCCTGAATACAGCACACTGATGGCTTTTGACTCTTTATCCAATTTGTTAGTCTATGTCTTTTAATTGGGGCACTTAGCCTGTTTACATTTAAGGTTAATATTGTTATATGTGAATTTGATCCTGTCATCATGATGCCAGCTAGTTATTTTGCACATTAGTTGATGCAGTTTCTTCATAGTGTTGTTGGTCTTTATATTTTGGTATGTTTTTACAGTGACTGGTACCCATTTTTCCTTTCCATATTTAGTGCTTTTTTCAGGAGCTCTTGTAAGGCAGGCCTGGTGGTGACAAAATCCCTCAGCATTTGCTTGTCTGTAGAGAATTTTATTTCTCCTTCGCTTATGAAGCTTAGTTTTAGCTGGATATGAAATTCTGGGTTGAAAATTATTTGCTTTAAGAATGTTGGATATTGGCCCCCGCTCTCTTCTGGCTTGTAGGGTATGTACAGAAAGATCCACTGTTAGTCTGATGGACTTCCTTTTGTAAGTAACCTGACCTTTCTCTCTGGCTGCCCTTAACATTTTTTTCTTCATTTCAACCTTGGTGAATCTGATGATTATGTGTCGTAAGGTTGCTCTTCTCGAGGAGTATCAGCCAGTCTGGTAGAATGAATAAAAGCCACTATAAGGTCTGTTTACCCTGAGAAGGGGACTGCCCAACTCTCCCTATAAAATGCCAAGTGGCGCACCCTACATGAAGCAGCTGATATGCTTCATATGCAAGTCATGTTGGACTGGCTTTACCATGATATTCGCCCACTGAATATGCCCATTACCCAGACCATGGTAAATGCTACGGTTCAAAGGGACCCTTCTACATGGGTATCCTGGGTGCCATTACTCCTACAGAATCAAACAATGGTTCAAGAAGCCTTATCAAATATGCTGTTGCAGCTTTTCCTCATGAGTCTTACAGGTGCTAATAAAACATAAGGATAATTAACCAAAAAAAATGAGAAAGGCAAAAGGGGAGTCAAAGGACTCATCTTAGAAGGGTAGAAATCTTTAGATGGTTATTAAGAAATGAAATAGCCAGGCACAGGGCTCATTCCTATAATCCCAGCACTTTGGGTGACCGAGGCAGGCAGATCACTTGAGGTCAGGAGTTCAAGACCAGCCTGGCCAACATGGTCAAACCCCATCTTTATGAAAAATACAAAAATTAGCCGAATGTGGTGGCATGTGCCTGTAAGAGTATGAATTCCCCTGGAGTCTGTGGTTTCCAAGGGCTCTATGCACTCATGCTAGCCCACACTTGGCCTTTAGATGTTTAACTTTTAATCGAATTCCTCATACTTGCTTATATGGAGGCCTTATCTTCCCATTGACACAGGTGAGCCAGTGTTCATGTTCTGTCTTTTCTTGAAAAAGTCCATCTTTCCTTAGAGTTCAGGCTAGTTAGTTGCCCTGCACCCTCAGCTCTTCAATAAATTCAAGGTTTGTTTTGATTTTTTTGAGACAGAGTCTCACTCTGTCACCTAGGCTGGAGTGCAATGGCATGATCTTGGCTCACCACAACTGCAGCCTCCCAGGTTCAAGCAATTCTCCTACCTCAGCCTCCTGAGTAACTGGGACTACAGGCACATGCCACCACACCCAACTAATTTTTGTATTTTTAGTAGAGATAGGATTTCACCATGCTGGCCAGGCTGGTCTTGAACTCCTAGACCTCAGGTGATCTGCCCACCTTGGCCACCCAAAGTGCTAGGATTACAGGTGTGAGCCACCATGCCTGGCCTCAAGTTATGATTTTTTAGTTTATCGGTATTTTTCTTATTGTTATGTGGAGGACACTGCGTTTGCCAGGTTTTTTGTTTTTGTTTTTGTTTTTGTTTTTTGAGATGGAGTATTGCTCTGTCGCCCAGGCTGGAGGACAGTGATGCGATCTTGGCTCGCTGCAATCTCTGCCTCCCAGGTTCAAATGATTCTCCTGCCTCAGCCTCCCAAGTAGCTGGGATTACAGTTGCATGACACCACACCTGGCTAATTTTTGTATTTTTAGTAGAGTCAGAGTTTCACCGTGTTGGTCAGGCTGATCTCAAACTCCTGACCTCAGGTGATCCACCCACCTTGGCCTCCCAAAATGCTGGGATTACAGGCATGAGCCACCACGCCCGGCTGCCTTTGCCAGTTTTCTACATCCTATGTGGAACCCAGAAATCCCTGATGTCCATTTGTGTTGTAGTTATCTAGTTTTTTTTCTAGTTGTTACAGTGGGAATAATGGTCTTTCACTATCTTCTACATTCTGACCCAAAGCCAAATGTCATAATAACCTTTCTGAAACATAAATTGGATCATAACACTCCTTTGCTTTCTATCCTTCAGTGGTTTCTAATCATACATCAAACTTTAAAAATAATAAAATTCAAAATTTTTCTTTTGCTTGTAATATCCTGCATGATCTTGGGTCTTTTTGCTGTCTTTTTTTTCTATCTTTTCAAACACATCTCATGCCATTCTCCTTATTTTCTATACTCCAGCCAAGGAGTTGGCAATCTTTTCTTATAAAGGGCCTGATACTCATTATTTTAGGCTTTTGGGCCACATGGTCTCTGTTGCAACTACAACTCTTCTGTTGAAGCACGAAGCAGCTATAGACAATATATAAATGCATTAGCTTTGCTGTATTCCAATAAAACTTTATTAATGGACATTGAAATTTGAATTTAATATATTTTTTGTTTGTCATGAAATATTCTATAATTTTTTTCTTCCAACCATTTAAAAATGTAAAAGATCAGCTGGGTGTGGTGGCTCACACCTGTAATCCCAGCACTTTGGGAGGCTGAGGTGGGTGGATCACGAGATCAGGAATTCAAGACCAGCGTGGCCAACATGGTGAAACCCTGTCTCTACTAAAAATACAAAAATTAGCTGAGCATGATGGTGCACACTGTAATCCCAGCTACTCAGCAGGCTGTGGCAGGAGAATCACTTGAACCCAGGAGGTAGAGGTTGCAGTGAGCCGAGATCGCGCCAGTGCACTCCATCCTGGGCAACAGAACAAGACTCCAACTCGAAAAAAAAATCAATAAAAATGTAAAAGATCATTCTTAGCTTGGAGGCTATAAAAAAGGATGCAGCATGTCAGATTTGGCCCATTAGCTGCAGTTTCCTGACCTCTATCTACCTCAATTGGTTCTTTACTTACATTACATGGAAAGTGCAAACTTGGATGGCTTCAATGTCTGGCTTCTTTTATTTATTTATTTATTTATTTATTTATTTATTTATTTATTTTTTGAGACGGGGTCTCGCTGTGGCCCGGGCTGGAGTGCAGTGGCACGATCTCTGCTCACTGCAAGCTCCACCTCCTGGGTTCACACCATTCTCCTGCCTCAGCCTCCCGAATAGCTGGAACTACAGGTGCACGCCACCACGCTTGGCTAATTTTTTATATTTTTAGTAGAGACGGGGTTTCACTGTGTTAGTTAGCCAGGATGGTCTCGATCTCCTGACCTCATGATCCGCCCATCTCGGCCTCCCAAAGTGCTGGGATTACAGGTGTGAGCCACCGTGCCCGGCTGGCTGGCTTCTTTTTACCCTTCACATCTGGCTTTAAATACTACCTTTTCACAGATTTCTTCTCTAATCACTCTTTCTAAAGTAAATATGCTGTTTTTCATTATTAGTCATTGCATCCTATTTCTTTCCCTTTAATTTTCTTATCACAATGTATAATTATATGTTTTTTTTTTTTTTTGGTTATTGCCTGTCTCCCTCAATAGATCATAAGTTCCATTTGATAAGGTACAATGTCTGTTGGTTTATTAGCCAGTGCCTAACACTACCATTTAATATGTATTCAATGAATATTTGTTAAATGTATTGATTGAATTTAAAGTGACTACTCAGCCTACTTCTGCCCCTTGGAGCTTGGATTGTTTCTTCAAAGGTATTGATCCTTTTGACTATTTTAATTATGAATTCACTAAAGACATCTGGAAGGCTTATTGTGTCAAGCAGTGCCAAATCCATGGCTTGATGAACCTAGATCCATCCCCTTCCCCTTTCCATATCACAGATGACAACTTGATGGTTGGCCTATGACTTGTAAAAGTTGTCATATTTGAATTCTGAAATTTCTCTAATTTTCTTGGGAAGCAGAAAGGAAAAATTAGTAGTTGGCCTCAAAGGGACAGTTGAATTTCACATATAATGAGCAAAGTAGTGTGAGGAAGAGAGGAGGGCCTTTTCTTTTGAGGTCATAACTAAAAGTTAGGTGAGCAAATGCCATAAGCATGAAAATAGCAAACCAAGCTTCTTGGTTTCTATCCAAAGGCTTTGTTGGGAAAAGTATCAAAGTGTGTTCATTTGTTATGTAATATATAAGGTAGAGAACCCAATTTGAAGGAGGTGGAATAACTTTCCAAAATACTTATGGCTAAATTCTCAGTTGATCTTGGAATAAGATTCAAGAATCCAAATGCACCCTTCTTTGTTATCTTGCTAGAAAACATGCTGGGCATGGTGGCTCATGCCTGTAATCCCAACACGTTGAGAGGCCGAGGTGGGCAGATCACGAGATCAGGAGTTGGAGACCAGCCTGATCAACATGGTGAAGCCCCGTCTCTACTAAAAATACAAAAATTAGCCAGACATAGTGGCACGCACCTATAATCCGTGCTACTCAGGAGGTAGGCAGGAGAATTGCTGGAACCCGGGAGGTGGAGTTTGCAGTGAGCCAAGATCACACCACTGCAATCCAGCCTGGGTGACAGAGCGAGACTCTGTCTCAAAAAAAAAAGAAAAGAAAAAAGAAAAGAAAGAAAAAAGGGAAGGGAAGGAAAGGGGGGAGGGGAGGGAAGGGAAGGGAAGGGAAGGTAAGGGAAGGGAAGGGAAGGGAAGGGAAAAGGGAAAACAATGTGCTTTTACCCACAGCTGATAAGCTTTTCTAATTGTCTACCTTTGGGTTAAACTTTATCATTGAGTGTTTTTATCCCATTATGAAAGAATTAAGGTTTGAAGGACTGAGGTAAGGGTGGATATTTACTCTTAATTGAGTAGCTTAACCAAGTCAAGCCACAGATTAGCTGAAGCCAAAAAGCACTGGCAGCATTTGAAATAACTGAGAACATATTATACTTAACACTTTATTATCTAAGAGAGGCACTTGAAGTTGAGACCTAGAAATTTGATTCTGGGTTCTTTGTTTCTAAGGGGCAGGGTGAACCCAGCTATAGCATTCACAGATGCTATAGAATTATATATATTCTATATATAATTATATATATTACATTCATATTAATATATGTTAATATATTCTATATTATTCATATAGAATTCACAGATAATCCAAGTGCTTTTTTAATACATTGATACCAAATCTCTCCTGCTCTCAAAAAAAAAAGCCCAAGGCAAAAATTTTTGATTAGCCTGTATCCGCAAATTCATAGTGCATGGCATGATGGGTACTCTACATCCCTCCTCCTATTGCACTCACTGTGCCCAGATGAACCTAAAGTCACCAGTAATAGTGCTAATGTAGTAATGGGCCCAAGCTTCAAAAGAAGGAAAATTAGTATTCAGTATTTAAATGTGGGAAAGAGGAAGAATATGGAAATTATCAATTTTATAATACCTATACATATTCTTACCTGCATTAATGTGAATAGACATCAATGATAAACAGAATAATGCCCCATAAAGATGTCTACACTGTAATCTCCAAAACTTATAACTATACTATATCACATGGCAAGAGGGAATTAAGGTTACTAATCAGCTGACCTTGAGATGGGAGATTCTCCTGGTTTGTATGGGTGGGCCCAATGTAATCACAGGGTCCTTATAAATGGAAAAGGCAGACAGGAGATTCAGTGTCAGACTGATACAATGAGGGAAAGACTACCAGCAGTTGATGGCTTTGAAGATAGAAGAAGGGGGCCATGAGCCAAGAAATGTGAGTAGCCTCTAGAAGCTGAAAAAGGCAAGAAAACGGATTCTTCCCTAGAATCTCCAGAAATGCAGCCCTGCCAACATGGTGATTTTAACTCAATGAGATGCATTTTAGACTTCTGACATCTAGAATTGTGTTATTTTCAGCCCTCAAGTTTGTGGTAATTTGTTACAGCAGCATTAAGAAAATGTACAATGACCATGTGCAGTGCCTCATGCTTGTAATCCCAGCACTTTGGGAGGCCAAGGTGGGTGGATCGCTTGAGTCCAAGAGTTCGAGACCAGCCTGGGAAACATGGTGAAACCTTGTCTCTACAAAAACACAAAAATTAGCCTGGTGTGGTTGTGTGGACCTGTAGTCCCAGCTACTCTGGAGGCTGAGGTGGGAGGATGGCTTAAACCCATAAGGTGGAGATTACAATGAGCCAAGATCATGCCACTGCACTCCAGCCTGGACAGTAGAGCCAGAACTTCTCTCAAAAAAATAAAAAAGAAAGAAACTATACAATGCTCCTGTGATTCTAGTGCTATGTACATATATCCTTTATAGGGAATTAAGGAGGTTATAGACACAACCAGAAGAGGAGGCATGGAATAGACTAATGTATAATGGATAGGAAAGTGTATCTTTTACAACTTCTCTGTAAAAACACCTTCACCTACTTTATGAGTTTGCCTCAGCTGCCATAACAAAATATCAGACCAAGTGGCTTAAATAACAATTTATTTTCTCACAGTTCTGGAGGCTAGAAGTCTAAGATGAAAGTGCCAGCAAGTTTGATTTCTGGTGAAGTCTCTCTTCCTTGCTTGCCAATGGCCGCTTTCTCACTGTGTCTTCAAATGTCCTTCCTCTGAGTATGTGAGGAGAGAGAGGTTTGATGCCTCTTCACCTTCTTATAAGGACACCAGTCCTACTGGATTAGGGCTCCACCCTTATGACCTCATTTAACCTTAATTACCTCCTTAAAGGTTCTATCTCCAAATACAGTCACATTTGGAGTCAGACCTACAACATATGAATTTTGAGAGGACACAATTCAGTCTATAACACCTAGATGGAAGGCAATTTCATATAAAGATGATATGCAGTCTATGACAGCAAAGTAGCTAGTGGAAATCACAACCCCTAATTCTATTTTTATGTCATTCCCTAAGTCCAGGTCCCATGTGGATATAGCATTGTTCAGGGCTATCTCTTTGCTGTTCTTTTTTTTTTTTTAGACTCACACAAGCAATGTGGAGAAGGAACATGAAAACATCTTTGAGATAGAGCTTAATACAGATGTCAATCTCTTTGTAAATAAGCAATTAAAAGTGGAACCACTGTCCACCATGTGAGAAGAGTGACTGGCTATGGCTGGATATTTTTAAATACACATAAAATGTGGTATAAATGGTAGAATGCCAGGGATAGAAGGAGTATCTTATAAGTTACCTAGTCAACGTTCTGGCTTCTGGGCAGAAAACTATCTAAACTCAGCCAGATAATCAGTTTCAACTAAATCAGGAAAACATGGAATCATCTTTATCTAGGTAGTGTTATAGTTACATTGCCTCATTTATCTACACATCAATAAATTCTTTCTCATTGCTAATATTTATCATTCTTATCATAGTATAAGCAAATGTTTTAATTCTATTATGGTAAAGATAAAGCTTCTGTAATTAAAACACTTTAATCTGGAAAGACAGCAGTAAACCCTTCAAGCAAAAGCCCAAGTAGGTTCAAAAATAATAGCCAGAGAGGTTAAAGGTAAACCAATAGAGTGATATGTTACAGCAACTAAGGGAGAGAGGCAGGAGTTTTTTAAAAGAGAGAAGAGGAATTATAACAACAGAAACAGGTTAGCCAGCTGCCAGTTTAGATGAGCATAATGAGTCCCTTAGATAGATCATTGGTGATTTTTATCAAAACACTATCGGTGGAGTTGTGGGAGTGGTAGGCTGACTATAGTGGATTGGGGAATTAAATAGTGATGAACCCAAAACAGAAAGTCTGAAGAAATTCCCTTTGAGCCAAAAAAAAAAAAGGCCGGGTGCAGTGGCTCACACCCATAATCCCAGCACTTTGGGAGGCCGAGGTGGGAGGATCACCTGAGGTCAGGAGTTCAAGACAAGCCTGGCCAACATGGTGACTCTACTAAACATTGTCTCTACTAAAAGATACAAAAATTAGCCGGAAGTGGTGGCAGGCAACTTAATCCCAGCTACTTGGGAGGCAGAGGCAGGAGAATTGTTTGAACCCGGGAGGTGGAGGTTGCACTGAGCTGAGATCGAGCCATTGCACTCAAACCTGGGGGACAAGAGGGAGACTTCTCTAAAAAAAAAAAATTCCCTTTGAGCATCTCTACTGTAGAGATGAAATAAGAGAGAAGTGGATTCTTTAGTATAGAGATGGAAAGGTATGGAGCTAGAACATGTGGGTTGTGAACAGTGGCTAACTAAACCAGGACCAGTAACCTAGATATCACATTGGGCTTAATTGCTGGGTTATTCATTCATTCAGGCAACATGTATTTGTTGAGAGCCTGAATGTGCCAGGTAATAGAAACACAAAGGTGGTTAAAATAGACCTTGGCCTCTGTCTTCAGGAAGCTTCCAGTCTGAAGAGGGATGAAGACATATATTAATCAAACAATCCCACAAATGCAGGTATAATCTGCATAAACTGACAAATATATCTACTTTGGAGTCAAGAAATTAAGAGAAATCACTGATGTGATCAGTGAACAAGTAAGATTTATTAGGAAGATGGAAGGATGACATTACTTCAAATATATTACAGGAAACCCCAACCATGGTAACAACATCAGGCCTATCTTTACATATGTTTAATAATGCTTAACTTCACTTTTGCTCCTATCCTCCCCAAAGCAATCTTCAAGTTCTTCTGTATCTTTGTTTTATTTTCTTTGTTCTTTTTTGTCTCATTTCCTATACTGTTTTTATTCCATACTTTGACAGTTCAGTGAACTCCTTTGATAGATCCCAAGTCCTCCTTTTTCAATATTTACACTTATAATCATTTTTGATCACTCCAAAACTGAGAACTTTGAGTGTAGATTTTCTAGGCTTCTTATTTTATTTTTAGACATTATATAGAAAAATTAGAGGGAAGGGAAAAGAAGGATGGCAACATGGTAACTGGGACAGTGTTCAAAAGGTCTAAGTCCTACTTCTCACTCCATACAAATTATCTGCAATTTTTTTATTTTTGAGACAGGCTCTTATCTCTCACCTGGGCTAGAGTGCAGTGGCACAATCATAGCTCACTATAACCTTGAACTCCAGGGCTCAAGGGATCCTTCCATTTCGGCCTCCCGAGTAGTTAGGACTACAGGTGTGTGCCACTACACACAGCTAGTTTTTAATTTTTTTTTATTTTCATAGACACAGGGTCTCACTATGTTGCTCAAACTGGTCTTGAACTCCTGGCCCCAAGCAATCCTCCTGCCTTGGCCTCCCAAAGTTCTAGAATTGTTACAGGAAAGAGGTCCCAATCCAGGCCCAAAGAGATTTTATTTATGTACTAGTGTGGAGCCTAGCCTAGGACACATCAAGCAGAAGTGCAGATAAGGTCTGACTCTTTCCAGTACAGCTAGGGTGCCTGGCTCTCCACATGTCCCCAGACCTTATCTAGAATCTAATGTCTCCAAGGTAGGTACATTGAATAATTTTCAAAAGTCAAGGAAGCAGTTTATGACCTTAAAGTAGTTAGCAAACTTAATATCTGACCTGACTAATTTAGACCAAATGTTTACATTTTTGAAGATATTTTTATTTTATCAGTAATCTTTAAAACTATTTTCTATTTTCCAAAGATTACTTAAGTCAAATGAACTAAAAGGCATTATACATTTTAGTTTTCTGATGAAATATCTGATTTAAGCACTTATTATTTTTGAACCAATTAAAGCTTTTTTATATCACACACACAACACATATAAATACACAGACAGGCTGGGTGCAGTGGCTCACACTTGTAATCCCAGCACTTTGGGTGGCCAAGGCAGGCGGATCACGTGAGGTCAGGAGTTTGAGAGCAGCCTGGTCAATGTGGTAAAACCCCATCTCCACTAAAAATACAAAAATTAGCTGGGCATGGTGGAGGATGCCTGTAATCCCAGCTACTCAGGAGGCTGAGGCAGGAGGATAGCTTGAACCCAGGAGGTAGAGGTTGCAGTGAGCCAAGATTGTGCCACTGCACTCCAGGCTGGGTGACAGAGGGAGACCCTGTCTCAAAAAATTAATAAATAAATACACAGAAGAAGATAAAGGACTTATCCCCTAAGGCAGGAATCAAACCCTGAACACAGGCCACCATTGTGAAAAGAAAAAGCACAGCCACATGGTTACAAGGTCAAGCTCCCAAGGACATACAAAACAAGAAGGAAACCTCATCCAGTTTTTTCAGGGACCTGCAGCAAAGTTTGTACCTGATAAATTTACTGGGCCATCTTGAACAGCAGGTTTACAGGTGTCCTAAGCTCATGTTCTATCCTAAGATACCCCTCTTTATGACAGAACAATACAGAAAGACACACAACAGATTTGCTACAACTTAAGACTAGCCTCATAAATCCATTTTTTCACTAATCAAAACTTTACAGAGGAAATGAACAGTGATTTTTGCCATCCATTCAACCAGTTTTATAGAGAGAGAGAGAGGAAAGCATTGCCTGAGGCAGGGTGGGGAAGGCCCGGCACTCCGAGTGCCAGAGAAAGCCCCACCCATTGCAGCAACACTGAAAAGTTCATGCAGCTGCTTGTCAGTCATGAACGGATTTTTTCCAGCAGTCCCATCAGCTCTCATTTCCCTTTTTAGGAGGGAAAAGCTCCCCATGTTCTACAATCCTCTACATGCCTAATTCTGTCAACCATAGCCATCAGCAAAGAGTGCAAGGCAGATCAATCCAAAGAGAATAGCGGTTAACATCCTATAATGCCAAACCTGTTCTTAGCCGAAAGGGACTTTAAGGAGAGGGACTTTACTGAGAGGGACCTCTAACCCCCTAAATCTTAAAAGGGACTCTAATCCTCCTAAGTTGGGCCTCTAACCCAGTGTCAGTCAAGCATCCTTGCCTTTTATTGAGAGGAAGCTTTAACCCTCTCTTACGAGAGACTCTAACTCCCCTAAGTTGAGCTATAACCAATCCCATCCTTTGCCTGAGTACCCCACCACTTACCCAAAGTTGTCCAATTAGTAATGCTGCAGTCTATTTCCTTTGTGCTGGGGGTCTCCTCAGTATCATCCCTTCGAGTTTCACCAGAAAGATGTTATCAGGCCCCACCACTTACCCAAAGTTAGCCTTTGGATTGGGGGTTTCTGCATTATAGTCACTTCAGTGGTTGCCAAAAAGATGTTATAGGACCCCCAACACTTACCCAAAATTAACCTTTGGGTCAGGTATTTCTGCACTATAGTCCCTTCTGTGATAATCAGAAAGATGTTATAGGAAAAGGATCCTGATCCAGGCCCCCAGGAGAGGGTTCTTGGATCTTGTGCAAGAAAGAATTCAGGGCGAGTCCGCAGTGCAAAGCAAAACCAAGTTTATTAGGAAAGTAAAGGAGTAACAGAATGGCTACTCCATAGACAGAGTAACCCCAAGGGCTGCTGGTTGCCCATTTTTGTGTTTTTTTCTTGATGATATACTAAACAAGGGGTGGATTGTTCATGCCTTCCCATTTTAGACCATATAGGGTAACTTCCTGACATTGCCATGGCATTTGTAAACTGTCATGGTGCTGATGGGAATGTAGCAGTGAGGATGGCCACACTAATGTGTTTTAAGCCTTTTCCTCAGCCAAACTACAAAAAAGCAAAAATTACTTTGTTTCAATATTACCCCTACTGGCTAACACACTAGCAGGTCATCAGAATATTTGCCATTCCTACAAAATTCCAAGATTCTGTGATGATCCTTTGAGTATAAGAATCACAGAGATACACACAATTGTTACATGCTCTATTTAAGTTTTCTATGTTATATTTTCTCTTTATACCCCCCACCCCATTTCCTGACTCTTTCTTTTTAAAGGGTCTTTGGGATCATGAAAGCAAAATGCAGCATCCTCAGTGTCACACACGTCCATGTGAAGAGACCACCAAACAGGCTTTGTGTGAGCAATAAAGCTTTTTAATAACCTGGGTGCGGGCAGGCTGAGTCTGAAAAGAGAGTCAGCAAAGGGAGATAGGGGTGGGGCAGTTTTATAGGATTTGGGTAGGTAGTGGAAAATTACTGTCAAAGGGGGTTGTTCTCTGGCGGGCAGGGGTGGAGGACACAAGGTGCTCAGTGGGGGAGCTTCTGAGCCAGGAGAATGAATTTCACAAATGTCATCAGCTAAGGCAGGAACCAGCCATTTTCACTTATTTTGTGATTCTTCAGTTGCTTCAGGCCATCTGGATGTATACATGCAGGCTTGGGCTCAGAGGCCTGACATTCCTGTCTTTTTATATTAATAAGAAAAATAAAACAAAATAGTGTTGAAGTGTTGGGGCGGTGAAAAATTTTTTGGGGGGTGGTATGGAGAGTTACTGGGTGATGTTTCTTAGGGTTGCTTTGAGTGGGATTAGGGGTGGCGTGGGAACCTAGAGTGGGAGAGATAAAGCTGAAGGAAGATTTTGTGGTAAGGGGTGATATTGTGGATTTGTTAGAAGGAATATTTGTCACATAGAATGATTGGTGATGGCCTGGATACAGTTTTGTATGAATTGAGAAACTAAACAGAAGACACAAGGTCCCAATAACAGAAGGAGAAAAACAGGTATTAAAGGACTAAGAATTGGGAGGACTCAGGACATCCAATCAGAGTGCCTAAGGGGGTTCAGCGTGATTATTTTCTTGGTTGATGAGTTTTTGGGCTCTATCCTTGAGTTTTTTTATGTTGTCATATACCAAGCCAGATTGATTTAGGTAAAAACAACACTTTTCATTTAAAAATACACACAGTCCCCTTTTTTTGAGCAGTAAGTCAAGGCCTCAGTGATTTTGGAGGAAAGAGAAATGCAAAGCCAGCAATCATTTTTTAAAGAAGGATTAGAAACAGCTAGGAGAGAGTGAATGAGATTGATAGTGTGGTGGAGATAGCTGGGGAGAGGTAGAGGGTCGCATAAGAACAGGAATGAGAATAAGAGTGAATATAAAGGTAAAGAATAGGACTTTATTAGGGTGAAAGTATTGGAGTGTACCTTGTCACTGAAGATCTTCTATCCACTTCAAGAGAGACTTAAGGAAGGTGGTTTGAGGTAAAACCAGGAGATATGAGTTATGATGGTTTGGAGGAAAAGTGTAAACTGGCAGTGTAAACAAGGGCAGGGCATTTACGAGTAGTTGAGAATGGTGAATAGGAGTATGACTAGACAGAAGATAGTAGGGATGACAAGTTTTGGGGTTGCAGTCCAAGTAGTGGGGGTGACTGCATAAAGCCTTGTTGCAATAAGTAGGGTAATAAACTTAATAGAATGAAAGGATGTTTTAGGCTCATAAGGGTTACTACTGTTCTTCAGAAATGTGAGTGAGTTTAAGGGAAGTAGGGTTGAGTACTTGCAACTTCTAGGAGGAA
Organism: Homo sapiens; assembly: GCF_000001405.40. Classification (NCBI taxonomy): domain Eukaryota; kingdom Metazoa; phylum Chordata; class Mammalia; order Primates; family Hominidae; genus Homo; species Homo sapiens. The sequence goes on from NC_000023.11 coordinate 73,802,944, forward strand.
GAGGAGAGATTAGGCTGGCTGTCCAATGGACACAGCTTTATTCTGGAATGGTGAGCCTAATAGGGAGGGTCTTACAGGCGGATGGCAGTTGGGGTATTATAGATGACTAAGTAGGGTCCGGTCTATCAAGGTTATAGAGTTTGAGGGGTCAGATTCTTAACAAGAACTGATCGTCCATCTAGGGTGTCTTTATATGGCTGGGAATATGGAGTAGGCAAGAAAAGATTAGCAGCTTGGCAAATTTCCTGTCTTGCCTGCTGGAGGACCAGCAGATAGATTCCTAGAGGACTGGTGTCTGAGACGAGGTTGGGGCCAAGCAAGAAAGTGTGTCTATATAAAAGTTTAAATGGACTGTACCCTCTAGCATCTCAAGGACAGGCTCTAATTCTGAGAAAGGCAAGAGGTAAAAGTACTGTCCAATCTTTTTTAAGTTGGAGGCTGAGCTTGGTGAGATGTGTCTTTAAAAGACCATTAGTCCATTCTACCTCTCCTGAAGATTGAGAATGGTAAGGGGTATGAAGGTTCCACTGAATACCAAGAGCCTGAGAAACTGCTTGGGTGATTTGACTAATAAAGGCCGGTCCATTATCAGACTGTATAGAGGTGGGAAGGCCAAGCCTAGGAATTATGTCTGAAAGAAGGGAAGAAATGACTATGGTGGCCTTCTCAGACCCTGTGGGAAAGTCCTCTACCCATCCAATGAAAGTGTCTACCCAGACCAAGAGGTATTTTAGTTTCCTGACTCGGGGCATGTGAGTAAAGTCAATTTGCCAGTCCTGGGCAGGGCAAATTCTCGAGCTTGATGTGTAGGGAAGGGAGGGGGCCTGAGGAATTCCTGAGTAGTAGTAGTATAGCAGATGGGACAGAGAAGTGATTTTTTTAGGATAGATTTTTACAAAGGAAAGGAAATGAGAGGTTTTAAGAGGCAGGATAGCAGCTTGCAACTTACATGGAAGGGGTTACAAAATGACAACAGAATAGAATAGGCCTGTGAGGCTGGAAGGAGATATTTTCCTTGTTCCAAGAACCATTTGCCTTGTGTGGAAAGAGATTGATAGGTGGAAGTTTCAGTGGGAGAGTAGGTGGGAGTGACAGATGAGAAGGAGAAAAACTGGCCATGAGGGACAGAAGTTGGGACACTAGCTGCTTCTTTAGCTACCTTATCAGCATAAGCACTGTCCTGAGTGATGGGATCTGATGCCTTTTGATGGCCCTTGGAGTGAATGACTCCAGCTTCCTTTGGAAGTAAAGTGGCCTTGAGAAGAGTTTTTATTAAAGAGGCATTAATGATGGAGGACACTTGCATAGCGAGGAAACCTCTTTTAGCCTACATAACAGCATGGTGGTGCAGGATATGGAAGGCATATTTAGAGTCAGTATAAATATTGATGTGTAGTCCCTTTGCAAGAGTGAGAGCCTGAGTTAAGGCAATGAGTTTGGCTTGCTGACAGGTAGTGGAGGTGGACAGAGTGGTAACATCAAGGATAGATGTGGAAGATACTATAGCATAGCCTGCCTTTGCTAATGAGTGACAATTAGGCCTGATGGAACTGCCATCAATAAACCAAGTGTGATCAGGGTGAGGAACAGGAAAGAATGAAATATGGGTAAATGGAGTGAATGTCAGGTAGATCAGAAAGATACAGTCATGGGGGTCAGGTGTGGTATCAGGAATAATGTGGGAGCCAGCCTAAAACAGTAAGATCAAGTTGCTTGGACAGAAAGGCTACAGGTCATGGTCCTGGCTCTTGTGTAAGAATTCTGACCGCACAGCCCTGCACTTCAGCTGTGTGTAATGAAAAAGGGTTCAGATGAGTTAGGGAGAGCTAGTGTGGGAGCAGCTTCCAGGGCTGTTTTAAGAAATGGAAAAAGGAGTGGGGAAAGGATTTAGGATCTATGGGGTCAGCTAGGTTTTCTTTTGTGAGTTTATATAATGGTTTAGTCAGGACAGTAAAGCTAGGTATTTAAAGGCAAAAGTACTGAACCATGCTCAGGAAAGAAAGGAGTTGTTGCTTTGTCAAGGGGGTTGGGGTTTGGGAGATTAGCCAGACACGATCAGCAGGGAGAGCATGTGTGTTTTTATGAAGAATTATGTCAAGATATATAACGGATGAGGAAGAAATTTGGGCTTTGGAGGCAGATGTGCAATGTCCTTTTGAGAATAGATTGTTGGAGCAGCAGGAGGGTGTCCTGTTGGGAAGATTTGTAGGAGGGGCTATAAAGTAGAAGGTCATCAAAATATTTAATAAGGTGAGATGTAGATGGATGGAAAGAGAGTAAATCATGAGAAAGGGCCTGACTGAAGTAATAGGAGCTGTCCCTGAAGCCTTGCAGCAGTACAGCCCAGGTAAGTTGCTGAGACTGATGGGTGTCAGGGTCAGTCCAGGTAAAAGTAAAGAGGGCCTTGGAGGAAGGGTGCAAAGGAATAGTAAAGAAAGCATATTTGAGATCCAGAACATAATAATGGGTTGTGGAGGGGTTGTGAAGGGAGGTATTAAGAATAAGAGAGTATATGGGTTTGGCACCATGGGGTGGATAGGCAAACAATTTGGTTGATAAGGTGCAGATCCTGAACTAACCTGTAAGACTTGTCCGGTTTTTGGACAGGTAAAATGGGAGAATTGTAAGGAGAGTTTATAGGCTTCAGAAGCTCATGCTGCAGCAGGCGAGTGATAACAGGCTTTAACCTTTTTAAAGCATGTTGTGGGATGGGATATTGGCATTGAGCGGGGTAAGGGTGATTGTGTTTTAATGGGATGCTAAGGGGTGCATGATCGGTCCCCAAGGAGGGAGTAAAGGTGTCCTATACTTGTGGATTAAGGTGGGGAGATACAAGGGGAGGATGCGAAGGAGGCTTTGAACTGGGGAAAAGGCGGCAATGAGGTGTGGCTGTAGTCCAGGAATAGCCAGGGAAGTAGATAATTTGGTTAAAATGTCTTGGCCTAATAAGAGAACTGGGCAGGTGGGAATAACTGAAAAAGAGTGCATAAAAGAATGTTGTCCAAGTTGGCACCAGAGTGGGAGAGTTTTAAGGGGTTTTGAAGCTTGGCCGTCAATACCCACAACCGTTATGGGGGCAAGGGAAACAGGCCCTTGAAAGGAAGGTAATGTGGAGTGGGTAGCCTCCATATTGATTAAGAAGGGGATGGACTTACCTTCCACTGTAAGAGTTACCTAAAGTGTCTGTGATGGTCCAGGAGGCTTCTGAGGTGATCAGGCAGCGTCAGTCTCCAGCTGCTAAGCCAAGCAGATCTGGGAAAGTGTCAGTCAGAGAGCCTTGGACCAGAGCTTTAGGGGCTGTAGGAGTAGCTGCCAGGTGAGTTGGACAATCCTATTTCCAGTGGGGTCCTGCATAGATGGGACATGGCTTACGAGGAATCCCAGGCTGCAGCATTCCTTGGCCCAGTGGCCAGATTTCCAGCGTGTGAAGCAAGATCCTGGGGGAGGAGGTCTGGAAGGAATGCCTGACTGCTGTGGCTTAGGTGCTATGAAGTTCTTGTGTGCTGGAGATGTGGCTGGGGTTTCTCTCACAGTGGAGGCAAGTAATTGCAACTCTTCTCTATTATTGTACACCTTGCAGGTGAGGTTGATTAATTCCTGTTGTGGGGTTTGAGGGCTGGAGTCTAATTTTTGGAGCTTTTTCTAATGTCAGGAGCTGACTGGGTGATAAAATGCATATTGAGAATGAGACGGCCTTCTGACCCTTCTGGGTCTAGCTAGGGTGGTAAAGTGTCTAAGGGTTGTTGCCAAATGGGCCATGAACTGGGCTGGGTTTTTATATATGATGAAAAAGAGCCTAAACACTAACTGATTTGGGAGAGGTCAGCTAAAGAAAAAGGAGCATTAACCTTGACTATGCCTTCAGCTTCAGCCACCTCTGTAAGAGGAAACTGTTGGGTAGATGGGGGAGGGCTAGCCACAGAACGCAACTGTAAGCTGGACCAGGTGTGAGGAGGGGAGGTGATAGAAGGATTATAGGGTGGGAGAGCAGAGGCTGAGGAAAAATTGGGACCTGGCTCAGCCTGGTGAGGAGCAGCCTGGGGAGGAGGGGAGAGGTCAGATGGGTCTGTAGAAAAGGAGGATTCAAAGGACTCAGAGCTTGGGGTGGAGACTGAAGGAAGAGACAGGAGAGAAAGAAGAAAGATTTGGGATGAGTCACATTGGGAGCAGAGATTAGGAAAAGACTTGTTGCAGGAAGTCAGGGACCCCAAATGGAGGGACCGGCTGAAGCCATGGCAGAAGAATGTGGATTGTGAAGATTTTATGGACATTTATTAGTTCCCCAAATTAATACTTTTGTAATTTCTTATGCCTGTCTTTATTGCAATCTCTAAACATAAATTGTAAAGATTTCATGGACACTTATCACTTCCCCAATCAATACCCTTGTGATTTCCTATGCCTGTCTTTAATTTAATCTCAATCTTGTCAGTTGAGGAGGATGTATATTGTCTCAGGACCCTGTAATAATTGCATTAACTACACAAATTGTACAGCATGTGTGTTTGAGCAATATGAAATGTGGGCACCCTGAAAAATGAACAGGATAACAGCAATTGTTCAGGGAATAAGACAGATAACCTTAAACTCTGACTGCCGGTGAGCTGGGCAGAACAGAGCCATACTTCTCTTCTTTCAAAAGCAAATGGGAGAAATATCGCTGAATTCTTTTTCTCAGCATGGGATATCCCTGAGAAAGAGAATGCGCACCTAGGGGTAGGTCTCTGAACTGGCCCCCCTGGGGCGTACCTGTCTCTTATGGTTGAGACTGCAGGGGTGAAATAAACTCCAGTCTCCCATAGCGCTCCCAGGCTTATTAGAAAAAGGAAATTCCCACCTAATAAATTTTGGTCAGACCGGTTGATCTCAAAACCCTGTCTCCTGATAAGATATTATCAATGACAGTGGTGCCCTAAACTTCGTTAGCAATTTTAATTTCACCTTGGTCCTGTGGTCCTGTGATCTCACCCTGCCTCCACTTGCCTTGTGATATTCTATTACCCTGTTAAGTACTTGATGTCTGTCACCCACACCTATTCGCACACTCCCTCCCCTTCTGAAAATCCCTAATAAAAACTTGCTGGTTTTTGTGGCTTGTGGGGCATCACAGATCCTACCGATGTGTGATGTCTCCCCCAGATGCCCAGCTTTAAAATTTATCTCTTTTGTACTCTGTCCTTTTATTTCTCAAGCCAGTCAATGCTTAGGGAAATAGAAAAGAACCTACGTGATTATCAGGGCAGGTCCCCCGATAGGGACTGATGTGCAAAAGAATTCCTGGATATCAGGCACCTCAGACCATTTGCCCATTTTACGACAAGAATTATCTAGATCTTGTAGGATGGAGAAATCGAAAGTGCTGTTTTCTGGCTATTTGGAACCATTGTCAAGTTTGTATTGGGGTCAAGTGGTATTGCAGAAGAAAATAAGATGTTTAGGTTTTAGGTCAGGTGTGAGTTGAAGAGGTTTTAAGTTATTGAGAACACAGTCTAAGGGTGAAGATGGAGGAATGGAGGGTGGAAGTTTGCCTATAGTGAAGGAGGCAAGCCCTGAGAAAAGAGAGGGTAGAGACACGGAGAGAAGGGGTGGGGGGTACTTGCCTCCCGGGGAGGTGGTGCTTGCCACCAAGGTGAAGGATCAAGGCAGGCATCCCCATGGTGATCAGACACCTCTGAAATGTGGGTGAATAATCAGGCAGGCATCCCCGCAGTGATTAAACACTGAGGGAAGACTGTCTTCCCGAGACCATGACCATCGTCAGAGTTTTGGGTTCACACATAAAACATGTCTCCTCTGTCTCTACCAGAAAAGGAAAGGCACTGAAATTAAGGGAAGGGAGAGATTGAAGGGTAGCACAGAAATTGAAAGGAGAAAGAGGTTGAGGGATAGTGAAAGAAGTTGGAGAAGAGAGCAAAAAGAGGCTGCTTACCAGATTTAAAATTGGTGAGATGTTCCTTGGGCTGGTTGGTCTGAGGACCAGAGGTCATAGGTGGATCTTTCTCACGGAGCAAAGAACAGGAGGACAGGGGATTGATCTCCCAAGGGAAGTCCCCTGATCTGAGTTATGGCACCAAATGTCACGTGCATCCGTGGGAAGAGACCACCAAACAGGCTTTGTGTGAGCAATAAAGCTTTTTAATCACCTGGGTGCAGGCGGGCTGAGTCTGAAAAGAAAGTCAGCAAAGGGAGATAGGGATGGGGCAGTTTTATAGGATTTGGGTAGGTAGTGGAAAATTACAATCAAAGGGAGTTGTTCTCTGGCAGGCAGGGGTAGTGGTCACAAGGTGCTCAGTGGGGGAGCTTCTGAGCCAGGAGAAGGAATTTCACAAGGTAATGTCATCAGTTAAGGCAGGAATCGGCCATTTTCACTTCTTTTGTGATTCTTCAGTTGCTTCAGGCCATCTGGATGTATATGTGCAGGCTTGGGCTCAGAGGCCTGACACTCAGCAGCTACTACCACCATTGGCACCACTGGCACCACTGCCACCACCCCACTGCACCCCAGTTGCTTCACTCTCCATCACAGAAGCCTTTTCAGCAACAGCCAACATTTGTACCCTCACCAAGCCCTCTGATTTTCCCAATCACAAGGCCTTCACTACAATATTTTCTTCATTCACAAGTGTCACCTATTCTCCATCCCCAAGGTAAGTCAATTCTAATTTTCTTGCAAGGGTTGACAGAGGTAAAACCTGTCCAGATACCCCAAAGGTGTTTCATCTTGGCAATTCTTGACTCTTTCAAGGAAATAAGAATAGTCAAATATAACTAAGTAAAATAAATAAGAATATATAAGGTCTGTAAACCAAAAATGAAATTCTAAGCCCCCCAACCAACTGAATGGACCCCTCCTCTCAGCCAAGGGCATTCTAAAGTTAACCTGAAAGACTAATTCAGGCCATGATGGAAGTGGGTGGTCAGGCATGCCTCATTATATCCTCCTCCCTTTGGAATTTAGACACAAATGACCAACATTAACATTAAAACAGAGACCTTAAGATTGACAAAGTAGACTCTTTGTAGCAATAAGATATGAACACAACAGATAGCAGGCCCCAAAATATATTTATTCAACATATTTTTAAATGGCCCTGCAAAGCTGTCTCTTGTGGGGAAACCTACATTCTGTAGAGAATGCCCTTCCCTTTCCAGATCTTTTCGCTTATCCAGGAGAGAATTAACTAAGAGTCTGGTACCTTTTTAAGTCTGATAAGAAACATTTACAATCTATTCTCTCTGAAGCCTCCTACCTGGAGGCTTCATCTGCATAAGAGCCTTAGTCTCAGAAGCCCCTTATGTTAATGCAGATACTCCCTTCTATTGATTTCAAGACTTTAATCAGAAAACCTCTGAGTCTTCCTATGACCTGGAAGCCCCCACTTAGAGTTGTCCCACATTTTCAGACCCAACCAATGTACATCTTACATGCATTGATTGATGTCTTATGTTTCCCTAAAATGTATAAAACCAAGCTGTAGCCTGACTACTTTGGGTACATGTTCTCAGGTCTCTTGGAGCTGTGTCATGAGCTATTGGTCACTCATATTTACTTGGCTCAGAATAAATCTCTTCAAATATTTTATAGAGTTTGACTCTCTGTTGACAAGTCCTAGTTTTAAAACAGTTTTTATTTCATTTATTTATTTTGAGATGGGGTCTTCCCTCTGTCACCCATGTTGGAGTGCAGTGGCACAATCTCAGCTCACTGTAACCTCTGCCTCCCAGGCTCAGGTCATCCTGCCACCTCAGTCTCCCAAGTAGTTAGAACCACATACGTGTGCCACCATGTCCAGCTAATTTTTTGTATTTTTGATAGAGATGGGGTTTCTCCATTTTGCCCAGGCTGGTCTCAAACTCTCTAAGCTCAGGCAATCCACCTGCCTCAGCCTCCCAAAATGCTGGGACTACAGGCATGACCCACAGCGCCCAACCAAAATGACTTGTTTTTAGACAAGAGGTTAGAAATTTTTTTTCCTCAAAGGGCCAGACAATAAGTAGATTAGGCCAGGGTTTCTCAACCTCAACAGTATTCACATTTTGGGCCAGATAATTCTTTGTTGTGGAGTGCTTTCCTTTTCACTGTAGGGTATTTAACTGCATCCCTGACTTCTACTCCCTAGGTGCCAATAACATCTTATTCTCAGTTGTGACAATAAAAACATTTTCCAGACATTTCTAGATGTCCCATAGGAGGTAAAATTGCCCTGAGGTGAGAATAACTGGTATAGACTTTGCATTCCATATGCTATCTGTCACAACTACTCAGCAGTGCCATTATAGCACAAAAGCAGCCATAGACAATATGAAAATGAATGGACATGGTACTTTCCCAATAAGTACTATGGAAACTGAAATTTAAATTTCATATAATTTTCACATGTAATAAAATATTCCTTTAAAAATTTAAGCATTTAGAGATGGAAAACCCATTGTTAGCTTGTGGGACAAACAAAAACAGGTGGTAAGCCATAGCTTTCCAACTCCTATTTGTTTTATTTTTGAAAGTTTAATAATATATGTAATTTAAACTACTGTATCCAAATAATATTATTTTAACATGTGGTAATTATAAAAATCAATTCATAAATTCAGTATGTATTTTACATTTATAATACATCTCAATTTGTACTAGCCACATTTTAAGTACTCAATAGTCATATATGGCTAGTAGCTACCATATTGGGCCATGATGCCCTAGAGTATTTGCTTTTAATTATTAGGCATACTTCCTCTCAAGAGGCCCTAGTCATTGGGAACATGAGGTCACTTTCTCTTTGAAGGTAAAAGCCTCTAAGTCCTGTTATTGATCTAAACTCACACAAAAAAAAAAAAAACTGAAAGTAAGGTTTAAAAGACCACCATGACAATATTTATCCAATTTGTGACTGTATTTCTGATTGGCAATTCAAAATTTTGTTTGGCTTAGTAATTTTTCTTGCTATCTTGAATAGAATTAATCCCAGAAGGTCTGGTAGACAATGAGTGTTTTGGTGTAACTGGGTTTCTTTATGTACAAAGCTACAGAATTCCCCTTGAAGACACTGGCCTTGACATCCCTGAAATAGCAAAATAGACTTTTTTGTTTACTCCACGTGTAGTATATGACAGTTAGTGCATTGTAGATAGGGCCATCTATTGAAATCTACATGTGATTATACTCTATCGAACATCTACTTTAAAACAGCAAACATGAGAGCCTACAATTGACATCTCACTGTTTAAAAAAAACAATTTCACATATATATTCACAAACATACTAAAGTGGTCAATATTCAAAGTAAAGACTCAGATATTCCTCACTTTGCACCATGGTTTAGTTAAATAATACAAGTACCCCAACAACACAGTTTAAATTTCAGTTACCATGGTATATTGACTGTGATATTAAATAAAGTACAAATTTCACTGCTAGGTTTTCAGTATGTAAATTACTATATAACTAACAGATGTGCATCATGATCAATTATGAATCACATCACTTCTTTCACAGTCTTTGGTGACTGGTCACTTATCAGCTATTCAGTACATGTGCAGAGAACAAACCATGTGTTTGTGTTGCCTCTTTGTCTGCCAGTGATAAACCCAAGTGACATTTAACAAAAACATATAATGAAAGAGGGAATTGGCCAATAAAAATGAAAGCTCAAGAAAGAAACTAAAGTCACAATGCTGGAAATGAAATTCAAATCAAAGGTAAATGAAGTTATAGAGGAAACAGCTGACTGTGGGAATGTTGACACTTTCACTGGTTGGAAAGGCTATATAGATATGAAGCCAAAGGAACTTAGTTAAAGCAGACATTGACATAAATGAGGAATTTGGTTGTGACAAGCAATGCCTATTTTAGACCAATGGCTTGTATCCTCATTAGGGACTGTCAGTATACCAAAAGAATGGGTGTTAAGTCTAGGAAAATTATAATCATCATTAAGTTGACTTTTAGTTCCCAAGATTTCCTATAATTACTGTTTTCAGTATTTAGATATTACTGCTAATGGTAAAATGGCCTATGAGTAGAAAATATGAAATTTACATTTCTCTTTATCCAAATTTCCTAGTGGAACCCTGCCCCTAACAATGTTTACCACTTCTTACTGTCCATTTTCACAGATATGGGGGACATGATTACATGCCCTCAACCCATATGTTTTCTAGGTAACTCTACCACAGAATAAAGCGGTACTCAAATTACTCTCAGCTTGCTTAATATCCACTTTAGGACACTGAAAAACAAACACAAAGGGACTAAACAAGATGAACAGTACGTATCCCATTTCTTTTAAGTCCACTATCTTGATATCATGAGGCCCCCTCACTGGTTTTATGTAGATGGGCTACTGGAATGCATAAGCTAGTGCCAATTCTTATTTTCCAAAGATGTTAAAAGATTAACATAGGATGGGAGGAGAGTGAGGATCAAAAAATCTACCTATCAGGTACTATGCTCACTACCAGTGTAATGAAATCATTTGTACATCAAAGCCCATGACACACAATTTACCCATGGAAATTTACCCATTGGCTTTTGCTGCAAAAGTACCCCTTGAACCTAAAATAAAAGTTGGAAGAAAAAAACTTAACATAGCAAATTCTTAGACATTGTTCTGACTTGTTTGCAAGACCTATGCTTTCTTCCTAAGCTGGTGCTGGATAGTTCTTTTGACTTTTTTCATTATTGATCTTCTCTCTCCCTAGCATTGCCACCAAGGGAAACTATTTCATGTAAGACATTCTTTTCCATCCAGCCATCTGGTTGGCCCTAATTTCTCTGAGCACATCTTTCCCACCTGTATTGTGAACCATAGAGCAGGCCTAAGGGAAGGTTATAAAGAAGGTAAGGTTGGTCTGTATTGTCTCAGTCTCTTTTAATATCTATTCCCTTCTGTATGGTACTCCTTCTTCTCAGAGACTCCTGTTCTCTAGCTTCTTCATAATCGGCTTTCAAAATAGGATCTGCTGTCAGCGATTTATCCCTTTAGTGCTAGGATGGTAAATAAATTTTATCTTGCATGCCAACTCTAAATTATTAGTAGCAGCCACCTGAAATGCTACGTGAAGGATTCTGGGGATGCATCCAGTTGAATTAGTTATGAGAAGAAAAATTGGCTACTATAGGAAAGAGAATCAACAATTCAATGGATTAAACAAAAAGAGTGTTAATTATTTCTTACATGACAGTATCAATGTAAAAAGTTCAAATCAGAGAGGGAATTCTGTTTCTTAGTCATTCAGGGACTTGATTTCCTTCCAAGTCATTGTACTTTCATCTCATAGGGAATCACTCCCATCTGTATACTGAAACTGGGTAGCCATTACATCTGAGTTGCAGCTGGTGGGAGAAAGTATGGAAAGGAGAGCATACCCTATGTCTTAGGACCCAGGCATGGAAATGGCATACATCACTTCTACTCACATTTTATTGATCATAACAATCATTTGGCTGCACAGAACTGCAAAAGAAGCTGAAAAATGTACCCTAGCTGGGCAGCCACACATCAAGCAAGAATGGGAGAATGTATTTTGGTGGGCAACGAGCATTTTTGTCCCTTACTAGGCTTAACAGGAATCAATGCTATGATTAATTAATGAAATTTTCCACGAGTTGGAAAAAAACTGTGGCATCCACCCATATTATGGTATTAGCTGATCTTGCCTTAAGTGTGAAATGGAAGTCTTGTTTTCTTTCCTAGAGGGTCCTGAAGTTTAAATATAATTCCAAAAAATTTGACAGGCATTTTCCACTATGAGAAAGGTACTTTTGTTAGGTACAAAAATAAACTTGTCCCTGCTTTATCACTTAATGTAGAATCAAAGATTCGTCTCCAGATAACAGAATTTCAGACATCAGCTACCAAGGAGGGAAAATATAGGCTTGGGAAAGAAGGCCTTCTTGTATGAAATCACACCACACAGGCACTAGACAGCTCTACTTATATAAAGTTTAGCTCTATAAAAATGAGATTGGGGTGTTTCAGAGATTTTATTAGGAAATGTACAGAGAAAACAGTTGATGGGGCAAAAGCTATAAACACTAAGGTGAGAAGGAATCAGAATATAGGCAAGAGTTATAGAAGCATCTAAATGGCATTTGTATCTGTTTAATCAGCCTATCAGGTAAATCTGCCCACTTTTCTCCCTACCAGTGAACATCTGTTTTGAACCTCTAGGATATGGGACCTCTTGCTTGATACCAGTCTTTCTGTGCCTACCTATTCTAAAGCCTGATGTCATCTTCTGTGCCTTCCCTTATAGGCTTACTTCCTTCAACGCTGACCATTCCTCCAGCATTTCTTATTCTAAAGAGGAACAGGTAAGAAACTTCGTTGGAGGGAAAATTAAGCAAGGATTGGCATTAGAGAGGGAGCTGTGCACAGTCCCTGTCTCAACAAAAATAGCTTAAGATGAGACAAGTACTTTACTTAGCATAATCTTGCTACTGAAGGGGCTATTCTAAATGTCCCCCCGCCCAACACCATTATGTAAACATTCTCTAATATTCGCTACTTAATTTAGATTATCCACCCTTCCTTCTGGCCATTGCATTCCTTATCTAGCAATGCAGGAAAAGGGCAAGAAATCAAAGGGAAGGAATAAAGGGACTTCTGTTTCCAGACTGTATTTTAAAGGGAAGTCATGGTTGGTTAGCGATTTTCTTTAGCTTTTGCTTTGCGTTTGCAGAATAGCTAATATTATTGTTTTACCTATGGGAACTGGTATCCAATCTAGTGCCCAATGGGGCTGTTGTTACTAGAGCTATTTTCTGTGAACCTCATAGCAGACTCTCTTCTGCTGAAAATGAGATTTACTATTCATTCTGGGTTCTCTCAAAAGCCAGCCTGCCATCTACAATTAGCGGTCACATCCATTTGGCTATAGTTCAGGTAAGTCCAATTCTTCATGTCCTGCTTCTCAGCTCTCTGCTGCTCAGAGCCAAAAACCTTATCTTAGAACCCCAAAATACATGTCTAGTTGCTGTATCAAAGACCAGGTAGCAGCCTTTACAGAAAGTCCCTTTTCTCAGAATCTAGTTGAGCCAATACTATGCAGTGTCCACTATATTCTTCTTGGTTCATTCTCTTTCTTTTGGAGGCAACAGCTTACTATGGTGAGGACAACTGGAATCCATCTCTACCTATTCACCACTTTTTAAGTAGTAAAATTGGTAGCTCAAAAGTAACTTTATTCCCTGCTAAGTCTTGCTCTTTCCAATTATTATTCAAACATGAGAGGTGACAGTGAGAAGATTGGTTTGGCATTATAGGATGGTACCATGCAAGGTACTCTAACAACCGGCCTTCTGTCTCATGGTCTATCTCCCTGCAGATTCAGGTTGCATCAGCTGTCCTCCTATGTCCACAATCCAAATGCTATGGGATACTATGGCAGACAAGTTTTCCAGTTCTTCAGGAAGTAGCAACTGTGAGTATTCTAGCTCACAATGGGAGGAGCACAACGACTGGACTCCAGCCATGAGCAAATACAAGTAAAGGTTTAACTGAGACTGTCTGCTCCCCAGTTCTCCAACCCCTGCCTACCCCAAGCCCCTTTTTGTCTTGATTTATAGTAGAAAAGTAATAGTCGGTCGGGCGCGGGGGCTCACACCTGTAATCCCACCACTTTGGAAGGACGAGGCAGGTGGATCACCCGAGGTCAGGAATTCTAGACCAGCCTGGCCAACATGGTGAAACCCCATCTCTACTAAAAATACAAGAAAAAAATTAGCTGGGTGTGGTGGCAGGCTCCTGTATTCCCAGCTACTCAGGGGGCCAAGGCAGGAGAATCATTTGAACCCAGGAGGCAGAGGTTGCAGTGAGCTGAGATTGCGCCATCACACTCCAGCCTGGGCAACAAGGGCGAGACGTCATTTCAAAAAAAAAGAAAAAGAAAAGTAATAGTCACAAAATGGATATAAAAAGAGAGGTAACAATGGGAAACTACAGGGGGGCAAATTAATACTTTTATAGTTTCAGCAGACCTGTAGTAACAGAAGAAAAACTGATTTTCACTTGGTTCAGACTATCTCCCTGGGCTAGAAAGTATAGGGCCAAGGTAGAGGAATCGGAGGTAGATGAATTATCTTCCTGTGTCTTCCTTTAAGTAGTTCACATTGCTCCCATTTAGGTACCAGTTAATAGTCATAATTACTATAATCCCTCTCTTTGGATATTCTCTAAGACTTTATTTCCTCGTGAGCATAAAGACATAAAATAGTACACTGGAGGTTAGCTATGATTAGGAAGAGCCATTCTAACTGTAAATTACTCATAATCCAAGCTCTTTCCTGATGAGCATGTATCCGTTATAAAAGAGGCTATGATAATATACAGTGAGAAAAGAATTTGTTTAGAAATTAAGTGAATTTGGATCTAGGGTCACCTCAGCTATTTTGCGCTGCGACATTGATCAAGTTATTTTCTCTGGGTTTCAGATGCCTCATCTTTATTTTGTGCATTTAGATACACAATTCTAATTGGCCCAATGGGAATTACACAGCTAACACCATCATGCAGCAAAACAAAATAAAATACAGTGGAACTGAAGTGAGGGAGTAAAACCACCACACTATGCAGATGAGACTATCTGCCTAGTAACAAGACATTTCTTGGACTCTGGTACTTCAGCCAAATGTCCTCTGGGAGTGGAGAGGCGGGGAGACAATATAGTCCACTGCCAGAAAGAACCCACATCTGTTCCACCACTCTCATTGTCATTGCGTTTCCTGGGATACTTTCAGAATAATTCATTAGTAACAACAACAACAACAACAAAAAAAAAAAACAGCAAGGAAAAGGCTACAAGGGGAAGGGTTTTTCTAGGTCTTTGGGATATATCTAATCATTTCTTCACGGAATATTATAAAGTAGGGTCCACTCAAAGCTCATCCCTCACAAGCCACTCAACCTTTGACATTCTTCTTCTATTTAATGTGAGTCAGAATTCCTAAGATTTTTTGAAATCCTGCCTGCAAAGTCTGCTTATGAATTTTTTTCCTTACCACGGAGTTCCCATAAAGTGACAGGTTCTGCCTAAGTAGTTAGCTACCTGCAAGGCTGCTCGAATCCAACTTTCTTTCCCACTCTACTTTGCATTCTGCTCTCCCTTTGCTCTCCTCTCCTTAGGCCCTCAAGTGATGCCAGCTTTTGTTCTAGCACTCTAGAAAGGAGTTACTATTTTGATCCAGAGTACACAGAGAAGAGAAACTGGAGTGGGTAAAAGGAAGCTCGTCACTGAGAATGCTGGTACTGGGAGCAAGACTGTGGCAAACCCAGGAAATACTAACAATAAGAACCCCTCAAAAGTTCACCTTTACCAAGCCAATGGAAACAATATAGCTGAGTGGGGTTTGAATTTTGAGAACTAATGACTCCTCAGCTACCATGTAATTGCCTTGGTGCTCCATTTGCTATAATTCATGGGAAAGGTACTAAGGTCCTTCAACTGGTTTTCCTTGCTACCTCCACCTTTTTCAGAAGTTGGACCTATGATTAGCACACTTCCTGCCTATCCATTCACAGTGAATAGAATGGCTGGCTAAATTTTAAACCCCATTTAAATTATTCCACTTCGAAATTTGAATGATAGATGCTTGCCTAAGTCTACTGGCCTCAGTAACATTACCTTTTCTCATGACCAAGGGTAAAAGAGTAAATTGATAGGAGGCACAAGTTTTTGTGGATGTGGGTTGGGCTGGCACCAAATCCAACTACAAGCATACAGTGACCACTTCATACACACCACATAAAAAATACAAAAACTGAAAAATACTATCAAATGCTTTGACATTTTCTAAATATTTCTGCTGCCCCTATAAAATTGCCTTGTCTGACCTTTCCTCACTAACCAGGAGATACGGTGTTTTTCATTTCCTCTCCCTTCAAATTTTACAAGAGAATCAAGGAATTTGAGGACCAAAGCACCACAAACACAAGAGTAAGCACAGCAAATATGACAAGGGGACTGAAGTAAGCCCCTATGGGAATAGGATCTGCTGAAGGAATCAAGAGGGATGGACAAAGGAACAGAAGACACTCAAGAATAACTTCAGGAAGTCTCCTTACCGCCTCACCTGCTTTCCCTCTGTCCTACACATCCAGCCTTGCAAAGAAATAAGAGTAAAGAGAAAAGTCCATGTAGCACCATCCCAGTTCAGAAGCAACCCCCAAGATATGGGTCAACTTTATCACCTCAAACTCTACTCATTTATAATGACAAAATTCAACTGTTAACACATAGGTAAGAGTTCTTCAGGCATCGGTTTTAAAGGTCCATGTACTGGGACGGGTGCGGCGGCTCACACCTGTAATCCTAGCACCTTGGGAGGCCAAGGCTGGTGGATCACCTGAGGTCAGGAGTTCAAGACTAGCCTGGCCAACATGGTGAAACCCAGTCTCTACTAAAATACAAAAGTTAGCCGGGCATGATGGCGGGTGCCTGTAATGCCAGCTGTTCTGGAGGCTGGGACGGGAGAATCACTTGAACCTGGGAGACAGTGGCTGCAGTGAGCCGAGATCACACCACTGCACTCCAGCCTGGGTGGCTGAGCAAGACACTGTCTAAAAAAAAAAAAAAAAAAGTTCATATACTGAATAACCATCTGGGCCCATAACAGCTTAAGACTTTCTGGAGAAAAAAAAAAAAACCAGTTTCCAGTTTAATTTCCAACAAAGCAGTAGGAACTCTTGCCTATAGAATACTGTGCTGGGGGCTGGGCACGGCGACTTATGCCCGTAATCCCAGCACTTTGGGAGGCCGAGGCGGGTGGATCATTTGAGGTCAGGAGTTAAGAGACTAGCCTGGCCAAAATGGTGAAACCCTCTCTCTACTAAATTAAATACAAAAATTAGCCTGCTGTCGTACTACACGCCTTTAATCCCAGCTATTCGGGAGGCTGAGGCACAATTGCTTGAACCTGGGTGGCAGAGGTTGCAGTGAGCCGATCACACCACCGCACTCCAGCCTGGAGACAGAGCGAGACTCTGTCTCAAAAAAAAAAAAAATACTGTGCTGGTTCATTTGCCTATAAAGTCACCAATCTAATGTTTGGGTATTTGATCATTCAGAATTCTAGAAACACTGAAGATCCCTTCACCTACTCAGGGTCTGGGCCTCTTTCATGAATGCTTAATTCCCACAGCCTTACAGTTTATACCCTTCTCCTCTCCCACTTTTGATCCTCAAGTTTTTTGCTTCTCACATTTTTTACTGGGTTTGTGCTTCTCAGTATCCTTGACCAAAGCAACTGATGCTGTAAGAAATGAGACTTCAAACCATTTACCCACACTGGGTGATTAAGGTAGTTTAAAAAAAGAAATGAGGCCAGGCACGGTGGCTCCCGCCTGTAATCCCAGAACTTTGGGAGGCCGAGGCAGGTGTTTCACTTTAAGTCAGGAGTTCGTGACCAGCCTGGCCAACATGGCAAAACCCCGTCTCTACTAAAAATACAACCATTAGCCAGGCATGGTGGCTCATGACTGTAATCCCAGCTACTGGTGAGGCTGAGGCAGGAGAATCGCTTGAACCCAGGAGGCAGAGGTTACAGTGAGCCAAGATGGCACCACTGCACTCCAGCCTGGGCAACAAAGCGAGACTCCATCTCCAAAAAATAAATTAATTTATTAATTTAAAAAGAAAAAGAAAAAAGAAATGAAGAACTTACGGTAATTAGTGTGGTTAGGGACAGTGAGTTAGAAATTGTCACATCAAAATACAAAGTTTTCAAAACAGTATATTTTATTTTACAATAGCAACCAACTCCCCAGTTTGTTTCAATTGTGACATCTAGATGGCTTAAGATTACTTTCTGGTGGTCACCCATGCTGAACAATATTTTTCAATCTTCCAAACAGCAAAGACTCAAAAGAGATTCTGCATTTCACATCAGTTCACAAGTTCAAGAGTCTTCCATTTATCTTAGCTTTTGGAATAAATTATCTTTGAGGTAGAAGGACAATGACGAAGCCACTTAATTCCTTGTGTCTGCATAAAAGCAGATTTATTCATCACAACTTCATTTATGTGAATAAAGCAGATGATGATAAAATGTTCTCTTATTCTTGTTTAATCAGTAGTGGTAGTGATGCCAGAAACTGTGAAAGGAAGGCTTTTAGTTACTTTCTTCTTTCCATTTTCCAATAATCCATTCCCCATCCCCAGCTGAAGAAAGGGGTGTTACTGAGTCCAGCTGATACCACACATTGAAAGGTAAACATTAATATTTCAAATCTGATGTCTAACTAAAAATGTACAGAATGAAAACTAGAAAATTTCAACCCCAGATTATCTTCAACCTTGCTCCCTCCACCAATCATACTTTGACATTTATCTATTTCCTTCTCCACTTATGGATGTAATTGGCTTGCTATAGAAACTACAGTTCAGATGCTTTGAATGTATGAACTACAATGAACAATAAAGTCCTCTTCTTTTGAAGCATATTTTGGCTTCAGCTTTAAGATAATCTTATGACAAGAAGGGTCACACTGATTCACTTAATAAATTCCATTCTTACCTAACACAAGGTTTAGTTGATAAGCACTTGGACAAAAATAATACTTTTCAAAAATGTAAAGCAAACTAGTGAGGACAAAGGATTTTGTCCTCATCTCAACAATGATCAGCTATTGGAACTGCATGAAACTGAACAATTTAAACCTGGAGCTGGTAATGTTCTTAAGACCAATTCAGAACAAAGGCAGGTTGCCCTTAAAACAGGTTTGACCTTTTCCTTCACTCTTCCTCCTGTCCCACCCTCTGTGAGTGATTTAAAAACGGAAAAGGTCAAAGCCCAGCCAGGCCTACATTTAGAGAAATTTTAAAAAAATTTTTCCTTTCAATTTTGGCCAATTATTTCCAATTTTTATTTTATTCTTAAAACTTAAGCATGGTAAAATGTTAAGCTGTTTTCATCCACTGATATTATTCTACTATAAAAAGCCCTTCTTGAGCAGATTTGATGATAAAAAGGAGAACATTTCTAAGGTATAATTAGAGAAGCTGTTGCATGAGAAATCATGTCTCCATCTCCATTTTGCTATGCGTTATCTGAGGATTGTTTCTGAAAGAGATCTATTTAGGCAGTGTATGTATGTGTCAGCATGTAAAAAGTAAAGAACTGAAAATAGACAAACCTTGTAAATGCACTTCAAAACCAATTGTGGCTCAAGTGTAGGTGGTTCCCCAAGGCTGGTACCAATGAGACTGGGGTTTGGGAATTAGTTGGTCATCATCCCTCCTGCTGCCCAGCAGTGGTCAGTCATTTTTCATGAGGGATGGACTAGGAAAATGAAGTGTCTATTATAAGGAGAGTTCCTGTAACTTAAGGAGCAAGCTCACTACAAAACCCAGCTACCTGCTTATCGTAGTGGCCAGAGTGGTAGAAGAGATACGGAGTAGGAATTAAACCACACAATGTTATTTAGGGACTAAGCCATGCCCCTAACAAGAAAACAAGCCAAAAGGAAAGTATTAGGCATTCTCTGGGAAGGCATGCATTTTTTTCCCATGTCTCTGGGGCCAAAAACCTTATACCAAGTACCTATTGGCACCCGAATATATTTGTAGAATGAATGAATACATGAAAAAAAATAAACAGTAAC
Source organism: Homo sapiens (assembly GCF_000001405.40). NCBI lineage: Eukaryota > Metazoa > Chordata > Mammalia > Primates > Hominidae > Homo > Homo sapiens. The sequence continues at coordinate 73,822,539 of NC_000023.11, forward strand.
CTTTCTCCTATATTCTACTTTCCAAGCCAATTAATAAGCAAGTGTCTTTTCGTCATGATTTTTTTTGTTTTCTGTTTAGGATTTAACAAAATGGTTGAGATAACAGTCACTTCTGTTTGATGAAGAGTATCACTTCATTCCATTTTTGTGTTTTTGTTGCATCTCCAAGTCAGAATAAATGCCTTTTGGAGCAGATATATTTCATTTAGCATTTAGTATCATCTTCATCAATACTCGTATGAACGAAAAAATAAAAAGCCCTCTCTTATTCCCACTCTACAACGCATGTCAAAGGTGATCTGTTTAGTTTTTCCTTAGTATCGAACATATCACAGCTACTCAATGAAGTTTCTTCTCAACTAAAGAAACACAGTCTCTTAGAGAATTTGTTCCTGTGTTTCCACCATAAGATAAATGAGATAAAGTGCACTTTGGTTTACGTCTTTCAAGCACTTAAGAACAGCACTTTATTCAGTTTTAATAAATTTTTACTAAATTGGTAAATGCAAAAGAATCTTTTTTTTATTGCTCATATGTCTTCCTGTCTCTAAGCCAGACCAATGAGCAAATACCTTTAAAACTAGTTGTTACATCTTGAACCATTTAACTGTAATAAAAGCAGAATGTTTAGTTAATGAATTAAAGAACAAACCCTGAGCCCTTTTATCAGTCTCCTGGCTTTAAACTAAGCCAATGAGGAAGTGATTTGGGGGATTCCTGAAACTAGGAAAAATGTCTCTTTATTTTGAAAGAAACTTGCATTTTTCTTTCTTTTTTTTTTTTTTTTTAATCTCAAAGGCAATTGAGTGGGTCTTCTGGGCCAGACCTATTTAATTTACGAAACATAGTACCTTGCAGAGAATAGGCATTGAAATATTATTTAAACAATCAAACCAAAGATGTTCTTCTATCTTCAGCTGTCAGTGATCTAATGCCCTCATCTCTCTTATCCTCAGGACCCAGAATGGTATATTCCACATAAAAGATGCTTTGTTTATCAAATGAATCAAAAAGCACGCCTGAGGCATTTATTTTTACTCCTTTACTTCTGTAGGCCAGGTCAAGGTGGGTCTAATTCACTTTTATCATCAGCACTTAAGAAACTGGATGGAAGACCACAACACCTTGTTTTTTGCAAAAATTTTCCATCTCCTCAATCAGGCCAGGAAGCATGTATCTTCTGGACAGGACTTTATCTCTCTACTCAGCTTAGTACACTGCCTTATATTAGTCCATTTGTCCCATGTTTTCATCACTGAATAAACTTGTTAAATGACTTTTGGTCTGGATCTCACACCTATATTACTTCATTTCCTTCTGTGAGCACTCTATAATGATAACATCATTTTTATATCCTAGGGCATGTAGTTCCGAGCCCCACAGAAAGTAATCACCATTCAGTAAGCCAATAGTTCATTCCTATCTGTATAGAACTGTAGGCTTTGTAAATCTACACATAGATCTCTGTTGTAGGTTCAATAATGATAATAAATGTTTGTGCCCCCAGTTGTTATCTCTAAGGATAAGAGTAATCAATGATCATTCAGCAGATATAGCTTATATATGGGTGGCAGTTTACAAATTATAAATTGATTTTACACATATTTTCTTCTGCTACCCAAGACACAATAAAGATGGTTTATCTTTGCATCCCCAATGCCTAGCAATGAGATTGGCACACAATAGATAACTACTATAGTGGCATTCTTCAGACAACCAATCCCTTGCGTATGCGTATTCAAAAGATAATCATTGTTATTCAAATTTTCCTACTTTATTTGCACAATATAATAACTATCATACAATTTTATAAACCTAGTACCCAGCACCAAGTGAGAAAATCAACAGTTACATTTATATGGTGCCTTAGAGTTCACAAAATGCTAACATAGGTATTGCCTTATTTTTGGCTGTGGCTAAATGAAATATGATAAATTTTCAGTGCCTTTAACAGTGAGTTCACATAGTAGGCAATCAAAATTGATCTATTTAACAGGTATTTAAACCCTTGGTTTGTATAACTACTTATAGAACCCTTCTCACTGTGGTTTAACTATACAATGAGAATTTTGTAGAGACAATACCTAGCTTACAGAAAGTTTTATTCATACAGAAAGCATCAAATTTTTCATTTACAAGTGCTTTATAATTTAGAAAGCACATTCGCAAGCTGAATTAAGTGACTTTCGGTCTGGATCTCACATCTATTACTTCATTTCCTCATACTAGCTCTTTCCTGGTTACCTGGAAAAATGTATCAGTAATAATTTAACTTAACCTCACCAGTAAAGTCTTGATTGTTTAAAATTAAGCAATATATCATTCCTTACATCTGAATAGTATAGAGGATAAACTTTCCTCTTATTACATAGGAGAATTAATCTTGTATTTTACAGTACCCAAAATAGCTGGTATGTAAGAGGCACTTAATATTCATTCATCCATTCATTCATTCATAAATATGTAGCCCATTGACATTTGTATCATGCTTTAGTTTACAAAGCACTTTAATATGCACCTTTCTGAAATTTTTTGTTCTATGAGAATACTTTTCCCCCTTTGGTAGCTCTAGCACCCAGCATGGTATCTGGCACATTATAGGTGACCACAACAAGCTTAGTCCCTTATGTTTTCAGTATATTTTAAAGTTTAAAAGCAGTTTCCATGTGTTTTCGTTTCTGATACCTGGAATACTGCATTTTTACTCAAAATTACCAGAGCAGCAAACACAAATTGGCCTCAAATATACATATAATTTATTCATTTATCAAACAATTCCTTGTGTCTGCATAGTACTATATCCTTTTGAAAGAGCACTTTTTTATGCTTGCTCCTTTCTTTGTATCCACAACGCTTATCACAGTAGAATACAAGTGCTTTACAGTTTACAAAGCACATTCACTATTTTTTTTCAGGTCACCTAGATATCAATAATCATTGCATTTTTAGTGCCTAGCACAGGGACAGGCACAGAAAAGGAAACTAGTAGTATTCAGAAATTTTCTCTGAATAACAAATAATACATCAGGGGGTGGTAAGCTATGAACAGCAGGCCAAATCCAATTGGCTCAAAAACTAAGAATGATTTTGACCTTATAAAAACGTTGTTTAAAAAACAAATATGTAACAGAAACCATATGGCCCACAGTCTAAAGTATTTATGATTTGACCCCTTACAGAAAAACTGTGGACCCCTGATTTACATAATGCTTCACAATTTACACTGCACTTTCAAATGTTAACTGCATGATTGCCAATACACTAATTGGTTTTTCTCTTATGTTTTACAGTGCTTTCATACACATTATCAGTCATTTAAATCAACTTCCCACATAAACAGGAAGAAAAAAATCAAGGAAAGTATTAAACATGCTCAACAGTCCCAGGTTCTCTCATCTTTAAGCCTAGAGATGGGTATTAAACCCAGGAGTAGCGTTGGCACAGTCCACCAAATTATTTGGCCACTACTATGAGCAGGGAGTTCAGGCTGTCCCCTTGGGACCTCGCTTTGTCCCAGGCACAGTCACCCTTTCCATAACCATCACTAGAAATCCCAAACCCCAGAATCCTGCTCACCTAAGCTCAAAGAAGGAAGCTGTTGCTGGCAGGTGCTTCTCAGAAGTCTGGCACATCTGTGTATTTCTTGTCTAATTCTTCTCATTGGCCTGGAGCATCTCTTCACATTTTTCTCTAGAGAGCCTGGCACTTTTTTTTCCCCAACAACCTGACCATTTTATCTTCTCAGTCTAGGGCTTCTGGGGTCAAAAGAAAGGACTGAAATACAGTATCACCTATATGAATGTCTGCTCCTGAGGGAAGTTAACAAAAGCCAGATTAGATACTGACTGGATTTTGGTGTCTCTCTCAAGTGGAGAAGATGTGAATAGAAACAGAAGTTTACAAAACACTATAGCCTAACAAATAGGTAAAAGCTGTGATTTAAAGCTGGCTCAAGACTGGCCCAGGCATAATACTGTCAATCTAAAGGTAACCGGCAACATCAAAAAGTACATCTCAAAAGAATCAGGCTTAAAGATAAACAGGAGAACTGGAAATATCTAAGAGTAAGAAGTGTAAACAATAGAAAAGAGGTAGGGTTTAGGGTTCTCATCTTGGGATTTCCCCAGGTCTTCAAGCTTCTATCCTTCCTGGGTTCTGGGTCATGGGCCTCCAGATTCCGGCCGTTAGTCTTGAGATACCTTTTTCGCTTGGGTCCTCTATCCATCTAGGTAGGCTTTGTGACAGGGGCCTTCCATCCTTGGGTTGTAGGTCTTCCAGCTACAACCCTGGGCTAATCTTAGGTCGTTGGCCTTGTGTCACAAGTCTCAGTTCTTAGGCCTTCCATGTGTCCTGTCCCAGGTCTTAAGACTTCTAACTCAAGCCTTGAGACTTCCATCCAACTCAGGCCTTCGGTCCAATTCAGGCCACCCTCTGTTTTCTTGGCTCTTGAGGCTTTTGTTGGTTTCAGGCCTGAGGCTTCTATCTATCTTGGAACATGGGCTTTCCATCTTAGTCCTCGGGTCTCAAGTCTCAAACCATCTGTCTTATACTTTGGGCCTTCTATCCATATGAGCCTTCCACCTTCTGCCCTACTTGAGTTCTGGGTTTTACTGCAGTCTAGGGCCTTGTTTTGGTCTTGGATCATCTCACATGGCAGCCTGGCATAAGGAACCGCTCCACAATGCTTGCTCTGATAGCCGACGTTCTGCACCTATCAGGCAGGGGTTAGGAAGCCCCTCTGCCACACATGACACACACACACGTACACTTGCCCACATATGCAAAGAAATATTTAAGGAGAGATTACATGAAATCAAAGAGAGGGAGATAGATTCATGAAGAGGCTGAAATACTCAAAGGTGAGTAGAAAGGGAAGAAGCAGAGAACAAATACAAGCCAACAGAGATTAATACTGAAATAGAAAATCACAAACAGCAAGAGATGCTGAGGCACGCAGGGGAGGAGAGAGAGAATAGCCCAAGAGAGGCAGAAAGGAAATGCAGAAATGAGAAATGTGAGATAAAAAGTAGAAACAGCAGAAAGGAGGCCAGACTCAGAAAAAAGGTGAAATTTAAAACGAACGAGAAGGGGAAGGGGTAACAAATAATCACAGTTCACAAAGAGAAAAGAGAGGTAGGCAGAGAAAGGAGAGGTAGACAGAACAAGAAAAGGACAAAAAGCACACAGCATGTGACCCAAAAAGGAGACATGAAATAAAGCGTGAAAGAAGAGCCACATCTAGGAGAGCAAAGAGAAATAGCAACAAAATGAAAAATGAGAGATATGTCTAAGACAAGACACAGACCACTCTTGTGAACAAAAAGAGAAAATGAGGCAAAGGCACACACGAAAGAAATTAGCAAGAGAAACATGGAAATGGGTAAGACACACTTTAGATAGAGAACAAAGAGCAAAGACAAGAAAGAAAGAGACAAAGAAATACACACTTGAGTGCAAGAGATAAGCAAAGGCAGACATTCAGAGGAAGTAAGTAGTAGAAGAGGCAAGATACAGTGAGGGGCACAAGAGGCATGAAAAGCATCACAGAAAGATAAAAAAAATCAAAAAGTGTCATTAGTAATTATAATAAACTATTGTTACTACGAATACTACTTATAGTACTACAATAATAACAACCACCAATACCAACACAGATGCTCTTCTATTTATAAACTTTTACCTTAGGGATTTCTTACATAGAACCAAAGCATGCCAACTCTGCCTGCTACCTGATAGTGCTAGTGGTCACTTATATTGTGGGAAATGAACTTATGAGTCTTCTTGGGTTACCTTTTACTTGACATGTGCCAGGCACTGCAATAGGTGAGCACTTTACATACATGATTTCATTTAACCCTCACAAACAGAGAAGTCTAGAGACTTTAAGTTGTCAAAGGTCATATACCTAATGAGTAGCAGAGGATTTAAAACACACAATGTATGCCTCTTAACATCCTGTTACAACTATTTACTAGGATTTCTGGAAGAGCCAAATGGGATGTCACAGATGACTAAGTATTTTCATAAAAGGCTCTTTGATAGGACTTGCTCAATCCCCTCCTTTAGCATCACCTTTCCCCAACTCTTTAGAAAACTGACTTCATTCTCACACTTTTATAATGGCTACTTCAGAGTTTAGTTTTCTTTTTACACTAATCTTAACTGACGACAGAGTCTCTCACAAACGGAGATGAGAAAGGGTTACCCTTTCAGCAGAAAGCAGAAATGGTGTTTTAAGCTTCTCAACGTTTAAGGCTCTAAGAATGACAGAGGGCCTATACAGTGAAGACATAGAACACACAAGCAAAGGCTAAATTCTTCTGTGATACAACTGGTAAGAAGACCATAATGTCTTTGAGTTGCTTCAGTGAACCCAGTCAGTAATATGGAAGACTGGTCATCTTTCCATCTCACATTTAGCCCCACTTCACATTAGACCAACACACCCCATCCAACACCAGCTCCCAAAAAACAGCTGTTATAACAGTTCTGAAGTGATCCTCACAGGACTGCAACATCAACAACTTACTTCATTCAGCTATCCTCAAGTGCTAGAGTGCCAGGCATGTTGATCTTCAGGTGGGAAGGCTGACTTCCTTCAGTGTGTTCAAATTTCTTGGACCTGCTGAAGACTCAGCTCTCTGCACTGCTTGTAGGAAGTATAATGATTTGGCAGATAGGAACAATGAAGAGCTATAAAAAAACATGAGATAAACCATGTAAATGCCATAAATATTGAGTACTGTGCTAGAGTTACATAAGATTCAAATTAATAAGCAATAGAAAATGTTTCCACAGAACTTTGAAACCTATAAAGTCAAAACTTTTAGGTCTTTAGAGAGAAAATTTCCTCATTCAACAGAATAGGAAACTGGCATAAATGGGAAAATGTCTTGCCAAATATCACTTGATGAGTCACTAGAGACACCACTACCAGTCATAGCCTTATACCTTAGTTAAAGACCAGAACTGCCGGGCGCGGTGGCTCACGCCCATAATCCCAGCACTTTGGGAGGTTGAGGTGGGCGGATCACCTGAGGTCAGGAGTTTGAGACCAGCCTGACCAACATGGAGAAACACCGTCTCTATTAAAAATACAAAATTAGCCGGGCGTGGTGGTGCATGACTGTAATCCCAGCTACTTGGGAGGCTGAGGCAGGAGAATCGCTTGAACCCGGGAGGCAGAGGTTGCAGTGAGCTGAGATTGCACCATTGCACTCCAGCCTGGGCAACAAGAGCAAAACTCCATCTCAAAAAAAAAAAAAAAAAAAAAGACTTCCATCCTGTTTTAAGTGCCAATCAGCTAGGAAAGAGTCCCTTTAAATGATTAATAACTGAGATCACAAAAATAATAGATATGAGAGGGAAAAACATAAGGTCTTCCCAATGTTTAAGGCTCACTTCGATGTTTTAAGACCCCTCAAGTTTGCTTTAAGTCTCCTGGCTCAGGACTAACAAAACACAGCCTTAGAGCAGCATTTTCAAAACTCACAATATTGCTCTTTGAGATAAAGGTGAGTCACTCTGGAAGGCAAATATTCTCACAATAAGAAAATTCACATAGGTTGTTTAACATTGCAGCTAAAATACAAAAAAAAAGAAGAAGAAGAAGAAGAAAAAGAAAATTCACATAGACTACTGGCCCTAGGAGAATTTATCTAAAGATTATGAGTACAATAGATAGATCTTCCTAGATAACTCTCAACTTAGCTTTCTAGTTCCTAGACTTTCTAACAATTTGTTAGTAACTCTCTATTTCTAAATCTACAGAGATTTCTAGTCAATTATAACATTTCAAGAGTTCTTACCCATGAAAATATTTCATGAAATTTATAGCTACCCACTATTTACGAAGAATGCTGGGCAAAGCCTATACGTTCAGGATTTATTGCACCGAATGGTCACCTTTATCTGCCAATTCTCACTCGCTAATCAGCCTCTCCCAACACTGACCTAGAGAATGTAGGGTCCTGGTTCTTTAGCTCCTGCCTGATGACAGATAACTTTGTGCCATTTTTAGTCAGGTTTCCATTTGTATTTATGCGGCTTCCATCAATCAGCAACCATAGCATAAAAAGACACACCTCTCACTTGTTGTATTATACACCATGGCATCCCAAGCCATCCTGAAGTATGTAAATGATTGGCAAAGTTCTTCTGTAAGGCTTTAAGAGAGACTTTGGGGACCACATGGAACAGAATGATTTGCCCATGTGATCAATGTCACTGATGTGACAGTTGTCCATGTTCTCCTAAAAGAACAACTTAGCTGTAAGCCTCTGCCACGTGCTATAGTCCCACTCCAAACACCCGAACACATGCAACCCGCTACCCTCTTTACATCATCACTTTAACCAGTTAATCTCACACCCAGTTGCTTCCCAGGTTAGTTAGGAAGCTGTTTTTACCAAATCATATGCAGAATAATGATGAATACGACCTCAGTGAAACACTAAGTGCAATGTATACTGGAAAACAAAATCAAAATTAAGACTACTTATTATGCTTTTAGGGACAGCTTACGCACCTTGACGTGTGGTGGTTGTTTTTGAGACTTTATCTTCCTATCTGGGACCAGGAAAGTATCTTGACAGAACCTCCTGACCTAGGGTTGTTGCCCAGTGGTAGTGAGCTTTTCCCCTGGAGGATCCTCATGCCCCATCTCCACCTAGGGATCGTCAAAGGGAATGGATCACTAACACTGTAAAACAACAAGCCTATTCTTCTGAGGAAGATCTGAAAAGAGATAAAAGAAAAAGTATTGAAATGCAGTACACTGGGAAAGTCTGTTCTAATGGGCAACTAGTGGTTGAGTTCAACCATATTTTTACCCTTTTCTTCATGTGGATTGAAGAGTGGACATTTACAGTTGTGCGGAGCTGTTATATTCTGGCTACCAACTTAGCAAAAAAAAAAAAAATTATCCTATTCATTCCAGCTCTATTCTGTATGCTTTCCCTCATTTCCAAGAGAAATTTAGAACTGAGTAATTGCCAATATTCCCATGCTGCATTTTATTCTCCAGTCTTTATTACTGAGCGATCCTCTACAATGTGGGTTGTTAATACCCTTGTGTTCTCAGCACAAAATATAGTAGGGGGGTCAAGAAATCAAGAGGTTGAAACTAATGGAAGGAGAAACTAATGCTTTCTCAACCAAGAGAGCCATGAAGCCACACAGAAAAGGTCGGATGTGGTCTAACCCTATGAGTTATGTAAGAATTCTCCTCCACAATGCCTCTGGCTTCCTTTATAAAGAGCTATTTTAAGAACTGAGAAATCCACCTCTATCAAAGTGCCTGTCAGCTAGTTCTGTAGCATCCCCCTCTTTTAATTTGTACTTTAAGTAGTGCCATGCCATAATATTGCCAAGATAAAGAGAATTGTTTCCTACTCAATCCACATGGTAACATTTCTTCAACAACCTGTATAATAGGGCGCCACCAAAGTTCTAGGATATTCGGAGAAACCAAGAATGGTCACAAGCACATAGAACTCCAGTTATAACAACAGCTGGCCAGGCGTGGTGGCTCACGCCTGTAATCCCAGCAGTTTGGGAGGTCGAGGCGGGTGAATCACCTGAGGTCAGGAGTTTGAGACCAGCCTGACCAACATGGAGAAACCCCGTCTCTACTAAAAATACAAAATTAGCCTGGCGTGGTCGCGCATGCCTGTAATCTCAGCTACTCGAGAGGCTGAGGCAGGAGAATAACTTGAACCCAGGAGACAGAGGTTGCAGTGAGCTGAGATTGCGCCATTGCACTCCAGCCTGGGCAACAAGAGCGAAACTGCGAAAAAAAAAAAATACACGCCACAAAAACAGTTAAGCAAATCTATGCAGAAGGAAAAACAAGGTACAGAAAACCAGGGATTCAGTAAATTCCTTATACAGGCCCCCGGGGCTCTCCTATTCCACTTTTTAACAATTTCAATTGTTTTTCAAGCTAAGAAATTTTGATTTCTTAAAACAAGGAAATGGCAGTGATAATGGAATTAGGCCTACCAAAACTGAGCTAATACAGATGAAGTTAGTCTTATTTGTAAACAAATCCTGAGAACTTAATACCCATCTGCCAAAGGAAAGTGGGAATAATTTAAAAGGCCACTAATCAAAAGGTGTTAAGTTCATTAAATCTATCTTGCTGTGTGGTGAGAAAAGAAATAATTTAGTGCTTTGCATCTCTCATTCTTCATTGGGGATCAAGTATGCTTGCCCTTACAGACCTCACTGGAGCCCAGCTCTGAGGGATAAATGAAACAGGCCGAACTCATTATGTAAAGTTAAAATGTATGTGTACATGCAAAAGAAAAAGTATAGGAATTGATGAAAACTGGCTCACGTTCTGCTTTTCTTTCTTTTTAAGAGACTGGGTCCCGCTCTGCCACCTAGGCTGGAGTGCAGTGGCTAATGATGGCTCACTGCAGCCTTGAACTCCTGGGCTCAAGCAATCCTGCTGCCTCAGCCTCCAGAGTAGGTAGGACTACAGGCACGTACCACCATGCCCAACTAATTTTATTTTATTGTAGAGACATGGGTCTTCAACTCCTGGCCTCAAGTGATCCCCCCACCTCAACCTCCCAAAGCCCTGGAATTACAAGCAGGAGCCACCATGCCCAGCTGTGTTCTGCTTTAAAAAGGAGAGTTGTGGGAAGTTCAATCCAAAGACAGAAGCACTACAACAATAAATTCCCCAAACTACCTTTTTCTCCAGATAGCTGGCAACCCATCCAAGTAGATTAGCTGGAGCTTGGCCAGATTCTCAAAGGGAAAGATATGATTAATTTGGAGCCTCTTATAGCTGTTTGCAGTCCTCAGGTCTCACATGCTCAGAATGTCCTTAAGAAGAAAGACAGGGTTCAGTAGGCTACCAAAGCACCGGTAGGATACCAAAAGAGTTACAAAAACCCCAATGAAAAAAACCTAGGAAGTATAAACTGAAGCATTAGACATAGGTATCTCCTGTCTCTACTTTCTAGCCTGCTTGGTCTCCCTAAAGTCCTCTAATGACAAGCCCTGGCAGTACACGGGAAGATTAGACAAGTGAAGAAAAAGAACTACATGAAAATATGGGTCAAACCAATACCGACCTTAAGGGCTGACACTAAATTTGTGGCTAATGGTCATCCTGTTGCTGAAAATACTTCAAGATTCAAGGTGGTGTGGCAACTGCTACTACTGCTTAGAGGTGCAATTGTCTTGACTGTTTTTAATAATTGGCTATCTACCTTTACTATAGCATAGGAGCTCACTAAAGGGGATCTAAGCCAAATTTGCAGTCTTGAAAGCACTTTGCATGGTACTGTATAGTATGGTGTGAAAAGCACCCAGTATGTTAAACCTGAGTACCTTAAATGAATACAGGCTTCCAGATCCCTGATCAGGGATTACTGTATCATGAGGAAACCTTTATGTCAATGTCAAACAGGAATATATGGAACATCACTTATTCAACACTATTCTCTAGCTTTAAAAAGGCCAAACTGTTCTATGATGTTCTCAATATAAGCAGAACAAGCTTCAAAATCTCTTGCCAACATCCTTCCCCATCCTAATTTAATCTAAGATTAGATACTTGACTTCCAAATGCAGGCTTCCAGTTAAACATGGCGGTTCATACATGTTTATGCATTTACTCTACTGCTTCCTAAAACTCCATTAATGAGAGTAAATGTGCACTCCATATGCAAGCAAATACACCTAAAGAAATTTTAAATAAACGGATCCTAGCTCAAATTCATTTATACACTGGCATCTAAAAGGGAACAACTATTCCAGTCTCCCCAAGTCTTCTTAAGCATATTTATGGAGTATCTTGCTTTAGCATCAAAGCCCTCTAGTTTTGCCTGTTACTATGGTGATGACATACTCAAAGAGCATTCCCTTTCCCTTAACGGGAATCTAAGGCTAGAGAAAATGGTTACATTTTGGAACTGGGAATCTAAGGCTAGAGAAAGTGGTTACATTTTGGAACTGATACAGAACCATACATTTCACTAGGGTTCAATATTCACTGACAAGAATTTTGAGAATCCGTCATCTTGCAGACCAACAAAATATCAAAGTCTTATGGAGAGAATAACTGAGTGGCACAGCCAGCCATCTGGTTCAAATACTCCAGCATCAGACAGAATTGTCACAGCTAGACGTGATATTAATAATCACATAGGCCAGGCGCAGTGGCTCATGCCTGTAATCCTAGCACTTTGGGAGGCCAAGGCGAGTGGATCACCTGAGGTCAGAAGTTCGAGACCAGCCTGGCCAACACGGCAAAACTCCATCTGTACTAAAAATACAAACATTAGCTGGGGGCGGGGGGTGGGGGGCGGGTGCCTGTAATCCCAGCTACTTGGGAGGCTGAGGCAGGAGAATTGCTTGATCATGGGGGAAGGAGGTTGCAGTGAGTCGAGATCGTGCTACTTCACTCCAGCCTGGGCGAAAGAGCAAAACTCCGTCTCAAAAAAAAAAAAAAATCACATAATTCAACATTTTCATTCTCTAAGGAAACTGGGAACCCAGAAGATGAAACTACCTCAATGTTACACAAATAGAAGGTAACCAAGTGATACTTAAACCCATGTCTTCCCACAATTCAAAGGTCTTTTAACTGTGGGGTCTGTGCATAGATTCTCAGGACATATGGGGAGCTTTCTACAAAACTTTCACAATACTCTCATTTCACTGTAAGGATAGTTTAGATCAGCTATATGACTACTTCATAATATAGGACCACGTTGCCAGATTAGTGGCAAATGTTCTAGTTTTGTTGCCTGGGGATTACAGAAAAGAAGAGAAGCAAACAATATATAAATGTGTTTTGTGCCAAATGAAAGTGAAATAGCATTGCTATGTGCTATAATGGCAGGATTTAAAGCAGTTTGAAAACAGCAGTTTGGTGAAGTGCATCAACACAGCATGTGATATTACAGACACGCCACTCAAAAGAAACTATAATACTATAATAGTAGTGCCATATTTGCATTTTAGTTATCTATTAACTACTAATTTGTACATCTGCTATGTTTTATAGTTGTATTATAGATGTAGGCAAACAGATTTCATTCCAGGTTTGTTCATACACTTTAACTTAACAATTATTCCCATAAACCTAAATAGTACATAATAATATTTTTCTTTTACAGAAAACGTTTAATCAAATATAGCAAAATATTAATTGTAGAATCTAAGCAGTGATTATGTAGGTGCACACTGAATAATTCTTTTCTTGAGAGAAAACCTCCCTACTATCAAACTTATTATACAGACTTGAGAAACACTGTCTCAAACTAATATCTAATATAAAATATTAAAATTATACTCAACATAATTTCATGTTATTTTAAATTGCTGATTAATATGCAATGCACATGACAATGCTGTTAATCAGGGCACTTTTTGTAACAGCACACCAACTTTCTTGACTAAAATTGAAAGGTTAAAAATTATATTTGGGTTACAATTGCCAAGGAAGACATCTACTCCTTGGGTCTTAAATAGGCACTTTGGAAGGCTAGCTGGAGGTCAGTAAATGAACCTTTCCTATCCCACGTGTGAACATGCCTTTCCCTTCCTTTCCCACCTCCAGTGTTCTCAGGGTCCTTTAGCTCTTAGAAAAAAACGGAAAGAAGAAATGCATACCCAAGGAACAGCTTACCTGGCGATATCAGAATAATTTAATCTGAAAATCAATGTCAAAATGTGGATTGAAGTAAATTCTGGTTCTTAAGATAAAGTTTGTTTCTGCAACCTATTTTACGTTTCAAAACTGGCAGAAACATTTAGGGCAGAAGGGTCATTTCTAGTTTCAAGAATACCCTACAGCTAAACTCTCCCTAAACTTAACCATAGAAGCAAATGTCAAACACTCACTACCGTAATATTAACAGAAAAATTTCCCAACCAAGCCAGGTTTCTCACTGTAGAAATGGGAGGTAACAGATAAGCAAGGAGGTGAGACTATAATGATCCATGTGGCAATGATTAGAGTTGGAGACGTAGGTATAAACACATTTAGTTTAATATAGATACAGATGGTTATATATATTTATAGCTATGTGCATATACACACGTTAGAATGCAAATATATATCTCCTTGCTCTTGTCAACTGAAAAGGTCTTGAAGGAATGACACTCCAGTAGTAATGAGCGCACCTAGCATTCACTTCTTGATTTCTAATATTACTCTCCAATAAAAAGTATCAAGGCTCCTTGCAGAAATACATCATTTTAGGTCCAGGCAGGAGATATGCAAATGAGTCTGAAGCATGTTGTAGTTCCAAAAATAAGAAAGTGCTCAAACAAAAAACCCACATTCATGGGGTTATATCAAAGCCAAATGAAAGACCTCCCAATGGCCAAAGCTGGAACAATTTGAACAACAGAATAAAGTAATACTGTATTATAACCCAGAGTATAAAATATCCCTGAGATCATACTGATATAAATGACTGAATAAACACAATACATTGTGGAGAAAAGACATCCTGTGCAAAAGAATTCCAAATAATTTATGTAAATACTCTGCCCTCAATGAGGTGGAAGGTAATTTCCCATTCCTTAAGTGCTGGCTGCACATAGTGACTTCCTATGTGAACAGTATAGTAGGGAAATGGAGAAATAAAGACTAATTTTACGCTGGAGAAACCTGACAAATAGTACCTCAGACAGGTGATTAAGGATAACATAAACAGTGATAAGTCATGTTGATAGTATGTACTCTTGATAAGTGATAAGAATGGCACTCTACCTTTGTGGTCTTCCTCCTAAACACTCATAAACCCAATCTAGTCATGAGAAGAACATCAGACAAATTCCAATAGAGAGACATTCTATAGAATACTGGACCATTAGTCCTCAAAACTGTGAAGTTCATCAAAAACAAAGAGTCTGAGAAACTGTCATTACCAAGAGGAGCCTAAGGAGACATGACTACTAAGGACACATGCAGCGTGGTATCTTCAATGGGATCCTGGAACACAAAAAGAACATTAAGGAAAAACTAAGGAAATCTGAATAAAATATGGACTCTAGTTAATAATAATGTATCAATATTGGTTTGTTGTGACAAATGTACCAAACTAATGTAAAATGTTAACACTGGGAAAAACTGGGTGTGAAGTACACAGAAACTCTATCTTCAGAATCATTCTGTAAATCTCTACACTGTTCTAACATTAAAAGGTTATTTTTTCTAAAAATCTCCCAACCAGTTGCTGAAGACTTATAAGACACAGTTTTTAAAAAGCAAGCAAAATGGAACCTAAGAACTGGTAAGTCTATGTTCCAGATTTTTCTACAGTACGTACCATCATTGTTTGCAGATCTGATCTAAAGACTTACTCTCTTTCTTTTCTGTTTATATGGATTTATAATAGGTAATTTTGATGTTAAAATATACAAGGCCCAAATAACCAGGTATCCGTAATATCAAAAAGTTATTTTTTAAAAAAACATTAGCAATTAAACTTTGTTTTTGTACATCAACAGATTTCCTGGAAAGACCTAGTCAATCTGCTGTAAAAAATAAGTCGTAAGTTAGTAGCTAATTTTCAGTCAAGGGAGATCTATAAGGCTGGAAAACTTTAATAACATATAGATTGTAGAGTGATTATATCCCATCACTGTTCAATGCCAATCACACTAACAGCATACTATAAAATATACTATGCCACTAGTTTTCAAAGCTATGGGTAAAGTAACATAGATAATTTTATAATGGGACCTGGTAAAGTACAGTGATGTTCCAGTCATATCCCTATTTTTAAATTCTTATACGCACTTGATTATGTAATAAGAGGGTATTGCTTGGGTCTACTGCATAACCTCTCATGTTTCCGGGAACACTAGAAGACTAGCATTCTAATTGGTTAAGGAAAATAATACTTTAAGTCTACCCATAATTTAAGAAGTCTAGCACCGGTCAAATTTACATTTTGTTTCAGTTTCTCATCCTAACATGAAAAAAAATAATCAAAAGTTATTTCTAATATAAACATCAAAACAGTAAAGGAGAGGCTTCTTTACCAAACTCATTTGTATAAGATGCAGAAGAAGCCCAAGCTCCATGTATCAGTACTCAATTTGGAAAGGTCAAGGAAGAGCTATCAAGTAAAGCCTAAGTCACCAACAAAAACATGACCAACTCGACAGCCTAATACACATATATATAGTGATATATAACTGTACATGGCCACTGAAGTTTAACTTGTTAAATTCAGCAGGCCAGCTATGTCTTAAATACATGAGCTCCAACTTGAGTTGGATTTTTGAAGGAAACCTGTGTAAAATGCTACTTGCCTACAGCCCAAAATATGGTAGTGAGAATATCAATTTTCTCCCAATCCAGTCTTTAAGACAAGGCAGAGGAAGGCATTAGCTCTGTTTAACTGACACATCATTACTCTTTGCCATCCAAACTGATAAGGTTTGGGGGAAGAGAAGAGGCATTAGCTCAGTTCAGATATAATCATTAGTTTCTTTCTCTTTAAGCTGGTAACGTATTTTTCCAGGATGCTTTCACATATAAGAATATTTTAGCAGTCAACAAAGGTCAACTCTTAATTCATTACTTTAAGACATGAACTCCCTTCAAGCTGTACATTTGATAATCAGGGCACAAACACCCTGAAAAGAAATTATGAATGCCTAATCACAGCAGCCCTGGGTCTCACAGTCTTCTGTAATTTAGGGAGGTGGCTAGAGAAATGGAAGTTACAGAAAGATAAAGCTGAAAGAGGATATGAGAAAATGGTCAGAAAACTTCCTCCAATCCTACATGTTAAGGTTTTATAAAGGGAAAAGTCAGAAAAGAAATGACAATAATCATTTAAAGAAATGCCAAAAAAGTTTCCTTCATTAGACTTTTGAAAATTTTCCAAATCACAAAATGTCATTTTCAGGGATTTAGGTATTTGATATAAGCCCCTATCTTATTTCACTAGCAGTCTCGAGATGGTCAGATTGATGGTGATCTGAACCAAACTCAGAGCCAGGACTAAAGTCTAAGCATTTCTGCCCAAAACCATAATGATTTCCTTCTGCATCCTCCATAAGAAAGCAAATTCCTTGATATAAATCCTGTCTTTGGTTTTGCTATTTATTCCAGCACCTGGTACAATAATATTTGTTGAACTAACACAAGAATTATCTCTATTTTGAAGATGCCCACATTTCCAGAGCATCCCTTTTTACAATTGCTAGAGATTTTTCTTAAGGGTGGAAATTATTTCAAGCAATGAATTTAAATACAGCTTCAAGATTCACCTTTGGATGCTATCTAGTATAATCAATCCACCTAAAATCAAGCCATCCTTCCTCTTGACTTAAGGTACAGAATCACCTCCAAATTCATTCATTTAAAACAAATTCCAATAATAATTATAATTGTATGTTGACAATGAATGACAATTTAATTACCAATAGAAGATTTCATAAGCATAGACCAGGGTTTCTCAAATTGGGGTGATAACCCTGGGGATTTGTGAATATATTCTAATGGATCCCCAAGTTCTACATAAGTTATATAAAACACATCTTTGACAAAGACAACGTGAAATTGGAAAACATATTTACATTTCAAATATCTTTGTTAAGTCAGTGTTCCTCAAAACACATTTTTTTAGGATCTCAGAAAATTTTGTTCCTTTAGAAGGTGTTTCATCATGAAGCATTACTTGGGTTTGAGAAACAATGGCACAGACCATGTTTCCAAGAAGGTTCAAGACCATGATGTATATAACCCTCAGTCAGCCAGACAATGTTGTTAAG
The DNA here is from genome assembly GCF_000001405.40 of Homo sapiens. Classification (NCBI taxonomy): domain Eukaryota; kingdom Metazoa; phylum Chordata; class Mammalia; order Primates; family Hominidae; genus Homo; species Homo sapiens. Next base: position 73,840,302 of record NC_000023.11, read on the forward strand.
CATATGGAGTGGGGCTGGGAGGCATGGAAACAAGCCCTGAGGAAATATGGATATGAATTAAAACGGGCTATAAGTGAAGCCAGTTCACTTATATGGTTCTTGTTGCTCCTGCTGTGATGCATGAATGTGCACCAGAAAAAAAGTTTCGAATGTTATGTTAAACAATATTTTGTCAGCTGGAAAACATTAAGGAGGCTAAGCTTCTTTTAGCTTTACGAAAGGTGGGAGGAAAGAAGGTATATAAACTACAGCATAAAGTAGGCAAGGAAGGTCAAGGTTTTGACTTCACTTCTCCACTACCCTCTTGGCAAAAAGGTTCCAAACTTAAAAAGTATCTACGATATGCATTATCCATGGTCATCTGTTCTTGGGCAGAAATGTAGTAAAATTGTGGAAGGAGCCGAAGTATTAGATTTATGCCCTCAATCTCTGAACTTTAAAATACTCAAGCTTATGAGATTTAGCAATCACTAATTTGCCAACCTTCGCAAATAGCCAAACACAATGGCTATGCTCTATCCCTTTCATCTCTTTCCATGGCTCCAAAAGAGGTAAAAAACAAATGAAATTAAAATAAACCAACTGGACTATCCAGATGGCTGCAATATTAATCCTATCTTGGCTTAAAGAGAAAAAGCAAACCCACTTCCTTAAGTTTATTCTATCAACTTCAAATCCTTGTGGGTTCCCTTCCTAAAACTACTACTTATGATTCACACAAAACAGCACTTATTATTTTCTAAAGTTATTTCAAATGTGCTCACATTAGCTCCTCAACGATAAAATCATCTCAGGAATGAAATTATATAGGATGATATCATTCCTACCCAGGTTATCAGTGTAACCTAGCATAGAGCTGGGTCCACAATATTAATTCTACAGTTCTGCTGGTTAACTCACATATGTGTATTTATGCATGTATGTATGTATCTATTTCTCTCTCTATATATATATATTGCAGATGAGGTGGGAAGAAGGAAAGAAACTTACTGGACCCTCTGACTTTTCTATAGGTGGCATCTAAGAGAAAGAAAATAGAATAGGAAAAAGATTACTTAATAGCTACGAAGTAGTACTTACAGTATTCTAAAGAGCCAGAGACTCTTCTTTACAGCTGTCCGAGGAGCTAGTAGGGCAAACTGCTCCCTGAGCTGGGCCGATCTTTTGACATCCTTCTCCGAGAAACAATATTCTTTTTCAGTTATTACAAAGAACTGCTGTTGTGATGACTAGTTATTTGCTTGAGCAGTTCCATATTACATAATCCTGTGCCACAAAACACCCTGTACACTAGTGGCTGGGATATTATTCATTTCCACTAGGCAGCTATCTCACTGTTGAAATTTATATCCAAAAGAATATTTAATTTTGGCTTATTTTTCTTATAAAATAGGGAACTCGTCTTATCATTTTTAAGTCCTCACCTCAGTGTGGTACTTCAAACTACTTCAAATTATTACTATAATTAAATGCTTCATTTTATATAATAATTAATAAAAAAGGTGGCATATGCTTTTTAAAAGCACCTCTGCATATGTTCCCTCATTTAATCGTTTTACTGCAATCTTCTTGAAATAAGTAGGGGCAGGTGCTCCAGATGAAGAAATTAAAGGATTATAAAATTTAGGTAGTTTTTCTAAAAGTGAATGCTGGTAAAGCCCACACAAAGATACTGGTCTTAAGAGTTCCACTCTAGAATATCTTTGATATTAAAATAGCAAGAGTCAGTGTTCTATCCACAGACCCACCACCCTCAGTTAAAATGAGAGACACTGGTCACCAGGTACATAGTATAAATGGATATTTTGGCTTCAAAAAAATAATGACCAGGTTATCGAGTCCACCCTACAATCCAGATGTCTTTCTTAAAAAAATTTTTTTAATAATAATAAGCAATTTTTCTGGCTGTATCCTGGCATTTGGCACTTTACAATAACAATATACAAAGGGGACAACAAGAGATTCTTAACCAGGCAATCTGCTCTGGAAAGAAGAATGCAGAGAAAGTGCCAACCTTCCTTCCTGGGGAGACAATTTTATAGTGTACACTGGAAACACAAAATAAAGGATGGCAATCCAGCTCCCTGGGTCTGACTTGCCTTCAGTATTTTGCACAGTAAAGCAGTAACACAGGTGGGCAAGAATGGTTCTTGTCCCCAGAATCTGACAATAATTGAAACTAGGATCATTAATAAATGAAAGAAAATGAGTGAAGGCTTATCCACCTAGTTCAGGCCTGCTTTTCATAGTCAACACTGCACCAACACACCAAAGTGGTAGGGAGATCTTGGACTGATGGGCTGAAAAATGGGACAATCAGTACTGTGTTTATTAATAACACAGAAGGGGCTTTGGGTAGTCAGCATACTCAGAAGCAATGCGAAAGGAAGTAGAGGGGTTCATGTATAATGGGTGGGACCAAGGAAAGTGCAACTGAGAATTGTTTAAGTCCAAGAGAAAGGGCCTTGTCTGGTCAACATTACCCAGCAAAGAGGCAAAAGGGGCAGGGCAGAGGGAAGGGAAGAGGGAGACAGCACAATCTTACCTAATAGCTGCAAATATGGACACCTGAGATTGTGAGCAATAGTCTGTAAAAAGGGGCCAAGGGCACACAAGGGGCAGAGAGAGGGAAGACTTCGTATATAAAGCATGACACCATGGCTACCTGTGATTTTACACACTGGCGCAATGCAAAAGGGTTGGGAGTATGGACCACTGTTTGATAGACAAGTGCATGGAATACTCCAATGCTTATACTTTATTATGCCATGGGAAACTAAGGGTGGGGTGGGGCGCTTGCTTAACAAGGTCAGGGAGGGAGAAAACCATTGATAACTGCCATTGTGCCTATTAACAGTCCCAGGAGAAGTTTTGAGTAGTCAGCAGCCCCTGCAGTAATGCAAAGGGGATACTAGGGCATAATATCCCACTCTACCAGAAGGAGACATATATAATTGCAAATATTCACATTAACAGTACAAGGGGCCTTAGTGGGTCAGTACCCCCGATGTAAGCAACGAGGAAGCAGGAGTCTTATCTAATGATCAGTGCCCTTGATAATTGTTATTAATGCTATTAATTGTCCAAGAGCTGAGATTATGAGTAGTTAACACTTCTCAGCAGCAATCCAAAGGGTAATGGGAGGAACATAGGGTCTTTTTCTCCTACACAGGTCCACAAATACAATTATGACATTAATATTAAAAGAAAAGGGTTCATTCATAATTAACATGCCCCTGATGCAAGGGGAATATGTGGAGATCAACTCTTAGTCTAAAAGAAGAGGTGGACAATTGCATTAATGCATATTAAGTCCAAAAGAAGGGGCACTTAGTGAATATCATCCCCCTGCTCTAAAGCAAAGGTGGTACAGGAACATGCTTAGAGAATTGAGTTTGTGCACATGAACATTCCAAGTGACAGTCTTGAGTAGTGGGCACTACCTGCTAAAAACACTAAGAAAGTAGGTAGGATCCTTATCTAGTGCACAGATCAGGAGCAAATGTAATTGCACATATTAACAGTCCAAAACAACAGGACTTTGGTTGATCAGGACACCCTGTTGTACTACAAAGGAAAGGTGATGGGGTATGACCTTAATCTACTGACAAAGACAAAAGAAAATTTCAATTATATGTTGATAGTCCACCAGAAGGGGCCTTGGAGGGAAACAGTATACCCCACAGTAATGCAAAAGAGGTATAATGGTCCTAGAAGTGATAGGGTTGTGGACAACTGCAATTATTCACATTAACTGTTCAAATGTAAAGATCATAAGGAGTGGGCACCCACTATTGAAAAGAGGTGGGGCATCCTTGTCTAGGGCACAAGAACCAACATAAATGCAATTATGCATGTCAACAAGCCAAGAAAAGGGGACTTAGGGGGTCAGCAACCCTGGTATACTGCAAATGGAGGGTGAGAAGGTAGAACTTTGTTTAATTAGGATGAACCATGTGGTGATTACATACATTAATGTCCAAGGGACATTGTTGTGGTCAATTAAAACCATGTACTTTGGACAAATATAAGAATCTTAAAAAGTAGTGGGTACTCCTTGTTGAAAAGCAAAGGGAGTCCATGAGAAGGTGCCCTTATCTAGTACACAAGAATATAGACAAGCCAAGCAAAGAGGCCTCAGTGATCAGCACCCCAGCTATACTGCAAAGGGGGTCTGAGAGTAGGACTTTATTCAAATAGGATAAGCCATGTGCAGTTATGCACATAAATTTCCAAGATGCATGGTTGTGGTCACTTACAATTGTGCACCTTGATTGTCCAAATGTAAGGGTCTTATGGAGTGAGCACTCCCTGCTGGGAGGAAAAGAAAGATTATGCGTAGATGGGATGGGGCAGAGGAGGCTTCCTTGTCTAGTACACAGAAACCTGGACAAATATAATCACACACATAACAGGCCAGGAAAATGGGCCTTGGTTATCAGCACCCCTGCTGTACTGCAAAAGGGGTCTGAGAGTAAGGCCTTATTCAGATGAGATAGGCCGTGTGCAGTTACACACATTATTGACCAAGGTGCATGGCTGCGGTCACTTAGAATTGTGCACCTTGACTGTCCAAATGTAAGGTTCTTATGGAGCTGGCACTCCCTGCCAGAAGGGAAAGGAAGATTGAGGGTGGGGTGGGGCAGGGGAGGCTTCCATGTCTTATACACTGGAACCCAGACAAATATAATCACATACGTTAACAGGCCAGGAAGAGGGGCCTTGGTTATCAGCACACCTACTGTACTGCAAAAGGGGTCTGAGAGTAGGACCTTATTCAGATGGGATGGGCCATGTGCAGTTACACACATTTATGTCCAAGGTGCATGGTTGTGGTCACATACAATTGTGCACCTTGACTGTCCAAATGTAAGGGTCTTATGGAGCGGGTACTTCCTGCCAGAAGGGAAAGGAAGATTGGGGGTGGAGTGTGGCAGGGGAGGCTTCCATGTCTATTACACAGGAACTGGAACAAATATAATCACACACATAACAGGCCAGGAAAAGGGGCCTTGGTGATCAGCACCCCTGCTGTACTGCAAAAAGGGTCTGAGAGTAGGACCTTATTCAGATGGGATGGGCCATGTGCAGTTATGCACATTCATGTCCAAGGTGAGTGCCTATGCTCACTTACAATTGTGCACCTTGATTGTCCAAATGTAAGGGTATATGGAGTGGACACTCCCTGGTGGAAGGGAAAGGAAGATTGGAGGTGGGGTGTGGCAGGGGAGGCTTTCATGTCTATTACACAGAAACTGGGATAAATATAATCACACACATAACAGGCCAAGAAAAAGGGCCTTGGTGATTCAGTACCCCTGCTGTACTGCAAAGGGCATCTGAGAGTAGGACCTTATTCAGATGGGATGGGCCATGTGCAGTTACGCACATTAATGTCCAATAATGTCCAAGGTGCATGGCTGTGGTCACTTATAATTGTGCACCTTGATTGTCCAAATGTAATGATCTTATGGAGGGGGCACTCCCTGCTGGAAGGGAAAGGAAGACTGGGAGTGGGGGTGGGGGCGGGGGGAAGGCTTCCTTGTCTAATACACAGGAACCCAGACAAATATAATCACGCACATAACAGGCCAAGAAAAGGGGCCTTGGTGATCAGCACCCCTGCTGTACTGCAAAAGGGGTCTGAGAGTAGGACCTTATTCAGATGGAATGGGCAAAGTGGTTATGCACATTAATGTCCAAGGTGTATGCCTGTGGTCACTTACAACTGTGCACCTTGATTGTCCAAACGTAAGCGTCTTATGGAGAGGGCACTCCCTGCCGGAAGGGAAAGGAAGATTGGGGGTGGAGTGTGGCAGGGGAGGCTTCCATGTCTAATACACAGGAACCGGGACAAACATAATCACACGCATACCAGGCCAGGAAAAAGGGCCTTGGTGATCAGCACCCCTGCTGTACTGCAAAAGGGGTCTGAGAGTAGGATTTTATTCAGATAGGTTGAGCTGTGTGTAGTTATGCAAATCCATGTCTAAGGTGCATGGTTGTGTTCACTTAACAATTACGCACCTTGACTGTCCAAATGTGAGAGTCTTATGGAGTGGGCACTCCCTGCTGGAAGGGAAAGGTGAGACTGAGGTATGTGGAGAGGACCCTCCTTTTCTAGTGCATAGGATCCCAGACGATTATAATCACACACAACATGCCAAGAAAAGGGGACTGCGTTATCAGCAACCCTTCTGTATTGCAAAAGGGGTCGGAGAGTAGGACCTTATTCACATGGAATGAGCAGTGTGCGATTACGCACATAAATGTCCAAGATGCATGCTTGTGGTCACTTACAATTGTGCACCTAGACTCTCCAAATAAAAGGGTCTTATGGGGTGGGCACTTCCTGCTGGAAGGGAAAAGTGGGGATGAGGGGAGCACTTTCCTTCTCTAGTGCATAGCAACCTCGACAAATACAATCACACATATTGGGAGGCCAAGAAATGGGGCCTTAGGTGTCACCAACCATGCTGTCCTTCAAAAGGAAGGATACTGATGTAATTGTCATTAGGCACATTAACAGTTTGAGAAAGGGGCCTTAAGTGAATAGTACCCCATGCAATAAAGCAAAGAGGGTGTGATAGGTCAGAAACCCAAGTCTAATTGAAGGACCATTGACAACTGCAATTACATGCCATCTACAGTTCGAAGAGAAGGGCTTAATATTGATTAGCACTCTCTGCTTTGATAAGTACAGGAGTCCTGATAAAAGGCACAACTGTATGCAACTGAAAATGTGTATATAACACCTAAGATTATGCACGCTAACTTTACTAGTCTAAGGGTCTTAAGTAGTAGGTACTTCCAGCTGGGATGTAAATACAGTGGGTGGGGTCCTTACATGGTAAAAAAGTACAGCAGCAAATATAAGTATGCACATTAACAGTCCAAGAGAGTGAATTCAGGCTAGTTAGAAGCTCCTGCAGTAATGCAAATGGAGCAAGGAAGCGGGATTCTACTCTAACATAGGGGCACATCAACTACTGCTAATTATGCGCATTTAAGCAGTATAAGAGAAGAAGCACTAGCTAGTTAGCACTCCTGCTGCTTTGCCAAGGAGGTGTGAGGGGGATGGGATTCCAGGGCAATTGTCTTACTTTTTTTTTTTTTTAATGTTGGCCAGGCTGGTCTCAAACTCCTGGCAGTAAGGGATCTTCCCACCTCAGCCTCCCAAAGTGCTGGGATTACAGGTGTGAGCCACCACACCCGGCCTCAGGGCAATTTTGCATAATAGAAATTCAAGAAAGACTTTAGGAAATCAGTACCCCCTTCTATGATGCTGAGAAGTCAAGATATTAGCTTGATATAAAAGCTAGATATTAGCTTGATATAAAAGACTCAGTTCTAATCAATTAGACATTTGAAATGTCTTAGACAATTGAAATCAATTAGGCAATTGAAAATATGCACATTAAGAGTCATGGATAATTAGAAATACACATTAAGAGTCCCAAGAGAAGGACTCTGGGTTTCCAGCATCCCTTTCTATAATGTAAAAGGGGTAGAATATAGGTTTAAAGGGAGAGACCATGAACATTGGAATTTTGCACATTCATAGTCCCAGGGAAAGGTAACATAGGTAATTAATATCCCTTGCTGTAAAACAAGGAGGATAAAATGGATCTGATCTGAAAGACATTGTTGTGATCAGTTGCCATGGTTCACATTAACTATCCTAGTGCAAAGGTCTTGACTAGAGGTCATCCACTGCTGAACACTAGGGAAGTGAGTGGGGTCTTTAGTGCACAGGAAGAGGGACAAATGCAAGTAGCACATTAACAGTACAAAAGAAATGTCCTTGTGATTAGCACCCTCTACTGTAATGCTAAGAGGGTGTGAGCAGTTGGGATCTTAATTTAATGGAAAAGACCATAATTGCAATTATGCGCATTAACAGTCCCAAGTACCCCCTGCTGTAAGACAAAAGGAATATGAGGGGATGAGACCCCAGACTAACAGCAGATAGGGAAATTGCATTTTGCACATCAATAATTTCTGGAGGAGGGGCATTAGGTAACCAGCACCCTCTTGATGTAAAGCAAAGATGATGCAGGGACCTTGATATAAAAGACTCAGTTCTAATCAATTAGGATTGTGCACATAAACTGTCCTAGTACAGAGGTCTTGAGTAGTAAGGGTCCCCTGCTGGAATACAAAGGGAGTGGAAGGGTTAGTGCACAAGATCGTGGACAAATACAATTATGAACATCAATGCACAAGAAGAGTCCTTGGGTGATCAGCCCACATTGTAGCGTGCAAATAGGATACAGAGTCCCTTTCTAATGGACAGGACTCTGGACAATTGCAACTGTGCAAATTAACTGTTCAAGAGCTGTTATTGAATAATCTGCACTCGTTAGCAACATCCCACAGAAGGTGGGATGGGGTGAGAATCCATTTTTATTGCACAGAACCATGAATATATGCAATTATGCATATCAACTGTTTAAGAGAAGGAAACTTGGGTAGTCAGAACTCAGCAGCAATGGCAAAGAGGACATCCTAGACTAATGAGTGGGACTATGGGCAATTAGTGTTTTACATATTAATGCAAGGTGGTAGGTAGTTCACACTATCTAGGAGCAATGATAAAGGCATACACATAAGTGGGTCTTCTCTGTTACGCAGAACCATGAATAATTACTATTGTATCCATTAATATTCCAAGGGAAGGGGCTCTAAGAATGAGTCAGTCCCACTGCTGTTATGCAAAGATGTTTGCAAAGGCCATAGTGTAACTAACAGAACTATGGATAATTGGGATTTTACTCAATAATTTAAGAAACTCTTAAATCTCAGGTAGTCAGCGCTGCCTCAAGGCAAATGCAAGGGCGACTGGTAGTCTTCATGATTAATGGGTGAGACAATTAGCAATTACTACTTTGTTCTTTAATTGTCCAAGAACAGCAGGATTCTCCAGAAGCACAGCAAAAAGCGCAGTAGGGTGCCTTTGTTTAATAGGCAAAGCTATGACAATTGGGACTGAGCATTTTAACTGTCCAACAAAAGACGGGTTGTCTGCGACCCCCTGCTGAATGCAAATGGGGTTCAGAGTGCTGTCTAATCCAATGGGTAGGATTATTGGCAATTAGAATTTTACTCAATGCAAAGAGTTTTAGGTGGCCAACACAGTACACAAGAAAAGATCACTACTCAAAATTGGGACTGTGACTACAGAAGCAATGACAGAGAAATGGTTTCTCCTTTAAGGGCAGGGGATCGAGAAAATGATAAGTAACTCAAATTGTGGGCAATAATGCTCTGATAGAAAGCTCTCAATTGACATTCCCTAACTTCAACGTACCGAGTAAGGAAATTCTTTGTCCTGAGATCACAGACAAATGGGATTGTATGCATTAACTGAAAATGGTCAAGGAGTCAGTACTGAAGATCAGCAATGCCAAGGGTAAACGGAATATCCCAGTATAATAGGATAAGCAATGGACAACTTATTTTGAGCACTGAATCAATGAAAATTAGAGTGACTTTCGAGAGAAGCTGGGCGGGACTGAGGAACTAGGACTGGGACTGGGGCTAGGGCTGGGGGGTTAGGGGACTGGGGCTGGGGCAGGGCTGGGGCGGGGTGGGAGTAGGGCTGGGGCTAGACTAGGGGTTTGCTGGGAGCAGGGCTGGGGAGGAACTGGATGCTAGGCAGGCAGGATACAACGAAAAATTGAAATACTCCAATATAATAAGTCTGAATAGAGGACACCAGACCACAGCAATTCAAGTTTCCTGTCTGATAAGTAGGTGATTAGTCAATTAGTGCAGCATCAAGGATGGGAACAAAGCAAGGCCTGGACCTGTGTAAACCTTCAAACACTCTTTTTTACATTAGGTCATGAAGTTAAATTTTTTACTGTTTCTGTGCTACAGACTCTTCAAAGGAAAATAGTTAAGTCAATTTCAAAGAAAATGACCAGCACATTTTTAAAACATTAGAAATGATTTGACTTTGACTATCTACTGCCAAAAAAAGGTTAAGGAATTTGTAATGAGAAGCTAAAAACTTTAAGGAATTTTAAGGAACTCAAAACAAAAACTCATTAAATGTAATTAAAGTGAATTCTACAAATAAAGCCTCTTAATACATTTCTATAATAGTCACTTAAGACTTAAATTCAAACACTAGCAAACCACAAAATCAGACTGTATGACTGACATCCAAAAGATAAATATAAATCAAAATCCGACCCCAGCATTAGCCAAGGGGTAGGTGTTCCTCTTGAGGAAGGCAGGAATTCCTCTTCTGCCACCTGTTGGCCAACGATCATCTGTGATCCATTCTGGTCCTTGCCACGGCTCACCACCATGTCCACACCAAGCAGGCCTGGAGCACTGCCCATGGCAACAGTGCAGTGCAGGGCAGACCAGAGGGGGGTAGGGGGGTAGGGGGGTAGGGGGGTGGGGAGGTGGGGGGTGGGGGGTGGGGGTGGGGAGTTGGGGGGGTTGGGGGGTGGGGGGGGAGGTATACTTAGCCTTAGGTGAGGCACCAATACAGAGGAATGGAGGGAGGTTCAGACCACACAGCCAGATATCCAGCACTGCAAGAGGCAGCACTGGACAGGAGGGGACAAATAAGAGGGGACAGAGGTGGAAAGGCTAAATGTCCTTGAAAAGACCTTGAAAACACCTGGTGTACCGCCCACTGGGAGACATACACGTGGCCCCTCCACTTCTTTCTCCTGACTGGCTAAAGACAGCTGCGAAGTGCCATGCTAATTCACCCAGGTCTTCGCTGAGTAGCTGGACAGTGTGTCATCAGTCTAATTCCATCTTCTGCTCTAATTGGCTGTGATCAATTCCACCCCCATTTCTAATTGGTTGGGTTATGCAGCAATCCAGCACTGTCCATCCCACCTTTTCTCCCGCTCTGCGTGGCACTAGGCGGCAAAACCCGCCATCTTTAACAATGCGGCAAGCCCGCCATGATGTCCACGTGACAAAAGCCATGATATACATATGACAACGCCTGCCATATTGTCCCTGCGGCAAAACCCAACACGAAAAGCACACAGCAAAGACAAAGAGGCCCGCCATGTTTTACACTGCGGCAAGACCTTCAGCCGCCATCTTTTCCTGTGTGACCGCACATGTCCACCACCATGCTAACCACTTAACAAAGCCTCGCCCATCATGATGTGGCCTTCCCGCCACTTGAACACTGCGACAGAACTGGATCCGCCATTTTGGACAACCTAACAAAGCACAGCCCGCCATGCTGAGCAATGCCGCAATGTCAAAATCGCCATTTTAAGCCCTGCACCTTAGTCTTTCCTAACCTTCCATTTTTAACTAGTCCCTTGTACTGATAAAAGATGATTCTTACTGCCTCCCGATACAACAATCACGCAAAGCTCCTAACAAGCCCCAAATCAATTCATTCAGATAGGTTTAGCTCATGCAATGCACATGACTTCCTCTGCCTGACCTGCTATCATCCATCTTGCCTCCCTAGTTTAACTTAGCACAAACGACTAGCCCTAAGCCGAGTTATGCGGCAAGTCTAAAATGGCGGCCACTTTTCCTCCACAATCTGAACACGCCCTTAGCTTAACTGCAGAGTCATTCTCTGCCAAAGCGGTAGGTACACTCACACACCACCAAATGATCAGCAGCAAAAAAAAGTGTAGATATTCCAGAGAGTGCAACAACCCACAAAACCAACATTTTTTCATCCATAAAAAGCACCGATGGGCGATGAAAAAAAAAAATCAAAGCAGGTATCCGCGGCCCCGATGGGCCAGAAAAACAAAAATTAAAGCAGGTATCCGAGGCCCCGATGGGCAAGGAAAAATAAAAAAAAAAAAAGCAGGTATCCGAAGCCCCGATGGGCCAAAAAAAGAAAATTTTTAAAAAGCAGATATCCGTCACCCCGATGGGCCAGAGTGTTGGGGGTTCAGAGGGGAAGGGAATCAGCAGGTATCCGATACCCCGATGGGCTAAGGAAAAAAAAATAAAAAGCAGGTATCCGCGGCCCCGATGGGCGAATAAAAAAGAATTAAAAGGCAGGTATCCACGGCCCCGTTGGGCAAAGAAAAAATAATAAAACCAGGTATCCGCAGCCCCGATGGGCAAAATATAGAAAAGAGAGTGGAAGAGTAAAAAACTGATCCACAAAAAACAGAGATGTCAACCAAAAATGATTCCAAAGAAAAATTCCTTAAATATTAAAAATTGCCTCAAAATATTCCAAATACTTTCTTTAAAAAAATATGGAGGACGTGTCAAGAAGACACTAGGAGAAAGTATAGAATTTAAAAAAATATTTTATGGAATTTAGGTGATTTTTTTAAAGAAATACGCCATAAAGGGTGTTGGGGGACTAGAAAATGTTCTAGAAAGAACCCCAAGTGCAGAGAGATCTTCAGTCAGGAAGCTTCCAGCCCCGAGAGAGTAAGAAATATGGCTGCAGCAGCGAATTGCAGCGCTTTAAGAACTGAAGGGGGGGCTGAGGGCGGAGAGAGCATAAGAGGCGTGGCCTAGAAGATTGAAAGCCGGACATCTTTGTGATTTGGTTGGTTCAAAATTTACCCAGTAAGGACAAAAAAGGGAAATTTCAAGAAAGCAAAGACATACCAGAAAGAACATTAACTGGAAGTAGACTTCATTTCTAGACCAGGAGTCACAACTTCAATGGGTTTTCCAGTTCTCATCTATAACATGGGGACATTGAGTAAATCAAGCAATAATTAATGCTAAAATCCTCCATAAACTGCATAATAAATGTAAAGATGTTAATTCAGCTTGGTTTTGAGAATGGGGGAAGGGATAGGTAGAGCTTTGATGTGTTGATAAAGTATCCAAATATATCATTCAAACCAGAATTTGTAACTCCTCCACCAAACTTTTGAACCAAAGAAGCTAGAAAGGAGTAATACATTGAGGTTAGTACCATCTTCAAGGGACTTCCCATTCCATTATCCCATGTAATAGATAATGGAATATGTATTGCATAGATAATAATAAAGGATTATTCCTGTTTTATACATTAAAATAGAGTCCTATAGAGGTTACATCATGTGCCCGAGGTCACACACCATGATTCAGAGTCAATGTAGTTTTTACTCCAACACTCTACCTTGTATGGCTCCCAACCATAAGAGAACGGAAGTGCTTACGAGTCAATTGGTGAGCAAGAGAGAAAAAGGAAAGAAAGACATTTCATAGAATGGCTATTTGGTTCCTAAATAATCAAGAAAGAGTACTGTTTGTGACCTGTTTGTAATTTTTTAACTATGACTCCTTAATCTTTACTATTTTCCTATTTCCTCCATGAATCTGAGGAACCCAACATTGGACCAACCATATGACACAGTAGTGAAGTTGACCCTCTGTCAGTAACTGATAAGTGGTAGGAAGAAAAAGCTCATATAAAAGCCAAAGCTGCCCTCAGAAACCTGGCTATTTCAGTAGGAAGCAATTAATCTCATAAACTCTTCTATGTCATTCGAGAAACAACAGAGAACCAGAAGGGAGACAATGGCAACTTAAGTATTATAGAGCAACTTCTAGAAAGTCAAAGGATACATTACCCTCCCACTGGCTGAACTGGAAAGTGTAACTATCGACCCAAATCTATCAGGTAAGCTTGCTCTTCAGTTTCCAGAAAAATAATAAAGTATGCAAATTTTCTTCCTTAAGAAATACCTTCCATCTTCTAAGTGTCCTTGGATCAAACAAAAAAAGTAATCTGACTTGTCATTCCAAATGAGGGTTATTGTATTGTAAAGTGGTGCAATACAATGGTACCTTTGAGAAAACAATGCTTAACAAAGAGAGAAACTACCTACAGTGACACCTATGAAGCAGCTATCAGAAAGACTGGATTACCAAACCTCTAATACAACTTTATCTACTAGAAGTTTCTACAAGTGTGGAAATGTTCTATACTTTTAAGAAATTTGGTTGGCCGGGCGCGGTGGCTCATGCTTGTAATCCCAGCACTTTGGGAGGCCGAGGTGGCTGGATCACCTGAGGTGAGGAGTTTGAGACCAGCCTGGCCAACATAGCGAAACCCCGTCTCTACTATAAATACAAAAATTAGCCGGGCATGGTGGCAGGCACCTATAATCCCAGCTACTTGGGAGGCTGAGGCAGGAGAATCACTTGAATCCAGGAGGCGGAGGTTGCAGTGAACCGAGATGGTGCCACTGCACTCCAGCCCGGGCGACAGAGCAAGACTCCATCTCAAAAAAAGAAAAAAGAAATTTAGTTGGGGAAAAATTTTCTAAAGACTCAAGTAGCATCAAATATAAAAGATTGATAAATTTGACTCTGAAATTAAAACCTTTTGTTTCACAAAAATACCTTTTCAAATAAAAAGGCAAAAAGACAATTTATAAACTGGTTGTCCTGGGTTTCTGTGACCAGGCCCTGGTTCCAGGTGGGCAGCCACGCTAGCAGATCACTCTCATTGGTTGTCATTGGAGTTTTTTAAATGGTAACTCTTAAGGCTAGGCATGCAAAATGGTGCTGATGTGCCGTTATGGGGTGACACTCACATTGGACACAGGACATGTTCAGAGCTGTGGCCTACCTAAATCCACTGTTGACCCTTAGGCTAAAGAAACTGCAAAAGCAAGAAATTTATAATTTCAATACAAAGAGGTTCCAGAGTGCCATTGCAAAAATGGAAGTAGTACAGTGTTGCTATGTTTTTCTCATAGAGGGAGATGTGAAATTAGCCAGGAATGGTGCATTTGACAATAAACACAAAGAGATGATTTCTGGACCTAAAAAGGAAGATATGGTGCAAGGTCATTATAAAAATTGATATGTGAACTGTTGAATAAACAAATACGTAAGCATCTCTTCTCCACCTGGTATTCTAAATTTTCATTGATAAATCACTACACCTCACATGGGCCCATGTATTTGTAATATATTTTTAATCAAACTGTTTACATTAAAAGGAACTTCTGAAAAATATTTGCCTAGGCCTTTGCCCTAGAGCAGTCCTGCCCTCTTCTGCCATTTATCACCTTCAGGTTTTACTTACTCCCCTGCCCTCACTAGCTTTCAATTCACTTTACTTCCTCCTCTTCCCGACCTGGCCTCACCTTCACTACTGCTTGGCTCCATTTTATAAACCTGTTAGGATCAGAAGTATGGAAACTGAGACACTAGAAGGAAAAGTGACTTGCTCAAAGTCAATTAGCTAGTAAGAGTTGGGCTCTGATGGGGATATTTCAGGCATATTTTCTGTGGCCATGCCATAGCTGTGTTAGCATCCTCTTCTTTGGGCTCCCAATCACATGGCACACAATAGGAAGAAATCAGGTCCTCTTTTTAAAGATTCAGATTATTCCAGTTCTAGGATTGTCACTATGTTCATCTGTACATCCTCTCCTCTGCTAAATTAGGCCCAAAAAAAGCCGGCACTGTCGACTTAGCCACCAGATGGCAGCATAAAATCACCAAAGAAGCACTGAGCCTGTCTGCAGGAAAGGAGCCAAAGTTGTATACAGGGCAGGACCAGAATCTGATATAAAGGGGGGAAAGTCTGATTCATACAAGGTCAGTATCAGAAGAAAGGGTCAAAGAAAAGTGCTCAACCCCCTCTAATTTGAAGAGCCCCTCCCCCCACTAAACAGGAGTCTGTCCTTGGCTTCAGGGCTATGCCATTTAAAGAGGACTTTGATAAAGCCTTCAGGATCTAATTAGCAGGCTGGTGGGGGCCCTCCAAATCATCACCAGTGAAAAGCAGTTAAAGGGACCAGGACATATTATGGAAAAGAAAATAAAAGACCTGGGGAAGGGCTCTTTACAACTCAAAGGGCTGTCTGCAATGGGGGAAGTTGATGAATAGTCCTGTTGTGTGTAGTTCTAATAAATAAAGACGTCTGAATACTCTGAGCTGTCCAAAGATGGAACAGTTAACACCTCCAGAACTGGTGAATGCCAGTCTCTGAAGACCTGCAAGCCAATAGTGGATTTTGTGAGGATGCTACAGAGACAATCAACAGATAGAAAAGTTGTGCTATATGCCTTGTAAGGGTCTTCCAAATAGCCCCAAATCCTATGAACCTCATCACAGTACTTGGGCCATTCCTCTAGCCCTCAAACACACTATTTATGATATCCTTCAAAAGTGTATTAGGATGTTGGGAAAGGTTTTCTAGTTTATCAAAAGAGAACACGGGGTTATACATATTAAAGCTCAGTGAGTATATGCTTAACAATTGTATACATAGTTCACGTCAACATTAAAAATACTGTAAATGGGCTGGGTACGTTGGCTCACACCTTTAATCTCAGCACTTTAGGAGGCCAAGGCAGGAGGATCTTTTGAGGCCAGGAGTTCGAGATCAGCCTGGGCAAAATAGAGAGACCTCTGTCTCTACAAAAATAAAAAATATAAAAATTAGCCAGGCGTGGTGGTGCATACCCGTAGTTCTAGCTTCTCAGGAGGATGAAGCAGGAGGATTGATTGAGCCCAGTAGTTCAAGGATACAGTGGGCTGTGATTGCCCCACTGAACTCCAGACTGGGTGAGAAAGCAAACGCTACCTCAAAAAAAATTACAATCTATTAAAAACATCACCAGTGGCCGGGTGCGGTGGCTCATGCCTGTAATCCCAGCACTTTGGGAGGCCGAGGCAGACAGATCATGAGGTCAGGAAATCAAGACCATCCTGGTCAATATGGTGAAACCCCATCTCTACTATAAATACAAAAATAAGCTGCACATGGTGGCACACGCCTGTAATCCCAGCTACTCGGGAGGCTGAGGCAGGAGAATCGCTTGAACCCGGAAGGCGGAGGTTGCAGTGAGCTGAGACCGCGCCAAGCCTGGTGACAGAGCAAGACTCCATCTCAAAAAAAAAAAAAAAAAATCACCAGCAAACACTAGGGAGAGGGAGGAATTTTATTTCCCAAGGTATCACATTATAATATTAAAACTGTGCAGTTTTTATTAAAAAATTACAAGGCATACAAAAAACAGGAAATTATAGCTAATATATAGAAAAAAAGGTAATTAACAAAAAATGGTCCCTGAGAAAGTACCAACATTAAACTTACTAGACAAGGATTTTAATTAATTAATTAATGTGCTTATTTATTTTCTCATTTTTAGTTTTTCTAGTAGTTCTTTTTCAAATGTATTTTTAGTTCACAAATAATTGTATATATTCATGGAGTAAAATGTGGTATTTTGATATATGCATGCATTGTAGAATAATTAAATCAAGCTAATTACTATATATCTCAGCTCACATACTTATTTTGTGATGAGAATACTTAAAATTTACTTAGCAGTTTTTGAAATGTACAATACCTTATCACTATTGTCATCATGCTCTGCAATATATCTCAAAAACTTATTCCTTCTCTCTAACTAAAATTTTTATCCTTTGATCAACACATTTTTACCCTCCCTTCAGATTATTAACCACCAGTCTACTCCCTACAAGTTCAAGTTTTGAAAATTACACATACAAGTGAGATAATATAGTATTCATCTTTCTGTGCCTGGCTTAGCATAATGTCCTCCAGGTTCATATATGTTGTTGCAAATGACAGATTTTCCTTCTTTTTAAGGCTGACTAGTGTTCCATTGTGTATGTATACCACATTTTCTTTATACATTCATCTGTTGATGGGGACTTACCTTGATTTCATATCTTGACTATTGTGAATAATGCTATAATAAACATAGGAGGACAAATGTCTCTTCAACACACTGATTTCAATTTCTTTGAACAACACCCACAAGTGGGATTATTGGATCATAAGGTAGTTGTATTTTTAGTGTTTTCAGAAGCCTCCATGATGGTTGAACTAATTTATATTTCCACCAACACTGTATAAATGTTCCCTTTTCTCCACACCCTCACCAATCCTTAACTTTTGTCTTCTTGAAAATAGCCATTCTAACAGGTGTGAGGCAATATTGCATTGTGGTTTTGATTTGCATTTTTCTTTTTTTTTTCTTTCTTTCTTTTTTTTTTTTAA
The DNA here is from genome assembly GCF_000001405.40 of Homo sapiens. Classification (NCBI taxonomy): domain Eukaryota; kingdom Metazoa; phylum Chordata; class Mammalia; order Primates; family Hominidae; genus Homo; species Homo sapiens. The sequence continues at coordinate 73,858,265 of NC_000023.11, forward strand.
TTTTTATTTTTTTGAGACAGAATCTCTCTCTGTCGCCAAGGCTGGAGTGCAGTGGTGTGATCACGGTTCACTGCAACCTCCACTTCTTGGGTTCAAGCAATTCTCATGCCTCAGCCTCCCAAGTAGCTTGGATTATAGGCATCTGCCACCATGCCCAGCTAATTTGTATATTTTTAATAGAGACGGGGGTTCACCATGTTGACCAGGCTGGTCTCAAACTCCTGAGCTCAGGTGATCTGCCTGCCTTGGCCTCCCACAGTGTGATCTGTAATCACACTGGGATTACAGATGTGAACCACTGCGCCTGGCCTTATTTATTTATGTTTTTAGACACAGTCTCATTCTGTTGCCCAGGCTACAGAAAGTGCAGTGGTGCCATCTCGGCTCATTGCAACCTCTGCCTCCCGGGTTCAAGTGATCCTCCTGCCTCAGCCTCCTGAGCGGGTGGGATTACAGGCACCCACCACCATGCCCAGCTAATTTTTGTATTTTTAGTAGAGAAGATGTTTCACTATATTGGGCAGGCTGGTCTTGAACTCCTGACCTCAAGTGATCCACCCGCTTTGGCCTCCCAAAGTGCTGGGATTATAGGTGTGAGCCACCACACCCAGCCTGATGTGCATTTTTGTGATGATTATTGATATTGAGCACTTTTTCATATATCTGTTTGCTATTTGGTTTTTGTTTGATTGTTTTTTGTTTGAGGCAGAGTCTCACTCTGTAGCCCAGGCCAGAGTGCAGTGGCACAATCTCGGCTCACTACAACCACTGCCTCCCGGGTTCAAGTGATTCTCCTGCCTCAGCCTCCCGAGTAGCTGGGATTACAGGCGTGTGCCACCATGCCTGGCTAATTTTTGTATTTTTAGCAGAGACGGGGTTTCACCATGCTTGCCAGGCTGGTATCGAATTCCTAACCTCAAGGGATCTGCCCACCTTGGCCTCCCAAAGTGCTGGGATTACAGATGTGAGCCACCGCACCCAGCCTGTTGGCCATTTCTAAGTCTTATTTTGAAAAATGTCTATCCAGGTCCTGTGCCCATTTTTTAATTGAGCTATTTGTTTTCTTGATATTGAGTTCTTTGAGTTCTTTCTGTATACTGGATATTAACCCCTTACTGGATGTATGGTTTACAAATATATTCTCCTATTCCAAAGGTTGTCTCCCACTCTGTTCATTGTTTCCTTGCCTATGCAGAAGCTTTTTAGTTACATGTAATCCCATTTGTCTATTTTCACTTTTATTTCCTCTGCTTTTGTGTTCATATCTAAAACATTATTGCCCACACCAATATGATAAAACTTTGGAACCATGATTACAGTGTAAGAGTATTCTGAATTTGACCATGTGTTTACTTTTACTGGTAAGTTTTATACTTTCATATCTTTTCATTTCATTCATTAATATCTTGTTCTTTCAGATTGGAAAACTTTGTTTAGCATTTCTAAGGCAGGCCTTGTTTGATGAATTCCCTCAGCTTATGTCTGGGAAAGTTTTTATTTCTCATTCAATTCTGAAAGACAGATTTGCTGATTATAGTAGTCTTAGTTGACAGATTTTTTACTTTAGCACTTAGAATATATCCTCACACTCTTTCCTGGCCCGTAAGGTTTCTGCTGAGAAATCTAATGGTAGCCATATTAAAGCTTCCTTGTATGTGATATGCTTCTTCTGCTGCTTTGAGAATTCTTTCTTAGTTTTTGAATTTTGATAGTTTGATTGTAATGTGTCTTGATGAACTCTTCTTTGGGTTGAATTTAATTGCATATTCCTGAGCTTCTTGTAATTCAATATTCTCTTTTCCCAGATGGGAACTTTTTGGCCATTATTTCTTTAAATAAGCTGTCTGCCTCTTTCTTGCACTCTTCACCATCTGTAGTTTTAGTATCCAAATAGTAGTTTTCTTGGTGGTGTCCCATAGACCTGTAGGCTTTCTTAATACTTTTTCATTTTTTTTCTTTTTCTTCTCTGACTGGATGATTTCCAATCATCTATATTTGCATTCAGTTATTTGTTATTCTGCTTGATGTAATCTGCTATTGAAGCATCTTTGGTATTTTTTACTTCAGTCATCATACTGTTCAGCTTGAAAATTTATCTGGTTCTTTTTTCAAGTTTTGAATCTCTGCTTACCTTCTTGTTTTGTTCATATTCTGTCTTCCTGATCTTTTAAAAATATTTGTTTTTTTGTAATTTGCTGAGCTTCTTTAGAACAATTATTTTGAATACTTTGTCAGGCAATTCATGTACCTCCAATTCTTCGTGGTCACACACTGGAAAGCTTCTTGTGTTTTTCTGGCAATATAATGTTTCCCTGATTCTTCCTCATCCTTGTAGTCCTGCAAAGGTGTCTGCACTTTTGAAGCAGCAGTCACCTCTTTCAGACATTATGGCCTGGCTTTGGCAAGGAAAGCCCTTTACCTAAGGAGGAAAAAGGGAGACATACTAGGTGCACTGTGGCACTGGGTCTAGACCATAGGAAACCAAATGCAGGGGCATAGTGTGGCTCTGGGTCTGGTGGTGTGGCGGCAGATAGGGGCCGAGTCTAGTCAGCTCAGGCATGCCTACAACATTGGCAACTGCATGGTCCTTTGTGTCAAGAGCTGTGGGAGTTTCGCAAAGATTATGAGGGCTGTTGGGGTCCTCAGCTATGTATATGTGACAAACAGCTAGGGTCTGGGACTGGCAGCAGTGGAGGCCAGAGCTGAAAGTGTACACATGCTCCACTGTGGAGTCTGGTTGCAGCAGCAGCCTGTTGTAGTCTCACACATGGTAGCAAGAGCTTGGGTCATATGCCGAAGCTGGGCCTGAATGTGAGCATAGATGTGGTGGTAGGTGCTGCAGGTTGCCCATGCCTGATCACAAGGGCCAGATGCATGGTGGCAACAGGGGTCAGGCTGTCTGCATGTGTGTGTTTGTGTGTGTGTGGCAACTGCAGGGCTCAACTGGAGGTGGGTAGGCATGTGCAGCATGGTGATAAATGCAGGACCCATGGGGCAGGACCAGTGGCTTATGCATGCACCACTACAGGAACCAGGGCTGGCAGCATGCAGTAGTCCTGCAGAGATCAGCCTTGAGTGTATGTGGGGTCAATTTCTGAGGTGAGGGGCTTTGGGGCTCTTTGCAGGCACAGGTGCAACAGCTGCACTGGGCCTCTGGGCCAGAGCACCCATGTAAGCAACATCAGGGGTGGCTTTGGAAAGGATGGTTGTCTTAGGCACCTGCGGTATATGAAGGCCACTGCAGTAGTACCCTGGGCTGGGACAACCACAACAGAAGCAGTTCAGGTGGCTTTGGGGAGGAGGGTGGTTGGTTAGGCACCTAAAGACTTCAAGGCTCCTGGGTTGTGTCACCAGGCTGAGGAAACTGCAGCAATAGCAATCCTGCCCTACATGGCTCCTGGGAATGGGGAGGGGAGGTAACGCCAGCACCTAAGACTATGAAGGTGAAGAAAACTGCAAGGCCTTCAGTAGCAAAAGTGGCAGGGGGGTTATTGCTGGTGTGCTGGCATTTGTTTTTCTCAGTAGTAAAAGCTGCTATGTTCCTCTGCAGGACAAGCTGCTGGGCTCCACAATTTCAAACACTGAGGAATCCTCAGCAGTTAAGGCTGTGGGGTCTACACAGCAGCTCCAGGGGCTGTTTGGGTCCTCAGTGGAGAAGTCTGCTGCTTTCCCATGTCAGGTAGGCCACTGGGGGTCACAGTAACTTCCACCTTTTGGCTGATTCTAAAAGAGCTCATCCAGGCCAGGCGCGGTGGCTCACCCCTGTAATCCCAGCACTTTGGGAGGCCGAGGCGGGTGGATCACCTGAGGTCAGGCGTTCGAGACCAGCCTGGCCAACATGGTGAAACCCTGTCTCTACCAAAAATACACAAATTAGCCAGGCATGGTGGTGGGCACCTGTAATCCCAGCTACTCAGGAGGCTGAGGCAGGAGAATCGCTTGAACCTAGGAGGTGGAGGTTGCAGTGAGCCGAGATGACGCCATTGCACTCCAGCCTAGGCGATAGACCAAGACTCCGTCTCAAAAAAAAAAAAAAAAAAAAAAAAAAACCCTCATCCCTTGTCTTTGTTCTCAGCTGTCTCCAGATATCTCAGCTATGCAGGTTACCCCCAGAGATCTGGGTGGGGTGAAACTGAAGCTAGTCATATAGGCAGTGTCCTAAAATACTGGCAAAACTGGTTCTATACCTTGCTCTGCTTTGTCTTGCAAGGCAAACTTAAGCTAGGGAGGTCCCTCTCCATGCTGAGCAGTGTCAGCATGAAGGATGCAGTGATGGAGGTGAAATGAACTTGTTCTTATTACCATTTTTGTGTGGCTCTTCTTGGGTTTTCTCTTCTACTGTATTGTTGTGTCACCTTAAGTGGATCCTAGCCTCTTCCAGAGATATTTTGGTTCATGGATAGTTGCAGAATTGTTCTTCACAGGGAGAGGAAGGCTGAATCTCCTACTCTGACATCATGCTGACCTCACTCCACTAGACAAGGAGTTTAAATTAAATATTTCAAATATGCTCAAAGACATAAAAGAAACAATAGACAAAGAACTAAAAAACACAGAGAGAATAATGTCTCAACAAACAGAAATTATACATTAGAAATAGCACTTATAAAAAGGAACCAAATAGAAATTCTGGAGCTGAAAATACAATAACTGAAACAAAAAAATTCATTCCAGGCATTCAACAGAAAATTTGAGCAGCCAATAGAAAGAAACAACTTGAATAGGTCAATTGAAATTATTCAGTCTAAGGGGCACAAATACAAATAATTAAGAGAAATGAAGAGAATGTGAGGGACCTATGGAACACCATCAAGATGCCAACACACACATTATGGAAGTTTCAGGAGGGGATAGAGTGAACTAGCATTAAAAAAAAGGGAGAAATAATGGTTAAAAAAACTTCCCAAATTTGATAAGACACATTAATCTACACATTAAAAAAACCTCAGTGAGCCAGGCCAACCCCAACAGCCCCAGGCTCCAGACCAGCTCACCACTAGGCCAGCCCCCACAGTCCCAATCTTCAGTTCTACCCCAGCAATCAGCTGTTCCCTGCAACTCTAGTCATTAGGCTGACACCCACAAACCCATCTCCAGGCCAGCCCCTGTGGTGCCAGGTTTCAGGCTTGCTCCAGCACCATGTCAGCAATGCTGGACTTAAACACCAGGCAGGCACCCACAGACACAGGCTCCAGGCCTGCCCAGCACCAGGCCAGTCCCCATGACCTCACACTCTAGCTGGACCCTGTGGCTTCATAGCTTCAGCAGACCCAGGGTCCAGGCCTGTCCCAGTAGACCCCTGTGCTGGATTTGCCACTACAGACACAAGCTTAAAGATTGCCCCAGTGTACTCAGGTCACAGGAACCCTCAAGTCATCCAAACCCAGGCCAGCCCTCACAGTCTTAGCCTCTAGGCCAGCACCTACACACCCAGCCTCCAGGCTGGGACAAGTGGACATGAGCTCTAGGCTGAGCCTGACAGCCCCGTGCTTAAGACCAGCCCCAGGATCTCCAGGCACAAAGTCAGTTCCCATAGACCTAGGCTTCAGACTAGACCCTGTGAACCCAGGCTTTACACCAGCCCTAGCACCAGGTTAGCCTAGGTTGATCCCAGTGGAAACAGGCTCCAGAAAACACAAGATCCAGGCTTGTTCCAGCAGACGCAGGGTCAAGGCCCACTGTAGTAGACGCCAATGGCGGGCTAGATCCCATGGACTGAGGCTTCAAGACTATATCTGCAGACATAGGATCCAGGCCAGGCCCTGTGGGCCCAGGACCCAGACCTGCACTATGGACTCAGGGTCCAGGCCAGCCCCAGTGCCAAGCCAGTGCTTGTGGACTCAGGCTCCAGGATCATCCCAGCACCTGCCCAGCCCCTGTAGATGTAGGTCTAAGGCCCACCCCATCAAGTGCTAGATCAGCCTCTGTGGACCAGGCTTCAGGCTTGCCTCTGGAGACACAGGTCTCAGCCTCAGACTCATGGACCCAGGCTCTGGGCTCATCAGTGCAGTCCCAATTAACAGGTTCACCCAAGTGGATGCAGGTCCAGACTCAACCCTGCAGTTTAGGAGTCAGGCCTGTCTACCTACTGACCCAGGCGTAGGCCAGCTTGTTCAAGGACTCCAGCAACAAGGTTTTCTTCAAATCACGCCTGAGAGCCTGCCAAGAATATTTGGATGAGCTGATTGGTGAAGGGCTTTCCCAGGCAAAGCATTCTATAAAAACTGAAACAAGTCCCAAATTGTTCAAATCCACAGACATCAACTTAAGGCAACAAGAAACATGAAACACCAAGGAGACATAACATCACCAAAAAAACACAATAATCTCTCAGTAGGCCGGGCACGGTGGCTCACGCCTATAATCTCAGCACTTTGGGAGGCCGAGGCTGGTGGATCACGAGGTCAGGAGTTCAAGACCAGCCTGGCCAAGATGGTGAAACCCCATCTCTACTAAAAAAAAAAAAAAAAAAAACAAAAATTAGCCGGGCATGGTGGCGGGTGCCTGTAATCCCAGCTACTCGGGAGGCTGAGACAGAGAATTGCTTGAACCTGGGAGTTGGAGGTTGCAGTGAGCCAAGATCGTGCCACTGCACTCCAGCCTGGGCAACAGAGGAAGAATCCATCTCAAAAATAATAATAATAATAATAATAATCTCTCAGTAGCTGACCCCAAAGAAATGGAGATGTACAGACTGCCTGGCAAATAATTCAAAATAATTATTTAAGAAAGTTCAGGCTGGCGCAGTGGCTCATGCTTGTAATCCCACCACTTTGGGAGGCTGAGGAGGGTCAATTGCTTTAGCTCAGGAATTCAAGACCAGCCTGGACAACATGGTGAGAACCCGTCTGTACTAAACATACAAAAAAAATTAGTCGGGTTTATTGGTGCACACCTGTAGTCCCAGCTACTTGGGAGGTTGAGGTGGATCACTTGAGCCCTGGGGGTGGAGGTTGCAGTGAGCTGAGATCTCACCACTGCACTCCAGCCTGGGTGACAGAGTGAGACCTACCCAGTCTCAAAAAAAAAAAAAAAAGTTCAACAGCTTAAATAAAACAATTAAAAGTAATAATAATGACTAAAAGAACAAATTTAACTGAGATTGAAATTAATTTTTAAAAAAATCAAACAGAAATTCTGAAGCTGAAAAGTAAAAGGAATGAAATGAAGAGGAAATCTGTGAACTCATAAGACTAGCAATTTGAAAATATATCATCAGAGGCTAAAGAAGAAAAGGAATGAAGAAAGCTTACTTCATTTATGAGATAACATCAACAGAACAAATATTCAAGTTATGGAAGTTCATTAAAGAGAAGAACAGGCTGGGCGCAGTGGCTCACACCTGTAATCCCAGCACTTTGGGAAGCCGAGGTGGGTGGATCACCCGAGGCCAGGAGTTCAAGACCAGCCTGGCCAACATGGTGAAACCCCGTCTCTACTAAAAATACAAAAATTAGCTGAGTGTGGTGGCAGGTGCCTGTAATCCCAGCTACTTGGGAGGCTGAGGCAGGAGAATCGCTTGAACCCAGGAGGTGGAGGTTGCAGTGAGCCAAGATCACTCTATTGCACTCCAGCCTGGGCAACAAAAGCAAAATTGTGTCTCAAATGAAAAAAAAAAGAGAGAGAGAGAGAAAGAGAAGAACAAAGGGGAAGAAAGCTTATTTAAAGAAATAATGGCAGAAAAAAAATTCAAATTTGGAGAAAGATGTAAATATCCAAATACAGGAAGGTCAAAAGTTTCCAATCAGATTCAATCCGAATGTAATAAGACTACATCAAAACATATTACATATTATAATGAAACTGTCAAAAATCAAAAACAAAGAAAAAATTATAAAAGCAGCAGGAAAAAAGAACCAAATAATATATAATGGTTTTTCCAATAAGGCTAGCAGATTTCTCAGCAGAGACCTTATAGGCCAGAAGAAACTTGGATGAGATGTTCAAAGTGCAGGAAGAAAACTGCCAACCAGCAATACTGTACTTGGAAAAGCTGTCCTTTAGAAATAAAGATGAGGTTGGGCACAGTGGCTCACACCTGTAATCTCAGCACTTTAGGAGGCCAAGGCGGGCAGATCACTAGAGGTCAGGAGTTCCAGACCAGCCTGGCCAACATGGTGAAACCCCGTCTCTACTAAAAGTACAAAAAATCAGCCAGGCATGGTGGCACACGCCTGTAATCCCAGCTACTCGGGATGCTGAGGCAAGAGAATTGCTTGAACCCAGGAGGCGGAGGCTGCAGTGAGGCAAGATTGTGCTGCTGCACTCCAGCCTGGGCAACAGAGTGAGACTCCATCTCAAAAACAAAACAAACCAAAACAAAAATAAGTGAAAGGTCAAATGCTCTAATAGTGTAATGGTGGTGGTTTGTGAATCATTTTTATTTTTAGTATGAAGGTTATAAGACAAAGCTATTAAAATAATAGTAGCACCTTGGGAGGCTGAGGTGGGAGGCTCGCTTGAGCTCAGGAGTTCAAGACCAGCCTGGGCAACATAAAGAGACCTTGTCTCTACAAGAAAATTTTTAAAAAATTAGATGGAATGGTGGCACATGCCTGTGGTCCTAGCTACTTGGGAGGCTGAGGTGGGAGGATTGCTTGAATTCAACAGGTAGAGTCTGCAGTGAGCCATGATGGCACCACTGCACTGCAGCCTGGGTGACAGTGAGACTCTTTCTGAAAAATAATAAAAATAATAATAGCTACAATAATTTGTTAAGGGATACGCAATATAAATATATGTAAATTGTGACATCAAAAATTTTAAATGAGGGAGGGAACAGAATAAAATGTAAAGTTTTTGTTTTTTTTGTTTTTTTGTGTTTTTTTGAGACAAGGTCTCACTCTGTCACCCAGGCTGGAGTGCAGTGGTAAAATCTCAGCTCACTGCAACCTCCACCTCCTGGGTTCAAGCGACTGTCATGCCTCAGCCTCCTGAGTAGCTGGGATTACAGGCACATGCCACCATGACCAGCTAATTGTTTTTGTATTTTTTGGTAGAGATGGAGTTTCACCATGTTGGCCAGGCTGGTCTCCAACCTGACCTCAAGTGATCCGCCTGTCTCGGCCTCCCAAAGTGCTAGGATTACGGGTGTGAGTCACCGCACCTGGCAAACGTAGAGTATTTTTATGTATCTAAGATAAGCTGTTATCAGCATAAAATAGACTATTATAACTATAAGAAGCCTTATGTAAGCCTCATGGTAAGGACAAAGCAAAAACCTATAGTAGATACACAAAATATAAAAAGTAAGAAATGAGTCAGACATGGTGGCTCACATCTCTAATCTTAGCACTTTGGGAGGCTGAGGTGGGAGTATTCCTTGATGCCAGGAGTTTGAAACCAGCCTGGGCAACACAGTAAGACCCCATCTCTACAGAAATTTTTTTAAAAATTAGCCAGGTTTGGTAGTGCATACCTGTAGTCCTGGCTACTCAGGAAGCTGAGGTGGGAGAATCACTTGAGCCCAAGAGGTGGAGGCTGCGGTGTGCCATGAGCATGCCACTGCACTCCAGCCTGGAAAACAAAATAAGACCCTGTCTCAAAAAATAAATAAATAAATAAATAGGAATGAAAGCATGCTAATAGATAAAATCATATAATTACAAAGGAAGAAAAGACAGGAAGAAAGAAACAAAAGGTCTACAAAATAACCAGAAAATAACTAACAAAATGGTAGTAGTAAGTCCTTACCTATGAATAATTACCTTACTGTAATTGGATTAAATTCTCCAGTCAAAAGAAAGAGTGGCTGAACGAGTTTTTTTATAGCCAAAAAAAAAAAAAAAGCCTCAGCTATAGGCTACCTACAACAAATGCACTTCACCTGTAGGAAAACACACAAAGTAAAAGGATGGAAAAAGATATTCTATGCAGATGGAATCAAAAGAGAGCGGAGTACATTGTATTTATATTAGGCAAAATAGACTTTAAGTCAAAAACCATAAAAAGAGACAAGGGAGATCACACTATAATGATAAAGGGGTCAGTTCATTAAAAAGACATAACAAATATAAATGTACATGTACCAGCCGGGCATGGTGGCTCATGCCTCTAATTCCAGCACTTTGGGAGGCCAGGGCAGGCAGATCACTTGAGGTCAAGAGTTCGAGACTAGCCTGGCCAACATGGTGAAACCCCATCTCTACCAAAAATACAAAAATTAGCCAGGTGTGGTGGTTCACACCTGTAATCTCAGCTACTTGGAAGGGTAAGACAGGAGAATTGCTTGAACCTGGGAGGCAAAATTTGCAGTGAGGCGAGATCTCACCACTGCACTCCAGCCTGGGTGACAGAGCAAGACTCAGTCTCGAAAAAAAAAAGTATATATATATATGTTTGTGTGTATATATATGTGTGTATATATGCATATGTGTATATGTATATATGTATGTGTGTATATGTATATATGTGTATATGTATATGTGTGTATATGTATATATGTGTATATGTATATGTGTGTATATATATATATATGTATATACACACACACACGCACCTAACATTGGAGCACTTAAATATATAAAGCAAATGTTAATAGATCTGAAGAGAGAGACAAACTATAATATAATAAAAGTAGGGAACTTCAATAACTCACTTTCAACAATGAACACATTCTATAGAAAGTAAATCAATGAGGAAACATAGGACGTTGTTTTGAGACCCCCCAGTTAAATTAAGGTTCCAGTACTAGAGTGGCTAGCAACCTTGACCTAGGGGAACATGAAAGGGAGTTAGACATGGGTGTTTACAGTGTGCCTTTCATGGGATACTTCTTTTACCTGGTTGACAGCCTAATGCCTAGCTGTCTGACCTGTAACCAGGAGAGTGCCCTCACACAGGAAACTTGTTTATACTGGCAGAGACCAGATCACTGTGACTTTTGTCTGACTTGTGTCCAATTTATGCCATGCTTGCCATCACTCTGCCACTGGGAGCCAGACATGATTTTCTCACCAGCATTCTGGGCAAAACTCAGCCTGGAGCAGCCCCGAGTTCTTCAGGTGAAAGGTAAAAAATCAATATGTACCACAATAGGAAACAAGTTCAAAGATTTTTACTTAGATTCTGGTCAGGTGGCCAGGCATGGTGGCTCACACCTGTAATCCCAGCACTTTGGAAGACCGAGACAGGCGGATCACCTGAGGTCAGTATTTCAAGACCAGCCTGGTCAACATGGTGAAACCCCATCTCTACTAAAAATACAAAAATTAGTCAGGTGTGGTGGCGCACGCCTGTAGTCCCAGCTAATCAAGAGGCTGAGGCAGGAGAATCGCTTGAACCCGGGAGGCAGAAGCTGCAGTGAGCCGAGACTGCACCACTGCAGTCCAGACTGGGTGACAGAGTGAGACTCCGTCTCAAAAAATAATAATAATATTAAAATAAAATTGTATTCAAAATGGATATTGAGGCAACATAAAATTTTAAGAATTTTCTACAATCCACCCATTGGTGCCTCAGCATTATATTTTAAGTCTAAAGCAGCTGTGGTTGAATGGTGAAGATATATTAACTTTAAAGAGAAAGAGAGGTTGTGGTGGTTATATTCGCAAGGTGAGAAACTGTGGTGGAAAGCTGGGGGTCGTAGTAGAAAAAGACATCAGGGAGTGGGTAGTCCTCCCCTAGGGTGTCAAGGGGTTGATGAATATAGGGGCTGGTGTTTCCTGGGGAAAGTACTAATCTCCATTAATTTTAGTAACATGTATCAGAGTCCCTTGTAGGTGTGGGATGTGAGGGTAACAGAGAGCAAGAAATGTACCAGAATCATGGGCTAAGCAAAAAAAGTCCTGTGTCCATTTGTGTCTTAGGAGAAGCAGTCCATGGACATCACTAGAGTGCAGATTTAGTGCAAGTGGGGATGTCCTCTGCAGCACAGAGGCAGAGTCATTCCCAACACCAACGTCTTGGGTTGGGTGATATTGTCTGAGGCAATGTCATACCCAGCAGTAAAGTTTTGAGTTGGGGCAATATCCTCTGAAGCTATGTCATCTCCATAGGTGAGATTTTGGGCCAAGACAATGTCATCTAGGATATGGGACTGGGTATCCTTTACAAGTGGGTACCCACTCAAGTAGATGTGGGCCTCAGCATTTTTCATGTTTACTTGAAACAATCAACTACTGGAGGGTTTGGGCCTCTGGTTCTAAACCAATTAAAGCACCCAAACCACTGGTAAGAAGACCAACGATCAACAGAATAGAATGCAGTTGCACCTGATAGAGTTTTGTTTTAGGTGGAAATTTAGGTTCAAATGGTACCTTATCATATGAGAAGCTGTCTGGTCTATGGGAAAAGCTATGGTTAATGAATCTGAGGAGAGTAAGTGTCTTTGATCTGGTCTCCAGCCTTTATGGGATGGGAGTAAGATCAAAAAATTATTTCAAAAAATAGATTAAGGCCTGGGGCAAATTAGAGAGCTTTAGGAGTGTATTTGTTGGACTGGAATTTGAAAAGAAATTGTTGCCAGGTGCGGTGGCTCACGCCTGTAATCCGAGCACTTTGGGAGGCTGAGGCGGGCGGATCACCTAAGGTCAGGAGTTTGAGACCAGCCTGGCCAACTTGGTGAAAGTCTGCCTCTACTAAAAATGTAAAAAATTAGCCAGGCATGGTGGTGGGTGCCTGTAATCCCAGCCACTCAGGAGGCTGAGGCAGGAAAATCACTTGAACCCTGGAGGCGGAGGTTGCGGTGAGCCAAGATCATGCCATTGCACTCCAGCCTGGGTAACAAGAATGAAACTCCATCTCAAAAAAAAAAAAAGAAGAAAAAAGAAATTGTTTGAAGATATCATTGTATCTCCCAATTAAATCAGTTATTTGGAATCTATCTTTTGTTTTATTTTTTATTTTATTTTATTTATTTATTTATTTGATACTGAGTTTCACTCTTGTTGCCCAGGCTGGAGTGCAATGGCATGATCTTGGCTCACCGCAACCTCCGCCTCCCGGGTTCAAGCGATTCTCCTGCCTCAGCCTCCCGAGTAGCTGGGATTACAGGCATGCGCCACCACACCCAGCTAATTTTGTATTCTTTTAGAAGAGACAGGGTTTCTTCATGTTGGTCTGGCTGGTCTCGAACTCCCGACCTCACGTGATCTGCCCGCCTCAGCCTCCCAAAGTGCTGGGATTACAGGCGTGAGCCACTGTGCCCAGTTATTATTTATTTTATTTTATTTTTTTGAGACACTCTTGCTCTGCCACCCAGGCTGGAGTTCGGTGGCTCAATCTTGGCTCATTGCAACCCCTGCCTCCTGGGTTCAAGTGATTCTCGTGCCTCAGTCACCCAAGTTGCTGGGACTACAGGCGTACACCACCATGCCTGGCTGATTTTTGCATTTTTAGTAGAGATGGGGTTTCACCATGATGGCCAGGGTGGTCTCGAACTCCTGACCTCAAGTAATCTGCCTGCTTCGGCCTCCCAAAGTGCTGGAATTACAGGCGTGAGCCACCGCACCCAGTGAAAGCCTTTATTTCTAGGACAACCCAGTTAGCCAGCCATGTGTTATTTTAATGGTGCATAACATGAGAATTTCTTGCATTGGAAGCCCTGAAGTAACTAATGACTATCATGAGTGGTCCAGAGATTCCAGGAGGCATGAAAAAGGTTGCTGTGAACAAGTTTTTTGAAAGTACTAACAGGAGTGATGGTTAATTTTAATTTATAAGTAAAAAAAGACATTGGACTTATATGTACTTATTGAGTGTGTCAGATGAATCTCCTTGAAAAAGGATGTCATTACTGTAATGGCATACCTGTGTTCCTGGAGAAAGGTAGATGTCATCAAAATGTTATCTGCAAAGCCTGTCCCAAATAAGCAATCTCTGAGGAAACTTGTTAACCACTAGATCAACCTTAAAAGTAATTGTCAGGAAGTTCTAAACCTAGAAAAAAAAAAAAGACATTTGCCATCATAAAAACATGAAAGGATAAAACTCACTGGTAAAGCAATCATCACACAAAGAAGGAAGAAGAAAACCTCAAATTTTACCATTACAGAAATCCACCAAACCCCAACAATAAGCAATAGGAGAAAACCTAAGGAACAAAGAATATATAAACAACCAGAAAACAATTGACAGTATGACAGGAACAAAACCTCAAGCATCAAAAATAACCTTGAGGCTGGGTGCGGTGGCTCACGCCTGTAATGCCAGCACTTTAGGAGGCTGAGGTGGGCAGATCACCTGAGGTTGGGAGTTCAAGACTAGCCTGACCAACATGGAGAAACCCCATCTCTACTAAAAATACAAAAAATTAGCCAGGCATGGTGGCACATGCCTGTAATCCCAGCTACTCAGGAGGCTGAGGCAGGAGAATCACTTGAACCTGGTAGGCGGAGGTTGCAGTGAGCCAAGATCACACCATTGCACTCCAGCCTGGGCAACAAGAGCGAAACTCCGTCTCAAAAAAATAAATAAATAAATAACCTTGAATGTAAATGGATTAAATTCTCTACTTGACCAGTGAAGACACATATGGACTAAAAGAGATGGAAAAAAATATTTCACACAAATTGAAACCCAAAGCAAGCAGAAGTAGCTATATTTATATCAGATAAGACAGACTTTAAGTCAAGAACAGGCCAGGCATGGAGGCTCATACATGTAATCGCAGCAGTTTCGGAGGCCAAGGTGGGAGGATCACTTGAGGCCAGGAGTTTGAGACAAACCTGAGCAAAATAGTGAGACCCTGTGTTGACAAGATAAATATTAAAAAATTAGCCAGATGTGGTGGCATGTGCTACTCAGGAGGCTAAGGTACCGACCATTTATGCCCAGGAGTTCAAAGCTGCAGTGAGCCATGATCACATCACTGCATTCCAGCCTGGGCACCCTGTCTTATTGTTATTATATAATAACAAAGGGATCCATCCAGCAAGAGGATATAATAATTGTAAATATATATGCACCTAACACTAGAGCACCAAGATTCATAAATCAAATATTGGCCGGGCGTGGTGGCTCATGCCTGTAATCCCAGCACTTTGGGAGGCCGAGGTGGGTGGATCACCTGAGGTCGGGAGTTCACGACCAGCCTGACATGGAGAAACCCCGTCTCTACTAAAAAATGCAAAATTAGCCGGGGTGGTGATGCATGCCTGTAATCCCAGCTGCTCGGGAGGCTGAGGCAGGAGAATCGCTTGAACCCAGGAGGCAGAGGTTGTGGTGAGCCAAGATCGCGCCACTGCACTCCAGCCTGGGTGACAAGAGTGAAACTCCGTCTCAAAATAAATAAATAAATAAATAAATAAATAAATAAATAAAATATTACTAGATATAAAGAGACTGTAATACAATAATAGTGGGGAAATTAAACAATCCATTCTCAACATTAGACAGATTATCTAAACAGAATATCAACAAAGAAGCATTGGATTTCAACTGCACTCTATACCAAATTGACCTAACAGATGTTTACAAAACATTCTATCTAGCAACTGCAGAATATATATTATTTTCATCAGTACATAAAACATCCTCTAGGATAGACCATATGGTAGGCCACAAAGCAAGACTCCACAAATTTTTTAAAAATCGAAATCATATTGGGTATCTTCTTAGACCACAATGGAATAAAACTAGAAATCAATACCAGGAGGAACTTTGGAAACTATACAAATACATGTAAATCAAACACAATGCTCCTGAATAACCATTGCATCAACAAAGAAATTAAGATGAAAATCAGGTTCTGGTTCAAGATGGCTGACTAGAAGCAGCTAGTGGGCACCTCTCTCATGGACAGGAGTTAAAATAGTGAGTAAATACTAACATTTCGAGTGGATCATGTAAGAGAGCATGCTGAAATTCACCAGAGAAACAATAGGAACCATGGAGAACACAGGAGAATGAAGCTAGGCACTGTGCTTAGCCAGGATGGGTGTGGAGCTAGGAGAGGCTTCCTAACATGGGAGACAGGTGAGTGAGTGAGAGATTCAAGGGGTTCCACATCTCCAACACGGACCATTACAATCCAAGTCATGGAAGAGCCCCCTTGACTCCCCTTAGGTCTCCAGACTAACACAGGGAGCCACCTGGAGACTGAGCAGAGGTACCACTCAAGCCCACGTGGAATTCAACAGACTTTTGATCCCCAAGCAGCCTTGAGCCAGGTGCTGCTGCCCTGGCCAAGGAGGGAGGTCAGGCATTTTCACATGCTCCTAGGAGAGATACCATGGCCATGGTAAGAAGGAATGGGTACATGACAAACCATATGGCTCCCACCTCTGCTGCACCCTGCCAAACAGGGCTTGCCTGCTTTTGGGGCAGAACACCAACAAACCAACCCTGCCCCCACCTTAACATTGCAGGCACAGTTCAACTCCCAAAGGCCCCCAGCTCCCAGAAGCCATCTAAAGGCCCTCTGTAGCCTCTGCTACTGCGTCCTTAACTCCTGCCACCCACAGGCCAGGGAAGAAATGAGGAGGGAGGAAACTTTTGTGCACCCCAGTCATGATACAGAGGAGTGGTCAGGCTGCACATTGCATGATCCCTCACCTCCATGGCTCCCCACCAGACATGATATGCCTGCTTCAATGAAAGTCTCCCAGCACAGCACAACTGCCCTGCTCTTGCCTGAACACTGTGGCTATATCTTGGCATTCCTCTGAGGGCCCAAATCCTAGAGGTCACTGTTAGGCCCTTCCAAGTTGCTGCCACTGCTGCCTCTGCTCCTGCTGCCTGCAGGCCAGGGAGGGAATGGGGAGGTGGGGCAATATTGAACACCCCTAAGACAGAACCAAGGCTCCTCAGGACTTAGCATGTCCTTCTAGGATTGTTTTGGAAGGGACCAGCTGTGCAGATACCATGGAGGTGGTACTGATCTTTGTATACAGCCTGCTCGTCCCGGTGGTCCTGGCCAGTGCAGCTAAGGAGAAGGAAATAGATCCTTTTCATTATAACTACCAGACCCTGAGGATTGGAGGATTGGTATTTGATGTGGTCCTCTTCCTGGTTGTGAGCCTCTATAGAGTCTTGCTCTGTTGCCCAGGCTGGAGTGCAGTGGCAGGATCTCACACTGCAATCACTGCCTTCTGGGTTCAAGCAATTCTCGTGCCTCAGCCTCCCAAGTAGCTGGGATTACAGGTATGCACCACCATGCCCCGCTAATTTTGTATTTTTAGAAGAGACAGGGTTTCACCATGTTGGCCAGGCTGGTCTTGAATTCCTGACCTCAAGTGATCTGCCCGCCTCGGCCTCCCAAAGTGCTGGGATTACAGGTGTGAGCCACCGTGCCCAGCCGAGCTGCCATCTTCTAAGTCACAGGTGCAAGTGCAGTTTCAATCAGAAGCCCCAGGATCCAGGAGATAAGGAAGCTCAGGTGGAAAACTTCATCACTGCAAATGCAAAAGAGCCCCAGAAAGCAAAAAACTGAAGTGCAGCCCACAGGTAGGCAGCCTCTGGAACTGGAAGGTAGCTGCTTGAACCTTTAGATGCAAATATCGATGCTTAAGAAAACCGGCCACTTTAGCAACAGATATTTTCCCAGGAGAAGGCAAGAACTTGTGCATCTCCCTGTGCCCATCCCTATCTCTTCTAACAACATTCTTCAACCTAATGATGCAACTAACATTTGCCTCCCTCATGCAGCCTGTGGTCTTGCCCAGCTCCTGTTACGTGTCTGTGTATGTGCGTGTTTGTCGACTGTGGTCTTTGTGGCTACTTGTTCATGGATGATATTGTGTTAGTGAACTGTGGAGACTCACTTTTCCAGGCAGGAGCGGAGCCATGTCACCACTGATCCCTCCCTGCCACCACGAGTCTCCATCATCTCCTGCTTCTAGGAGTCCACTTATTCCCTGAGAGACCAACCCCTTTTGTTGATTTAGGGATGGGTTTGGGTAGGAGCATGGGCAGGAATCTCCAATTATCCTAGGACCTGGGGAGGTTTGCATCACCGTCATTATAGTTCCTCATGGACCCTCTTCACTCCTCTACAAGAAACTCGCTTCCTTATTTCACCCTCACATGAGTCTATCCTGAAGGTCTCTTAGTATTAATAATTGGAGATTCAAAGCAAGAAGCTGGTGAGCCCAGCCATTGCCTTCAGGCAAGCTACTCCCTTTCATGATCATTTTTTTCCAGGAGGCCTCCACTGAGAAGTCTGCATCAACCCTGCCCTTCTGCAGAGTTCCCAGTGATTTTAGGCTAAGGGCTTCTACTCTACCCCTGGGGAATGTGACCCTTGCGTATCTTCTCAGCAATAACCCCATGGGCTCTGGGACTGTACCCCTCTTCAACCTTCCCTGCTTCTGAGATTTCAATCTACAAGCCAGCTCATCAGGATGCAGACTCCTATCCCTAAAGTTGGGTAACTGGCAGGTGATGGCTGAGGGACCCCCATTCTGTTGGGGCCAACACACTGGGATGGGCAGAGTGAGAGTAGGGGTCCTTTGATTCTCTGCCCATGTTCCCTTGGTCAGACAACAGAGACAAATCCTGCATCCTTTGCTTTGCCTGTCAGTATTCAGAGTTGTGAGTGAGGAAGGTTAGAGATCTGGAAGACTCTGTATAGCCCTGCTGCAGAGGGAACAGCAAGAGGTCAGAGGTTACAATAAGAACAGTAACTCAAACCAGTTTCTGCCCCTACTGTCCTCCATGTTCCTGTGGAAACCAAACTGCTGCTATGACCATACTGCTGTTCTCTCTATTGTGATCTATCCTCTCAACAACAGAAAAAAGACATAAAATATTGTTTCCAAAAGAAAGACACAACCTGCAGCCACAATGCAAAGGAGCAGGCAGAATACACACAGTGTGAACCCATGCTTCCATGGCTCCATGCAAGCTAAGGCTTGCCTGTTTCAGTAACAGGCCCCACATGTACCTGCCCCACCCTTGCCTGAATGCTGTGGCTTTGGGTGAACTCCCAGAGGCTGCCAACTCCCAGAGGCCGCTGATAGGCCCTCCACACCCTCTGCCACTGCTGCTTCTGCCCCTGCTGCCCACAGGCCAGGGCAGCAGGCACCTTCATAGGCCCCAACAGTGAAATCCAGAACTGCTTCTGTGGAGGAAAGTGCAAGCAGGCCGCATGCTCCACAGCTGCCAGTCTTTACTGCCTCAGAAGAGGGGGCCTGCCCTCCCCAGTGAAAGTCTGACAGCACAGCTACCCTGCTCTTGCCAGACCATTTCAACTGCAGCCCAGCCCCCATAAGCCTGTTGTCTCCCTGCCCCTGCCTAAGAGTTCTGCCAGTGACCCAGGGACCAGACTACCATTCTCAATCACATCAAGCACCTGAAATGTGGGCTGACACAGTCCTGGTCCAGCCCCTTTCAGACTCATACATGACATTCAATGGGCCATATAGGGGCCTGAGAATAGAGGAGTCATCTACTCTAGTCCACCACTGCTGGCACCTGACCACCCCCACCCCCAGGGTCGGAGGTTGGACCAGCCCAACCAGCCAATATCACCACAACTGACACCCACATACACAGGCCAAATGACAGAGCCCCTACTCCTTTCTACATGAAGCAGCAGGGTTGCTCCATCAGAGAACAGGCAAGCCATAAATCTGTCTGTATTGAGCTGAGTGAAGAGGTTCCATCCCCAAACCACTCCAGTGGAGAACTGTGAGTCAGGTAATTTCCATGGCTCTCAGCTACACTGTGGCCTGGAGATAGAAAACAGTGCATCTGAAAGGAGAGTCATTAGCACCAGGACAGGGGTGTAAAGGAGAAACAGATCACATTCCTGCATATCTAGGGTGTGAAGTCAGTGCAGCTCCCTTACCCCCTGCAGAGACCTTGGTGCATCTCACTAGGAGCTCCCCCAGCCACCCCAGTCAGGGCTGGTGCCTTCACTTGTCATTGGGATATTTATGGGCAAGGCAGGGCTGGTGCCTTTGCTTGTCATTGGGGTATTTATGGGCAAGTCAGGAGTGATTACATACACAGCAGCTTGTGCCCCAGCTGGGTCTTTGTTAGTGCCACTTACTGGCCTGCAGGTCTGACTGCACAGCCCAATGTAAAACCTAATAACAAAAGTGCACAACCAAAGGCAAAGAATTTACCCAACATACACTACAGTTACACTCTCTAGAGGAAATATATATATGTGTGTGTATATATATATGTGTATACACATATATGTGTATACGTGTATACATATATATGTGTATACATGTATACATACATATATGTAAACATACATATATACGTATGTATATATACACATATATACACGTATATACGTATATATGTGTATATACGTATATATGTGTATATATACGTATATACACGTATATATGTGTATATACACGTATATACACGTATATACGTGTATATATGTATATATGTGTATGTATGTATATATGTGTATATGTGTATATATGTGTATACACATATATACACATATGTGTATAGATATATAGATGTGTATAGATATATAGATGTGTATACACATATATATGTGTATAGATATAAAGATGTATATACACATATACATATATGTGTATAGATATATAGATGTGTATACACATCTATATGTGTATAGATATATAGATGTGTATACACATATATATATGAAAAAAATCCCACCTGAATGAAAATAAATTCATAAAGAAGTGGCAGCCTCTCTAGATGAGAAGGAACCAGCATAAGAATTCTGTCACCATGAAAAATCTGAATGTTGTAATGCCACCAAAGGATCACACTAGCTCTCTAGAAACAGTCACTAAGGAAAGTGGAAACTCAAAATGACAGATAAAGACAGATAAAGACATTTTAAAGATAAAGACAGATAAAGACATTTTAAAGATAAAATGACAGATAAAGAGATCAAAGCATGGTTTTGCAAGGAAGTTCAATGAGATCCAAGAGAAGATTGGAAATCAACACAATGAAACCGTGAAAGCAATCCAGAAAATGAAGGAGGATATTAATATCTTTAAAAAAAAAACAGAACTTCTAAAAATGAAAAATTCACTTAAGGAATTTCAAAATGCAATTGAAAGCTTTAACAATAGACTAGACCAAGCAGAAGAGGAAGATAGGTTTTTTTTTTTTTTTAATTTTATAGGGATGGGATTTCACAATGTTGCCCAGGCTAGGCATAAACTCCTGGACCCAAGAGATCCTCCTGCCTCAGCCTCCCAAAGTGCTGGCAGTACAGGCATGATCCACCACACCTGGCAAAAGATAGGTCTTTCAAATTAACCCAGTCAGACAAAAATAAAGAAAAAGTAATTTTATAAAACAAACAAAGCCTTTGAGAAATATGGAATTATGTATAATTCAAGAAAACTTCCTTCACCTTTCTATGGAGGTAGACAGCCAGATACAGGAAATTCAGAGGACACCTATGAAATACTATACAAGGGGAAACATTAGCAAGGCGTATAGTTATCTGACTATCCAAAGCCAACACTAAAGAAAAAAATCTTTTTTTTGTTTTGTTTTTGTTTTTTGAGACACAGTCTCGCTTTGTTACCCAGGCTAGAGTGCAGTGGCACAATCATGGCTCACTGCAACCTCTGCTTCCTGGGTTCAAGCGATTCTCCTGCCTCAGCCTCCCAAGTAGCTGGGATTACAGGCGTGTACCACCATGCCCAGTTAATTTTTGTATTTTTAGTAGAGATGGGGTTTCGCCATGTTGGCCAGGCTGGTCTCAATCTCTTGACCTCGTGATCTGCCCGCCTCAGCCTCCTAAATTGCTGGTATTACAGGCATGAGCCACCATGCCCAGCCCAAGAAAAAATCTTAAAGGCAGCTAGAGAAGAGTCAAATCACCTTAAAGGAAAACCCATCATACCAACAGCCAACTTTTCAGTTGAACTCCTACAAGCCAGAAAACACTGTGGGCCTATTTTTACCCTCCTTAAGGAATAAAAAACAAGCAAGAATTTTATATCCTTCCAAACTAAACATCACAAATGAAGGAGAAATCAAGTCTTTCCCAGAAAAGCAAACACTAAAGGAATTTGTCACCTCTAGATTGGTCCTACAAGAAGTGTTCAAAGGAGTTCTAAACATGGAAATGAAAGGATGATACCATCATAAAAGGACACATAACCACAAAGCTCACAGATCTCATAAAACAATTGAAAAATTAAAACTCCAAAACAACTAACAACACTATGACAAAAACAAAATGTCATATATCAATACTAACCTTAAATGTAAATTCAACCTTAAAGGGTTGAATGCTCCACTTAAAATATACAGAGTGGGCCGGGCACAGTGGCATATATATATATATATATACAAAGTGGCAAATTGGATAATAAAACAAGACCTAACTATCTTCTGCCTACAAGAGACCCACTTACTGGCCAAAGATACCTTCAGTCTGTAAGTAAAAAGATGGAAAAAGTAGAATGATTTATAATCCTTTGGGTATATACCCAGTAATGGGATTGCTGGGTCAAATGGTATTTCTAGTTCTGGATCCTTGAGGAATTGCCACGCTGTTTTCCACAATGGTTGAACTAATTTGCAGTCCCACCAGCATTGTAAAAGCATTCCTATTTCTCCACATCCTCTCCAGAATCTGTTGTTTCCTGACTTTTTAATGAGCGCCATTCTAACTGGTGTGAGATGGTATCTCATTGTGTTTGATTTGCATTTCTCTAATAAACAGTGATGATGAGCTTTTTTTCATATGTTCATTGGCTGCATAATGTCTTCTTTTGAGAAGTGTCTGTTCATTTCCTTCACCCACTTTTTTATGGGATTGTTTGTTTGTTTCTTGTAAATTTGTTTAAGTTCTTTGTAGATTCTGGATATTAGCCCTTTGTCAGATGGATAGATTGCAAAAATTTTCTCCCATTCTGTAGGTTGCCTGTTCACTCTGATGATAGTATGCACACATATGTTTATTGCAGCACTGTTCACAATAGCAAAGATTTGGAACCAACCCGAATGCCCATCAATGATAGACTGGATAAAGAAAATGTGGCACATATACACCATGGAATATTATGCAGCCATAAAAAAGGATGAGTTAATGTCCTTTGCAGGGACATGGATGAAGCTGGAAACCATCATTTTCAGCAAACTATCACAAGAACAGAAAACCAAACACCGCATGTTCTCATTCATAAGTGGGAGTTGAACAATGAGAACACATGGACACAGGGAGGGGAATATCACACACCAGGGCCTGTTGAGGGGTGAGGGGCTAGGGGAGGGCTAGCATTAGGAGAAATACCTAATGTAGATGATGGGTTGATGGGTGCAGCAAACCACCATGGCACGTGTATACCTATGTAACAAACCTGCACATTCTGCCCATGTACCCCAGAACTTAAAGTATAATTTAAAAAAAATTTAGGCTGAGCGTGGTGGCTCACCCCTGTAATCCTAGCACTTTGGGAGGCCGAGGCCAGCAGATCATCTGAGGTCAGGAGTTCAAGACCAGCCTGGTCAACATGGTGAAACCCTGTCTCTACTAAAAATACAAAAATTAGTCCCTCTCCCTCTCCCTCTCCCTCTCCCTCTCCCCGGTCTCCCTCTGATGCCATCAAAGTTGTGAAAGCTGAGGCTCGACTGTACTGCCACCATCTCGGCTCACTGCAACCTCCCTGCCTGATTCTCCTGCCTCAGCTTGCAGAGTGCCTGGGATTGCAGGCGCGCGCCGCCACACCTGACTGGTTTTTGCATTTTTTGGTGGAGACGGGGTTTCGCCATGTTGGCCGGGCTGGTCTCCAGCTCCTGACCACGAGTGATCTGCCTGCCTCAGCCTCCTGAGGTGCCAGGATTGCAGATGGAGTCTCGCTCACTCAGTGCTCAATGTTGCCCAGGCTGGAGTGCAGTAGCGTGATCTCGGCTCGCTACAACCTCCACCTCCCAGCCGCCTGCCTTGGCCTCCCAAAGTGCCAAGATTGCAGCCTCTGCCCGGCCGCCACCCCGTCTGGGAAGTGAGGAGCATCTCTGCCTGGCCACCCATCGTCTGGGATGTGAGGAGCCCCTCTGCCCGGCTGTCCAGTCTGGGAAGTGAGGAGCGCCTCTTCCCGGCCGCCATCCCGTCTAGGAAGTGAGGAGCGTCTCTGCCCGGCCGCCCATCGTCTGAGATGTGGGGAGCGCCTCTGCCCCACCACCTCGTCTGGGATGTGAGGAGCACCTCTGCCCGGCCTTGACCCCATCTGGGAACTAAGGAGTGTCTCTGCCCGACCGCCACCCCGTCTGGGAGGTGAGGAGCGTCTCTGCCCGGCCGCCCCGTCTGAGAAGTGAGGAGCCCCTCCGCCTCACAGCCGCCCCATCTGGGAAGTGAGGAGCCCCTCCGCCTCACAGCCGCCCCATCTGGGAAGTGAGGAGCCCCTCCGCCCGGCCAGCCGCCCAATCCGGGAGGGAGGTGGGGGGCGCCTCCGCCTGGCCACTGCCCCATCTGGGAGGTGGGGGGCGCCTCTGCCCGGCCACCCCGTCTGGGAAGTGAGGAGCCCCTCTGCCCAGCTGCCACTCCATCTGGGAGGTGTACCCAACAGCTCATTGAGAACGGGCCATGATGACAATGGCAGTTTTGTCAAATAGAAAAGGGGGAAATGTGGGGAAAAGAAAGAGAGATCAGATTGTTACTGTGTCTGTGTAGAAAGAAGTGGACATAGGAGACTCCATTTTGTTCTGTACTAAGAAAAATTCTTCTGCCTTGGGAAAAAAAAAAAATTAGCCAGGTGTGGTGGCACATGCCTGTAATCCTAGCTACTTGGGAGGCTGAGGCAAGAGAATTGCTTGAATCTGGGAGGCGGAGGTTGCAGTGAGCCAAGAGGGCGCCACTGCACTCCAGCCTGGGCGATAGGGCAAGACTCTGTCTCAAAAAAAAAAAAAAATTAAAATAAAGAAACAAAAAAACAAAACAAAACAAAAAAACAGATGGAAAAAGATATCACACAAATGAAAAAAA
Organism: Homo sapiens; assembly: GCF_000001405.40. Lineage (NCBI taxonomy): Eukaryota > Metazoa > Chordata > Mammalia > Primates > Hominidae > Homo > Homo sapiens. The sequence goes on from NC_000023.11 coordinate 73,883,100, forward strand.
AAAGAAAGCAGGAAAAACCATTCTCATACCATGTAAAAGAGACTTTAAAACAAGAACACTAAAAAATAAAAGACAAAGAGAGGCATTAGATAATACTAAAGGTTTCAGCATGGCAAGGAGATTGGACAATTTTAAATATATATTCATCCAATACTGGAGCACCCAGATTCCCAAAGCAAATACTAATAGTCCTAAGAAAACAGATTTATAGGAATAAAATAATAGTGGGGGACATCAACACCTCACTAACATCACTACACAAATCATCAAGGTAGAAAATCAACAAAGAAGGCCAGGTGTGGTGGCTCATGCCCGTAATTTCAGCACTTTGGCAGGCCGAGGTGGGTGCATCACCTGAGGTCTGGAGTTCGAGACCAGCCTGACCAATATGATGAAACCCCGTCACTACTAAAAATACAAAAATTAGCCGGCCATAGTGGCATGTGCCTGTAATCCCAGCTACACGGGAGGCTGAGGCAGGAGAATCGCTTGAACCCAGGAGGCAGAGGTTGCAGTGAGCCGAGATCGCGCCATTGCACTCCAGCCTGGGCAACAAGAGCAAAACTCCGTCTCAAAAAATAAGAAAAAAAAAAAAAGAAAAGAAAATCAACAAAGAAACTCTGTACATAAACTATAGACCCAATGGACCTAATAGACATTTACAGAGCATTTCAGCCAATGACTTCAGAATATACATTCTTCTCATTTGTGCATGTAACATTGTCTAAGATTGACCACATGCCTCATTACAAAGCAAGTCTCAACAAATTCAAATAAATCAGACTTATATCAAGCGTCTTCTCAGACCACAGTGGAATAAAATTAAAAACCAATACCAAGAGGAATGTTCAAAATTATGCAAGTACATGGAAACTAAACAACTTTTTTAGAGTGACTCCTGGATAAACAATAAAAACAAACAAGAAATAAAAAGAAGTTCTTTATAATGAATGAAAAAATAGAGATACAACATACCAAAATTTCTGCAATGTAGCAAAAGCAGTAATAGGAGGAAAGCTTATAGTATTAAGCACGTACATCTCATGTTCTTTGCAGGGAGATGAATGGAGCTAGAGGCCATTATCCTTAGCAAACTAACACAGGAACAGAAAACAAAATTCCGCATGTTCTCACTTATAAGTGGGAGCTAAATGATCAGAACACATAAACACATAGAGGGGAGCAACACACACTGGGGCCTATCAGAGGGCGAAGGGTGGGAGGAGGGAAAAGTTCAGGAAAAATAACTAATGGGTACTAGTTTAATACCTGGGTGATGAAATAATCTGTACAACAAACCCCCATAACACAAGTTCACCTATGTAACAAATCTGCACATGTACCCCTGAACTTAAAAGTAAAACAAAAACAAAAACATAAAACAATTAGAAAGAGCTTATAGTAACAATGTAGTATTACACCTCAAGGAACAAGAAAAACAAGAACCAATCAAAATCAAAGCTGGCAGAAAATAAATGAGAAAGATCAGAGCAAAACTAAATGAGATTGAAGCCAAAAAAGAATGATACACAGAATCAATGAAATGAAAGGTTGATTCCTTGAAAGAATTTTAAAAATTGAGAGACCATTAGCTAGGCTAATCATGGAAAAAGGAGAGAAGATTCAAATTATCAAATTTAGAAATGATAAAGGTGACATTATAACTGGTAGCACAAAAATACAAAAGATCATCAGAAACTACTATGAACACCCCTATGCATACAAACTAGATAACCTAGAGGAAATGGATAAATTCCTGGAAACATACAGAGTCCCACGATTGAACCAGGAAGAAATAGAAATCCTGAACAGACCAATAACAAGTAATGAAATTGAAATAGTAATAAAAAAAAAAATCTTCCAAAAACAACAACAAAAGCCCAAGGCTAGATGGATTCACAGCTGAATTTTACCAGACATACAAAGAACACCTCGTACCAATCTTAATGAAATTATATCAACAACTTGAGAAGAGATCCCTCCCTAATTCATTCTATGAATCCAGGGTCACCCTGACACTAAAGCCAGGCAAGGCCACAGTAAAAAAAAACAAACCTACAGGCCAGGTGCAGTGGTTCACGCCTCTAATCCCAGCACTTTGGGAGGCCAAGGCGGGCGGATCACGAGGTCAGGAGATCGAGACCACGGTGAAACCTCGTCTCTAATAAAAATACAAAAAATTAGCCGGGCGCGGTAGCAGGCGCCTGTAGTCACAGCTACTCGGGAGGCTGAGGCAGGAGAATGGCTTGAAGCCAGGAGGCGGAGCTTGCAGTGAACCGAGATCACGGCACTGCCCTCCAGCCTGGGCGACAGAGCGAGACTCCGTTTCAAAAAAAAAAAAAAAAGAAACCTACAGGCCAATACGCATGATAAACATAGATGCAAAAATCCTCAACAAAATTCAAGCAAACCAAATCCAACAGCACATCAAAAAGATAATTCATCATGATCCCGTGGATTTGTTTCAGGGATGCCAGCACTGTTCAACATATGCAAATCACTAAATATGATTCACCACATAATCAGAACTGAGAACAAACACCATATATGATCATCTCAATAGATGTAAAAGAGGATTTGATAAAATCCAATATCCCTTCATGATAAAAGTCCACAACAAACTAAGCATTGAAGGAACATACTTCAAAATAATAAGAGCCATATATGATAAACCCACAGACAATATTATGTTCAATGGGGAAAACTTGAAAGCAATTCCCCCAAGATCTGAAACAAGATGAAGATCTACACTATCACCACACTTTTTCAACATGGTTCTGTAGGTCCTAGCCAGAGAAATCAGGAAAGAGGAAGAAATAAATGGCATTCAAATTGGAAAAGAGGAAGTCAAAGTATCTCTTTGTTGATGACATTATTTTATACCTATAAATTGACTCCTCTAAAAGACTTCTAGACTTGATGAACTACTTCAATAAATTTGCAGAATACAAAAGTAATAGGCCGGGTGCAGTGGCTCACGCCTGTAATCCCAACACCTTCGGAGGCCAAGGCAGGCAGACCATGAGGTCAAGAGTTCGAGACCAACATAGTGAAACCCCGTCTCTGCTAAGAAGACAAAAAGTAACTGGGCATGGTGGAGCATGCCTGTAATCCCAGCTACTCAGGAGGCTGAAGCAGCAGAATTGATGGAACCCAGGAGGCAGAGGTTGCAGTGAGCCGCGATGGGGCCACTGTACTCCAGCCTTGGTGACAGAGCAAGACTGTCTGAAAAAAAATAAATAAATAAAAAACAAAAAGAAACCACCTTAGGCTGGGTGTGGTGGCTCATGCCTGTAATCGCTGCACTTTGAGAGGCCAAGACAGGTGGATCACTTGAGGTCAGGAGTTCAAGACCAGCCTGGCCAACATGATGAAACCCCGCCTCTACTAAAAATACAAAAATTAGCCGAGGGTAGTGGCAGACACCTGTAGTCCCAGCTACTTGGGAAGCTGAGGCAGGAGAATCACTTGAATCCTGGAGGCGGAGGTTGTAGTGAGCTGAGATCATACCACTGCATTCCAGCCTGGGTGACAGAGCAAGACTCCATCTAAAAAAAAAAAAAAAAGTTATGTACAAAAATTTGTAACATTTCTATACACCAATAATCTTCAAGCTGAGAATGAAATCAAGAAATCAATCCCATTTACAATAGCCACAAAAAATAAAATACTGAGGAATACATTTAACTAAAAAGGTGAAGGCTCTCTAAAAAGATAACTACAAAATCCTAATTAAGAAATTGTAGGCCAGGCACGGTGGCTCACGCCTGTAATCCCAGTACTTTGGGAGACCGAGGCGGCGGATCACAAGGTCAGGGGATCGAAATCATCCTGGTTTCACCTAACATGGTGAAACCCCATCTCTACTAAAAATAAAAAAATAAAAAAATTAGCCGGGCGTGGTGGCAGGTGCCTGCAGTCCCAGCTACTCTGGAGGCTGAGGAAGGAGAATGTCGTGAACCTGGGAGGCAGAGCTTGCAGTGAGCGGAGATCGAGCCACTGCACACCAGCCTGGGTGACAGTGCGAGACTCCATCTCACTGGAAAGGAACAACCGGTACCAGCCGCTGCAAAATCATACCAAAATGTAAAGACCATCGAGACTAGGAAGAAACTGCATCAACTAACGAGCAAAATCACCAGCTAACATCATAATGACAGGATCAAATTCACACATAACAATATTAACTTTAAATGTAAATGGACTAAATTCTCCAATTAAAAGACACAGACTGGCAAATTGGATAAAGAGTCAAGACCCATCAGTGTGCTGTATTCAGGAAACCCATCTCACGGGCAGAGACACACATAGGCTCAAAATAAAAGGATGGAGGAAGATCTACCAAGCAAATGGAAAACAAAAAAAAGGCAGGGGTTGCAATCCTAGTCTCGGATAAAACAGACTTTAAACCACCAAAGATCAAAAGAGACAAAGAAGGCCATTACATAATGGTAAAGGGATCAATTCAACAAGAAGAGCTAACTATCCTAAATATATATGCACCCAATACAGGAGCACCCAGATTCATAAAGCAAGTCCTGAGTGACCTACAAAGAGACTTAGACTCCCACACATTAATAATGGGAGACTTTAACACCCCACTGTCAACATTAGACAGATCAACGAGACAGAAAGTCAACAAGGATACCCAGGAATTGAACTCAGCTCTGCACCAAGCGGACCTAATAGACATCTACAGAACTCTCCACCCCAAATCAACAGAATATACATTTTTTTCAGCACCACACCACACCTATTCCAAAATTGACCACATAGTTGGAAGTAAAGCTCTCCTCAGCAAATGTAAAAGAACATAAATTATAACAAACTATCTCTCAGACCACAGTGCAATCAAACTAGAACTCAGGATTAAGAATCTCACTCAAAGCTGCTCAACTACATGGAAACTGAACAACCTGCTCCTGAATGACTACTGGGTACATAACGAAATGAAGGCAGAAATAAAGGTGTTCTTTGAAACCAACGAGAACAAAGACACAACATACCAGAATCTCTGGGACACATTCAAAGCAGTGTGTAGAGGGAAATTTATAGCACTAAATGCCCACAAGAGAAAGCAGGAAAGATCCAAAATTGACACCCTAACATCACAATTAAAAGAACTAGAAAAGCAAGAGCAAACACATTCAAAAGCTAGCAGAAGGCAAGAAATAACTAAAATCAGAGCAGAACTGAAGGAAATACAGACACAAAAAACCCTTCAAAAAATCAATGAATCCAGGAGCTGGTTTTTTGAAAGGATCAACAAAATTGATAGATCGCTAGCAAGACTAATAAAGAAAAAAAGAGAGAAGAATCAAATAGACACAATAAAAAATGATAAAGGGGATATCACCACTGATCCCACAGAAATACAAACTACCATCAGAGAATACTACAAACACCTCTATGCAAATAAACTAGAAAATCTAGAAGAAATGGATAAATTCCTCGACACATACACTCTCCCAAGACTAAACCAGGAAGAAGTTGAATCTCTGAATAGACCAATAACAGGAGCTGAAATTGTGGCAATAATCAATAGTTTACCAACCAAAAAGAGTCCAGGACCAGATGGATTCACAGCCGAATTCTACCAGAGGTACAAGGAGGAACTGGTACCATTCCTTCTGAAACTATTTCAATCAATAGAAAAAGAGGGAATCCTCCCTAACTCATTTTATGAGGCCAGCATCATTCTGATACCAAAGCTGGGCAGAGACACAACCAAAAAAAGAGAATTTTAGACCAATATCCTTGATGAACATTGATGCAAAAATCCTCAATAAAATACTGGCAAAACGAATCCAGCAGCACATCAAAAAGCTTATCCACCATGATCAAGTGGGCTTCATCCCTGGGATGCAAGGCTGGTTCAATATACGCAAATCAATAAATGTAACACAGCATATAAACAGAGCCAAAGACAAAAACCACATGATTATCTCAATAGATGCAGAAAAAGCCTTTGACAAAATTCAACAACCCTTCATGCTAAAAACTCTCAATAAATTAGGTATTGATGGGACGTATTTCAAAATAATAAGAGCTATCTATGACAACCCCACAGCCAATATCATACTGAATGGGCAAAAACTGGAAGCATTCCCTTTGAAAACTGGCACAAGACAGGGATGCCCTCTCTCACCACTCCTATTCAACATAGTGTTGGAAGTTCTGGCCAGGGCAATTAGGCAGGAGAAGGAAATAAAGGGTATTCAATTAGGAAAAGAGGAAGTCAAATTGTCCCTGTTTGCAGACAACATGATTGTATATCTAGAAAACCCCATTGTCTCAGCCCAAAATCTCCTTAAGCTGATAAGCAACTTCAGCAAAGTCTCAGGATACAAAATCAATGTACAAAAATCACAAGCATTCTTATACACCAACAACAGACAAACAGAGAGCCAAATCATGAGTCAACTCCCATTCACAATTGCTTCAAAGAGAATAAAATACCTAGGAATCCAACTTACAAGGGATGTGAAGGACCTCTTCAAGGAGAACTACAAACCACTGCTCAAGGAAATAAAAGAGGATACAAACAAATGGAAAAACATTCCATGCTCAGGGGGAAGGAAGAATCAATATCGTGAAAATGGCCATACTGCCCAAGGTAAATTACAGATTCAATGCCATCCCCATCAAGCTACCAATGACTTTCTTCACAGAATTGGAAAAAACTACTTTAAAGTTCATATGGAACCAAAAAAGAGCTCACATTGCCAAGTCAATTCTAAACCAAAAGAACAAAGCTGGAGGCATCACACTACCTGACTTCAAACTATACTACAAGGCTACAGTAACCAAAACAGCATGGTACTGGTACCAAAACAGAGATATAGATCAATGGAACAGAACAGAGCCCTCAGAAATAACGCAGCATATCTACAGCTATCTGATCTTTGACAAACCTGAGAAAAACAAGCAATGGGGAAAGGATTCCCTATTTAATAAATGGTGCTGGGAAAACTGGCTAGCCATATGTAGAAAGCTGAAACTGGATCCCTTCCTTACACCTTATACAAAAATGAATTCAAGATGGATTAAAGATTTAAACGTTAGACCTAAAACCATAAAAACCCTAGAAGAAAACCTAGGCATTACCATTCAGGACATAGGCATGGGCAAGGACTTCATGTCCAAAACACCAAAAGCAATGGCAACAAAAGACAAAATTGACAAATGGGACCTAGTTAAACTAAAGAGCTTCTGCACAGCAAAAGAAACTACCATCAGAGTGAACAGGCAACCTACAAAATGGGAGAAAATTTTCGCAACCTACTCATCTGACAAAGGGCTAATATCCAGAATCTACAATGAACTCAAACAAATTTACAAGAAAAAAACAAACAACCCCATCAAAAAGTGGGCAAAGGACATGAACAGACACTTCTCAAAAGAAGACATTTATGCAGCCAAAAAACACATGAAAAAATGCTCATCATCACTGGCCATCAGAGAAATGCAAATCAAAACCACTATGAGATACCATCTCACACCAGTTAGAATGGCAATCATTAAAAAGTCAGGAAACAACAGGTGCTGGAGAGGATGTGGAGAAACAGGAACGCTTTTACACTGTTGGTGGGACTGTAAACTAGCTCAACCATTGTGGAAGTCAGTGTGGCGATTCCTCAGGGATCTAGAACTAGAAATACCATTTGACCCAGCCATCCCATTACTGGGTATATACCCAAAGGACTATAAATCATGCTGCTATAAAGACACATGCACACGTATGTTTATTGCGGCATTATTCACAATAGCAAAGACTTGGAACCAACCCAAATGTCCAACAATTATAGACTGGATTAAGAAAATGTGGCACATATACACCATGGAATACTATGCAGCCATAAAAAATGATGAGTTCGTGTCCTTTGTAGGGACATGGATGAAATTGGAAATCATCATTCTCAGTAAACTATCACAAGAACAAAAAACCACACACCGCATATTCTCACTCATAGGTGGGAATTGAACAATGAGATCACATGGACACAGGAAGGGGAATATCACACTCTGGGGACTGTGGTGGGGTGGGGGAAGGGGGGAGGGATAGCATTGGGAGATATACCTAATGCTAGATGACGAGTTAGTGGGTGCAGCACACCAGCATGGCACATGTATGCATATGTAACTAACCTGCACAATGTGCACATGTACCCTAAAACTTAAAGTATAATAAAAAAATTAAAAATAAAAAAAAAAAGAAATTGTAGGCTGGGTGCAGTGGCTCACACCTGTAATCCCAACACTTTGGGAGTTCGAGCTGGTGGATCACCTGAGGTCAGGAGTTTGAGACCAGCCTGGCCAACGTGGTGAAACCCTGTCTCTACTAAAAATACAAAAATTAGCCAGGCATGCTGGTAGGCACTTGTAATCCCAGCTACTCGAAAGGCTGAGGCAGGAGAATCTCTTGAACCCAGGAGGCAGAGGTTGCAGTGAGCGAAGATCGTGCCACTGCACTCCAGCCTGGTCAACAGAGTGAGACTCTGTCTTAAAAAAAAAAAAAAAGAAGGAAATTGTAGATGAGAAACAAATGGATAAATATTCCATGTATTGGAAGAATTAATATGATTAAAATGACCATATCTTCCAAAGCAATCTACAGATTCAATGCTATCACCATCAAATTACTAATTTCATTTTTTTCACTGAATTATAAAAAACAATCCTAAAGTTCATATGGAACCAGAAAAGAGGCCAAATAGCCAAAGCAATTATAAGCAAAATGAACAAATCCAGAAGCATTACATGGCCTGACTTCAAATTATACTACAAAACTATGGAAACTAAAACAGCATGGTACTGTTACCAAAATAGATACATTGATCAAAGGAACAGAGGAGAGTAAATGGAAATAAAGCCACATACCTTCAACCAACTAATATTTGACAAAACTGTCAAACATAAGCAATGTGGAAATAACACCCCATTCAGGGTGAATATGCAAAGAAAAGGGAATGCTTATACACTGCTAGTGGGAATGTAGATTTATTCAACTGCTATGAAAAACAGAATAAATATATCTCAAGGAACTAAAAACAGAGCTACCATTAAACCCAGCATCCTTATTACTGTATATCTACCCAAAATAAATCATTATATAACAAACACACTGAGGGATGGCTGGCAAGATGGCTGAAAAGAAACAGCTCCAGTCTGCAGCTCCCAGCAAGATCAATGCAGAAGACAGGTGATTTCTGCATTTCCAACTGAGGTACCTGGCTCATCTCGTTGGGACTGGTTAGAGAGTGGGTTCAGCCCATGGAGTATGAGCCGAAGCAGGATGGGGCATTGCCTCACCTGGGAAGTGCAAGGGGTTGAGGAACTCCCTCTCCTAGCCAAGAAAAGCCTTCAGGGACTGTGCTGTGAGGAACATTGCATTCTGGCCCAGATACTATGCTTTTCCCACGGTCTTCACAACCCAGAGACCAGGAGATTCCCTCCGGTGCCTATGCCACCAGGGTCCTGGGTTTCAAGCACAAAACTGGGTGGCCGTTTCAGAAGACACCGAGCTAGCTTCAGGAGGTTTTTTTCATACCCCAGTGGCATCTGGAATGCCAGCGAGACAGAACCGTTCACACCCCTGGAAAGGGGGCTGAAGCCAGGGAGCCAAGTTGTCTAGCTCAGCGGATCCCACCCCCACAGAGCCCAGCAAGCTAAGATCCACTGGCTTGAAATTATCGCTATCAGCACAGCAGTCTGAAGTCACCGTGAAATGCTCAAGCTTGGTAGGGGGAGGGGCATCCGCCATTACTGAGGCTTGAGTAGGCGGTTTTCCCCTCACGGTGTAAACAAAGCCACCAGGAAGTTCAAACTGGGCGGAGCCCACCACAGCTCAGCAAAGCCACTATAGCCAGACTGCCTCTCTAGATGCCTCCTCTCTGGGCAGGGCATCTCTGAAAGAAAGACAGCAGCCTCAGTCAGCGGCTTATAGATAAAACTCCCATCTCCCTGGGACAGAGCACCTGTGGGAAGGAGCAGCTGTGGCAGCAGCTTCAGCAGACTTAAACGTTCCTGCCTGCCAGCTCTGAAGAGAGCAGAAAACCTCCCAGCACAGCGCTCGAGCTCTGCTAAAAGACAGACGGCCTGCCCCCATAACTCCTGACTGGGAGACACCTACCAGCAAGGGTTGACAAATGCCTCATACAGGAGAGCTCCAGCTGGCATCTAGCAGGTGCCCCTCTGGGACGAAGCTTCCAGAGGAAGAAACAGTAAGCAATCTTTGCTGTACTGCAGCCTCTGCTGGTGATATCCAGGCAAACAGGCTCTGGAGTGGACCTAAGGCAACCTACAGCAGACCTGCAGCAGAGGGGCCTGAGTGTTAGAAGGAAAACTAACAAACAGAAAGGAATAGCATCAACATCAACAAAAAGGATGTCCACACAGAAACCCCATCTGAAGGTCACCAACATCAAAGGCCAAAGGTGGATAAATCCACAACGATGAGGAAAAACCAGTGCAAAAAGGCTGAAAATTCCAAAAACTAGAATGCCTCTTCTCCAAAGGATCACAGCTCCTCGCCAGCAAGGGAATAAAACTGGATGGAGAATGAATTTGACGAATTGACAGAAGTAGACTTTAGAAGGTGGGTAATAACAAACTCCTCCAAGCTAAAGGAGCATGTTCTAACCCAATGCGAGGAAGCTAAGAACCTTGAAAAAAGGTTAGAGGAATTGCTAACTAGAATAACCAGTTTAGAGAAGAACATAAATGACCTGATGGAGGTGAAAAACACAGCATGAGAATTTCGTGAGCATACACAAATATCAATCGCCGAATTGATCAAGTGGAAGAAAGGATACCAGAGATTGAAGATCAACTTAATGAAATAAAGTGAGAAGACAAGATTAGAGAAAAAAAAAATGAAAAGGAACCAAGAAAGCCTCCAAGAAATATGGGACTATGTGAAAAGACCAAACCTACGTTTGATTGGTGTACCTGAAAGTGATGGGGAGAATGGAACCAAGTTGGAAAACACTCTTCAGGAGAACTTCCCCAACCTAGCAAGACAGGCCAACATTCAAATTCAGGAAATACAGAGAAAACCACAAAGATACTCCTCGAGAAGAGCAACCCCAAGACACATAGTTGTCAGATGTGTCTGACATTTCAACCACGGTTGAAATGAAGGAAAAAATGTTAAGGGCAGCCAGTGAGAAAGGTCAGGTTATCCACGAAGGGAAGCCCATCAGACTAACAGTGGATCTCTCTGCAGAAACCCTACAAGCCAGAAGAGAGTGGAAGCCAATATTCAACATTCTTAAAGAAAAGAATTTTCAACCCAGAATTTCATATCCAGCCAAACTAAGCTTCATAAGCAAAGGAGAAATAAAATCCTTGACAGATAAGCAAATGCTGAGGGATTTTGTCACCACCAGACCTGCCTTACAAGAGCTCCTGAAAGAAGCACTAAACATGGAAAGAACAACTGGTACCAGCCACTGCAAGAACATACCAAACTGTAAAGACCATTGACACTATGAAGAAACTGCATCAACAAACAGCCAAAATAACCAGCTAGCATCTTAATGACTGCCAAAATTCACATATAACAATATTAACCTTAAATGTAAATGGGCTAAATGCCCCAATTTAAAAAAACAGACTGGCAAATTGGATAGAGTCAAGAACCATCATTGTGCTGTATTCAGGAGATCTATCTCATGAGCAAAGACACACATAGGCTCAAAATAAAGGGGTGGAGGAGTATTTATCAAGCAAATGGAAAGCAAAAAAAAAAAAAAAAGCAGGGGTTGCAATCCTAGTCTCTGATAAAACAGATATTAAACCGAAAAAGATCAAAAATGACAAAGAAGGGCATTACATAATGGTAAATGGAACAATGGAACGAGAAGAGCTAACAATTGTAAATATATATGCACCCAATACAGGAGCACCCAGATTCATAAAGCAAGTTCTTAGAGACCTAAAAGGAGACTTAGACTCCCACACAATAATAGTGGGAAACTAACACCCCTTTGTCAATATTAGACTGATCAACGAGACAGAAAATTAACAAGGATATTCAGTACTTGAACTCAGCTCTGGACCAAGTGGACCTAATAGACATCTACAGAACTCTCCACCCCAAATCAACAGAGCATACACTCTTCTCAGCACCACATTGCACTTATTCTAAAATTGACCACATAATTGGAAGTAAAATACTCCTCAGCAAATGCAAAAGAAGGGAAATCATAACAGTCTCTCAGAGCACAGTGCAATCAAATTAGAACTTAGGATTAGGAAACTCACTCAAAACCACACAACTACATGGAAACTGGACAACCTGCTCCTGAATGACTACAGGATAAATAACGAAATTAAGGCAGAAATAAATAAGTCCAATGAGAACAAAGACACTATGTGCCAGGATCTCTGGGACACAGCTAAAGCAGTGTTTAGAGGGAAATCTGTAGCACTAAATGCCCACAGGAGAAAGCAGGAAAGATCTAAACACCCTAACATCACAATGTAAAGAACTAGAGAAGCAAGAGCAACCGAATTTGAAAGCTAGCAGAAGACAAGAAATAACTAAGATCAGAGCAGAACTGAAGGAGATTGAGACACAAAAAAACCCTTCAAGATATTAATGAATTGCCAGGCGTGGTGGCTTATGCCTGTAATCCCAGCACTTTGGGAGTCCAAGGCGGGCAGTTCACAAGGTCTGGAGTTCGAGACCAGCCTGACCAACATGGTGAAACCTTGTCTCTACTAAAATTACAAAAATTAACTGGGCGTGGTGGCACGTGCCTGTAGTCCCAGCTACTCGGGAGGCTAAGGCAGAAGAACTGCTTGAACCCAGGAAGCAGAGGTTGCAGCGAGCTGAGATTGTGCCACTTCACTCCACCCTGGGTGACAGAGTGAGACCTTGTCTCAAAAAAAAAAAAAAATCAATGATTCCAGGAGCTGGTTATTTGAAAAGATTAACAAAATAGATAGACTGCTAGGCAAACTAATAAAGAAGAAAAGAAAGAAGAATCAAATAGACACAATAAAAAATGATAAAGGGGATATCATCACTGATCCCACAGAAATACCAACTAACATTAGCGAATACTATAAACACCTCTATACAAATAAACTAGAAACTCTAAAAGAAATAAATTCCTGGACACATACTCTCCCAAAACTAAACCAGGAAAAAGTTGAATTCCTGAATAGACCAATAACAAGTTCTGAAATTGAGGCAGTAATTAGTAGCCTACCACTCATAAAAAGCCTAGGACCAGATGGATTCCCAGCCAAATTCTACCAGAGGTACAAAAAGGGGCTGGTACCATTCCTTCTAAAACTATTCCAAACAATAGAAAAAGAGGGGCTTCTCCCTAACTCATTTTATGAGGCCAGCATCATCCTGATACCAAAGCCTGGCAGAGACACAACAAAAAAAGAAAATTTCTGGCCAATATCCCTGATGAACACCGATGCGAAAATCCTCAATAAAATACTGGCAAATCAAATCCAGCAGTACATCAAAAAGCTTATCCACCATGATCAAGTCAGCTTCATCCCTAGGATGGAAGGATGGTTCAACATATGCAAATCAATAAATGTAATCCATCACATAAACAGAACCAATGACAAAAACCACATGATTATCTCAATAGATGCAGAAAAGGCCTTAGATAAAATTCAACACCCCTGCATGCTAAAAACTCTCAATAAACTAGGTATTGATGGAACGTATCTCAAAATAACAAGAGCTATTTATGACAAACCCACAACCAATATCATACTGAATGGGAAAAAGCTGGAAGCATTCCCTTTGAAAACTGGCACAAGATAATGATGCTCTCTCTTACCACTCCTATTCAACATAGTATTGGAAGTTCTGGCCAGGGCAATCAGGCAAAAGAAAGCAATAAACGGTATTCAAATAGGAAGAGAGAAAGTAAAATTGTCCCTGTTTGCAGATGACATGATTGTCTATTTAGCAAACCCCATCATCTCAGCGCCAAATCTCCTAAAGCTGATAAGCAACTTCAGCAAAGTCTCAGGATACAAATCAATGTGCAAAAATCACAACCATTCCTATACACCAATAATAGACAAACAGAGACCCAATCATGACCAAACTTCCATTCAGAATTACTACAAAGAGAATAAAATACCTAGGAATGCAACTTACAAAGGATGTGAAAGACCTCTTCAAGGAGAACTTTACAATACTATCTCCATCAAGCTACCATTGACATTCTTCACAGAATTAAAAAAAACTTCTTTAAATTTCATATGAAACCAAAAAAGAGCCCATATAGCCAAGACAATCCTAAACAAAAAGAACAAAGCTGGAGGCATCACACTACCTGACTTCAAACTATACTACAAGTCTACAGTAACCAAAACAGCATGGTACTGGTACCAAAACAAATATATAGACCAATGGAACAGAACAGAGGCCTCAGAAATAATGCCACACATCTACAACCATCTGGTCTTTGACAAACCTGACAAAAACAAGCAATGGGGAAAGGATTCCCTATTTAATAAATGGTGTTGGGAAAACTGCCTAGCAATATGCAGAAAACTGAAACTGGACCCTTTCTTTACACCTTATACAAAAATTAACTCAAGATGGATTAAAAACTTAAACTTAAGTCCTAAAACCATAAAAACCCTAGAAGAAAACCTAAGCAATACCGTTCAGGACATAGGCATGGGGAAAGTATTCATGACTGAAACACCAAAAGCAATGGCAACAAAAGGCAAAATGGACAAATGGGATCTAATTAAACCTAAGAGTTTCTGCACAGCAAAAGAAACTATTATCAGAATGAACAGGCAACCTATAAAATGGGAGAAAATTTTTGCAATCTATCCATCTGAAAAAGGACTAATATCTAGAATCTACAAGGAACTTAAACAAATTTACAAGAAAAAAACAAACAACCCCATCAAAAAGTGAGCAAAGTATACGAACAAACACTTTTCAAGAGAAGACATTTATGCAACCAACAAACATATGAAAAAAAGCTCATCATCACTGGTCATTAGAGAAATGCAAATCAAAACCACAATGAGATACCATCTCACGCCAGTTAGAATAGTGATCATTAAAAACTCAGGAAACAACAGATGCTGGAGAGGATATGGAGAAATAGGAACACTTTTACACTGTTGGTGGGAGTGTAAATTAGTTCAACCATTGTGGAAGACAGTGTGGTAATTCCTCTAGGATCCATAACCAGAAATACCATTTGACCCAGCAATCCCATTACTGGGTATATACCCAAAGGATTATAAATCATTCTACTATAAAGACACATGCACACGTATATTTATTCCAGCACTGTTCACAATAGCAAAGACTTGGAATCAACCCAAATGCCCATCAATGATAGACTGGATAAAGAAAATGTGGCACATATATGCCATGGAATACTACGCAGCCTTCAAAAAGATGAGTTCATGTCCTTTGCAGGGACATGGATGAAGCTGGAAACCATCATTCTCAGAAAACTAACACAGGAACAGAAAACCAAACACTGCATGTTCTCACTCATAAGTGGGAGTTGAACAATGAGAACACATGGACACAGCGAGAGGAATATCACACACCAGGTCCTGTCAGGGGGTGGGCAGCTAGGGGAGAGATAGCATTAGGAAAAATACCTAATGTAGATGATGTGTTGATGGGTGTAGCAAACCACCATGGTACATGTATACCTATGTAACAAACCTGCATGTTCTGCACATGTATCTCAGAACTTAAAGTTTAATAAACTACAGTAATAATAAAACAGAATCAGTCCGGGCACAGTGGCTCACAGCTGTAATCCCAGCACTTTGGGAGGCCGAAGCAGGCGGATCACCTGAGGTCAGGAGTTCGAGACCAGCCTGGCCAACATGATGAAACCCTGTCTCTACTAAAAATACTAAAATTAGTTGGACATGGTGGCGCACCTGTAATCCTGGCTATCCTGTAGGCTGAGGTGAGAGGATTGCTTGAACCTGGAGGCGGAGGTTGCATTGAGCCGAGATCTTGACATTGCACTCCAGCCTGGGCAAAAGAGTGAGACTCCATCTTGATTAAAACATACTCCTTGTATTATATACTTATATTAAAGTATTCTTTTGTAAGTAAAAAAAAAAAAAACATAGTAATAAGAAAATAGAATGATGCCGGGCACGGTGGCTCACGCCTGTAATTCCAGCACTTTTGGAGGCCGAGGCAGGCAGAGTACGAGATCAGGAATTCGAGACCAGCCTGGCCAACATAGTGAAACCCGGTCTCTGCTAACAAAATACAAAAATTAGTCAGGTGTGGTAGCACGTGCCTGCAGTCCCAGCTGCTCAGGAGGCTGAGGAGGGAGAATTGCTTGAACCTGGGAGGCAGAGGTTGCAGTGAGCCAAGACCACACCATTGTACTCCAACCTGGGTGACAGAGTGAGACCCAGATAGAGATATTATCACAAATACAGCAAAATGTTAGTGTAAAATCTAGGAGCTGAGTTTATGGATATTCACTATAGAGTTTTTATTGAATTTTCTATATGTTTGCCCATTTTCATAATAAATGTTGGAGGAAAATAGAAAACACACACACACACACACACACACACCTGCTGGGCATGGTGGCTCACGCCTGTAATCCCAGCACTTTGGGAGCCCAAGGTGGGCGAATCACCTGAGATCAGGAGTTCGACCAGCCTGACCAACATGGAGAAACCCCATCTCTACTAAAAATACAAAAAAAAAAAATTAGCAAGGCGTGGTGGCACATTATTGTAATCCCAGCTACTCAAGAGGCTGAGGCAAGAGAATCACTTGAACCTGGGAGGCGGAGGTTGCAGTAAGCTGAGATCACAACATTGCACTCCTAGGCAACAAGAGCGAAAACTCCATCAAAAAAAATTTTTTAATTTAAAAAACCCAAAACACCTACACTGACATGTGTATCACAGAACTATTCACAATAGCAAAGTCATAGAACCAACCTAAGTGTCCATCAGTGGTTGACTAGATAAAGAAAATGTGGTACATATATGCCATGGAATATTATGCAGCCATAAAAACAATAAATTCATGTCTTTTGCAGCAACCTGGTTATACCTGGAGGTCATTATCCTAAGTAAACTAACTCTGAAGCAGAAAATCAAATATCACATGTACTCAGTTATAAGCAGGAACTAAACGATGAATACACATGGACATAAAGATGGAAATAATAGACACTGGGGGCTCAAAAAAAAGGGGAGAGTGGGAGGGATAAAGATTGAAAGGTTACCTGTTGGATACAATGTTCAATATTTGGGTAATGAGTACACTAGAAGCCCAATCCCCACAATTATGCAATATACCCATGTAACAAATATGATGGGTACTTGCTGAATCTAAAATTTTTAAAAAGATGAAAATCAAAAAGTTTATTGAAACGAATGAAAATGGAAACACAGGCCAGGCATGGTGGCTCACGTTTGTAATCCCAGCACTTCGGGAGGCCGAGGCGGGTGGATCACTAGGTCAGGAGTTCAAGACCAGCCTGGCCAAGATGGTGAAATCTCATCTCTACTAAAAATACAAAAATTAACTGGGTGTGGTGGTGGGCGCCTGTAATCCCAGCTACTCGGGAGGCTGAGGCACAAGAACTGCTTGAACCCCAGAGGCAGAGGTTACAGTGAGCCGAGATGGAGCCACTGCACTCCAGCTTGGGCGACAGAGTGAGGCTCAGTCTCAACAAAAAAAAAAAGAAAAAAGAAAAAAGAAAAAGACATAAATAGACATTTCTCAAAAGAAGACACACAATCAATGGGTATATGATAAAATGTTTGGCCAGGCGTGGTGGCTCACGCCTGTAATCCCACCACTTTGGGAGGCCAAGGGGGCGCGGATCACCAGGTCAGGAGTTCGAGAGCAGCCTGACCAACATAGCGAAACCCCAACTCTACTAAAAATACAAAAATTAGCTGGATGTGGTGGCGTGCACCTGTAATCCCAGCTACTCAGGAGGCTGAGGCAGGAGAATCGCTTGAACCCGGGAAGCAGAGGTTGCAGTGAGCCTAGACTGTGCCACTGCGCTCCAGCCTGGGCTACAGAGGGAGACTCTGAGACTCCATCTCAAGAAAAAAAAAGTTTAACATCACTAATTATCGGAGAAATACAAATCAAAACCACAATGTGATATTATCTTATCTTATTCAGAATGGCTATTATGAAAAGGACAAAAAATTTAAAAATGTTGATTAATATGTGGAGAAAAGAAACACTTATACAGTGTTATTGGGAATGTAAACTAGTACAGCCACTGTGAAAAACAGCATGGGGATTTCTCAAAAAATAAAATTTTCATTTGATCCAGCAATCCCACTACTGGGTATTTAACCAAAGGGAAAGAAATCACTACATCAAAGAGATACCTGCACTCACATGTTTATTGCAGCACATTATCACAATATTATTTCTTTCAAACCAGGAGCATGGAACGTCTTTTTATTTGTGTATGTGTGTGTGTGTGTGTGTGTGTGTGTGTGTACTCTTCAATTTCTTTCATCAGGGTTTTGTAGTTTTTATTGTAAAGTTCTTTCACCTCCTTGGTTGAATTTATTCCTAGCTATTTAATTTTTTAGAGCTACTGTAATGGTATTGCTTTCTTGATTTGCTTTTCGGCTAGTTTGCTATTGATTATTATTGATATATGGAAACACTAGTGATTTTTTTTTTTTTGAGACAGAGTTTCACTCTCATTGGCCAGGCTAGAGTGCAATGGTGCGATCTCGGCTCACTGCAACCTCCACCTCCTGGGTTCAAGCGATTCTCCTGCTTC
Organism: Homo sapiens; assembly: GCF_000001405.40. NCBI lineage: Eukaryota > Metazoa > Chordata > Mammalia > Primates > Hominidae > Homo > Homo sapiens. Next base: position 73,901,879 of record NC_000023.11, read on the forward strand.
AGCCTCCAAGTAGCTAGGATTACAGGTGCCCACCAGCACACCCAGCTATTTTTTTGTATCTTTTAGTAGAGACAAGTTTCACCATGTTTGTCAGGCTGGTCTCAAACTCCTGACCTCAGGTGATACACCCATCTCGGCCTCCCAAAGTGCTGGGATTACAGGCGAGAGCCACTGCGCCTTGCCAACACTAGTGATTTTTGTATGTTAATTTTGTATCGTGTTCCTTTACTAAATTTTTAAAATCACTTCTAAGACATTTTTGGTGGAGTCTTTCAGTTATTCTAGATATAAGATCATGTAATCTTCAAAGAGAAACAATTCTCATTGCCAATTTGGATGCCCTTTATTTCTTTCTCTTACCTAGTGGCTCTGGCTAGGATTTCAAGCAGTATATTGAATAAAAGTGGTGAAAGTGGACATCCTTTTCTTCTTCCAGTTCTCAGAGGAATGACTTTCATCTTTTCCCCTTTCAGTGTGGTGTTAGCTGTGGGTTTGTCATATACAATCATTATTTTGAGGAATGTTCTTTCTTTTTCTTTCTTTTTTTTTTTTTTTTTTTTTTTTTGAGATGGAGTTTCGCTCTTGTTGTCCAGGCTGGAGTGCAATGGTGTGATCTCGGCTCACTGCAACCTCTGCCTCCTGGGTTCAAGCGATTGTCCTGCCTCAGCCTCCCGAGTAGCTGGGATTACAGGCATGTGCCACCACACACGGCTAATTTTGTATTTTTAGTAGAAACAGTTTTCTCCATGCTGATCAGGCTGGGCTCAAACTCCTGACCTCAGTTAATCCGCCTGCCTCGGCCTCCCAAAGTGCTGGGATTACTGGCGCGAGCCACCTCGCCCGGCTGAGGAATGTTCTTTGTATACCTAGTTTATGAAGAGTTTTTATCATGAAGGAATGTTGAATTTTATTAAATGCTTTTTCTGCATCTATTGAGAAAATCATTTAGTTTCTGTCCTTTATTCTGTTGATGTGATGTACCACATTTATTGATTTGCTTACGTTGTACCACACAAGATTATAAATTTTGTTATGTGTATTTATCATAATAAAAACATTTTTTTTTGAGACAGTCTTACTCTGTCTCCCAGGCTGGAGTGCAGTGGTGGGATCTCGGCTCACTGCAACCTCCGTCTCCATCTCCTGAGTTCAAGTGGTTCTCCTGCCTCAGCCTCCCAAGTAGCTGGGATTACAGGCATGCTCTACCACACCTGACTAATTTTTGTATTTTTAATAGAGAGAGGGTTTCACCATGTTGGCCAGGCTGGTATCGAGCTCCTGACCTCAGGTGATCTGCCTGCCTCGGCCTCCCAAAGTGCTGAGATTACAGGTGTGAGCCACTACACCCAGCCTAAAGACAATTTTTAAACCCCACTATACATAGGAGAAAGAACTTTACAATGAAAACTACAAAAGCTTGAATGAAAGAAATTGAAGAGGACACACACACACACACACACACACACACACACACACACAAATAAATAAATAAACACCCACACTCAGGGTTTGAAAGAAATTTATATATCTATAAATATATATATATAACATGTATAATATGTATTCTGCATCAGAATAGCATACATCACAAAGGTAGTCAGTATGGAATTTGACGCTTTTTATAAGTTTTTGTCCTTATTACTGGTGTTCCTGTCTCCCACCTCCTATAACTCCAGAGTTTGTCTTTTTTTTTTTTTTTGAGATGGAGTCTCCCTCCGTTGCCCAGGCTGGAGTGCAGTGGTGCAATCTCGGCTCACCACAACCTCCACCTCCTGGGTTCAAGCGATTCTTCTGCCTCAGCCTCCCGAGCAGCTGGAACTACAGGCGTGTGCCACCATGCCCAAATAATTTTTGTATTTTTATTAGAGACAGGGTTTCAGTATGTTGGCCAGGCTGGTCTAGAACTCCTGACCTCGTGATCCACCTGCCTCAGCCTCCCAAAGTGCTAGGATTACAGGCATGAGCCACTGTGCCCAGCCAGAGTTTGTATTTCATTCCAGTTACATATAGTGAATTTAAATAAACACATCTCTAGGATTGGACTCCTGATCATAGGATACTCCAGGACCCTGAAAGCTAGGTCAGGTCTAGACCTAACAGATGTTAAAGTATGCCTCCAGCTGATAGGCAAAATGATTCCCCATGGCTACTTGAGATGCTCAAAGTTCAAAAAGAACCAGGCAGTTATGGCTTTGTGTGGGAGCAGTCATGCACTCTGTTCTCAGAAAGATGTAAAAGTATCACAAGACCTCCCTTTCTGTAATCAAGCCAATCCAGTTCCTTTTTTGGTGCCAAGATAAACTATGGCCAAAGCTCCTCCCCCAACCAGTAATTTGAAAAAAACATTTGACAGAGACTTCTGGTTTTGGTCTTGGAAACCGTATCAGTTCATTTATGTGTTGCTGTAAAGAAATACCTGAAGCTGGCCAGACGCAGTGGCTCACGCCTGTAATCCCAGCACTTTGGAAGACAGAGGCGGGCGGATCACGAGGTCAGGAGGTTGAGACCACCCTGGCTAATGCGGTGAAACCCCGTCTCTACTAAAAATACAAAAAATTAGCCGGGTGTGGTGGCGGGCGCCTGTAGTCCCAGTTACTCAGGAGGCTGAGGCAGGAGAATGGCGTGAACCCAGGAGGCGGAGCTTGCAGTGAGCAGAGATGGTGCCACTGCACTCCAGCCTGGGCGACAGAGCGAGACTCCATCTCAAAAAAAAAAAAAGAAATACCTGAAGCTGGGTAATTTATAAAGAAAAGAGGTTTGTTTAGCTGTCAGTTCTGCAGGCTGTACATAAAGCATAGTGTCATCATTTGCTCCTGCTGAGGGCCTCAGGAAGCTTACAATCATGGCAAATAGTGAAAGGGAGCCAGCATCAAATGGCGAGAGAGGGAGAGGATGGTGTCAGGCCCCTTTAAACAACCAGCTTTCACATGAATTCAGAGTGAGAACTCATTCATTACCATGAGGAAAACACCAAGCCATAAATGAGGACTCCACCCCCATGACCCCAGACATCTTCCACTAGGCCCACCTCCAACATTGGAGGTGATATGGTTTGGCTCTGTGTCACCATGCAAATCTCACCTTGAGTTGTAATAATCCCCACGTGTCCTGGGAGAGACACAATGGGAGGTAATTAAATCATGGGGGCAGGTTTTTCCCATGTTGTTCTCATGATAGTGAATAAGTCTCACAAGATCTGATGGTTTTATAAAGGGGAGTTCCCCTGCACATGCTCTCTTGTCTGCCACCATGTAAGATGCGACTTTTCTCCTCATTTGCCTTCTGCCATGATTGTGAAGCCTCCCCAGCTATGTGGAACTATGAGTCAATTATACCTCTTTCCTTTATAAATTACCCGATCTCAGGTATGTCTTTATTAGCAGCATGAAAATGGACTAATACAGTAAATTGGTACCAGTAGAGTGGGGTGCTGCTATAAAGATTCCTGAAAATGTGGAAGAGACTTTGGAACTGGGTAACAAGCAGAGGTCGGAACAGTTTGGAGGGCTCAGAGGAAGACAGGAAAATGTGGGAAAGTTTGCAACTTCCTAGAGACTTGGAGGGCTCAGTAAACAGAAAGAAGCGGGAAAGTTTGGAACTTCCTAGAGACTTGTTGAATGGCTTTAACCAAAATAGTGACAGTGATATAGACAATAAAGTCCAGGCTGAGTTGGTCTCAGAAGGAGATGAGGAATTCGTTTGGAACTGGAGTAAAGGCCACTCTTGCTGTGCAAAAAGACTAGCAGTATTTTGCCCTTGCCCTACAGATCTGTGGAACTTTTAACTTGAGAGAGATGATTTAGATTATCTGGCAGGAGAAATGTATAAGCAGCAAAGCATTCAAGAAGAAGCAGCACATAAAAGTTTGGAAAATTTGCAGCCTGACAATGCAATAGAAAAGAAAAACCCATTTTCTGGGGAGAAATTCAAGCCTGCTGCAGAAATATGCATAAATAACAAGGAGCCGAATGCTAATCATGAAGACAATGGGGAAAATGTCTCCAGAGTATGCCAGATACCTTTGCAGTAGCCCCTCCTATCACAGGCTCAGAGGCCTAGGAGAAAAAAATGGTTTCATGGGCTGGACTCAGGGGCCCCCTGCTGTGTGCAGTCTAGAGACTTGTTGCCCCATGTCCCAGCTGCTCCAGCCATGGCTAAAGGGGGCCAAGGTACAGCTTGGGCTGTGGCTTTGGAGGCTGCAAGCCCCAGGCCTTGGCAGCTTCCATGTGGTGTTGAGCCTGTGGGTGCACAGAAGTCAAGAATTGAGGTTTGGAAACCTCTGCCTAGATTTCAGAGGATGTGTGGAAATGCCTGGATGTCCAGGCAGAAGTTTGCTGCAAGGGTGGGGACCTCATGGAGAACCTCTGCTAGGGCAGAGCAGAAGGAAAATGTGTGATTGGAGCCCCTATACAGAGTCTCCACTGGGGAACTGCCTAGTGGAGCTGTGAGAAGAGGGCCATCGTCCTCCAGACCTCAAAATGGTAGATCCACCAACAGCTTGCACTATGCATCTGGAAAAGCCACAGACACTCAACAGCAACCTGTGAAAGCAGTCAGGAGTGGGGCTGTACCCTGCAAAGCCACAGGAACTGAGCTGCCCAAGACCATGGGAACCCACCTCTTACATCAGCATGACCTAGATATGAGACATGTAGCCACAATAGATCATTTGGGAGTTTTAAGATTTGACTGCCCCATTGGATTTCAGACTTGCATGAGGCCTGCAGCCCCTTCATTCTGGCCAATTTCTCCCATTTGGAATGGGTGTATTTATCCAATGCCTGTACCTCCCATTGTATCTAGGAAGTAACTAATTTGCTTTTGATTTTATAGGCTCACAGGTGGAAGGGACTTGCCTTGTCTCAGATGAGACTTTGGATTTCGGACTTTTGAGTTAATGCTGAAATGAGTTAAGATAGGAATTCCACTAAACCTATAAATCAATTTGGGGATAATTGACATCTTTACTATGTTGAATTTTCTAATTCATGAATATTGTTAATGTTTCTAATTATTTAGCTCTTTTAAAATTTCTTTCATCAGCATTGTTTAATTTTCAGCATATAGGTCCAGTACATGTTAAGTTTATACGTGAGTGTGATTTCATTTTCCTTGGAATGGTTGTAAATGTTGTGTTTTTAATTTCAGTATTTACATATTCATTGTCAGTATGTAGAAATTCAGTTGATATTTGTATGTTGATTTTGTAGTCTGTGACATTGCTGAACTCATTAATTCTATGAAATTTTTTGGAGATTCTTTGGAATTTTCTACATAGAAAAGCATGTTGGCTGGCAGCAGTGACTCACCCCTCTAATCCTAACTTCCAGCTGCATCCATATTGCTGCAAAGGACATGGTTTTATTCTTTTATATGGCTGCATAGTATTCCATGGTGTATATGTGCATTTTCTTTATCCAATCTACCATTGATGGGCACCTAGGTTGATCCCATGTCTTTGCTATTGTGAATAGTGCTGAGATAAACATATGAGTGCAGGTGTCTTTTTGGTAGATGATTTGTTTCCTTTGGGTATATACTCATTAATGGATTGCTGGCTCGAATGGTAGTCCTATTTTTTTCTACTTGGAGAAATCTCCAAAATACTTTCCACAGTGGCTAAACTAATTTACATCCCCACCAACAGTGTATAAGCACTCCCTTTCTCTACAACCTTTTTACTTTTTAATAATTAATAGCCATTCTGATTTGTGTGAGCTGGTATTTCATTGTCATTTTGATTTGTATCTCTCTGATGATTAGTGATGTTGAACTTTGTTGTTTTTTCTTTTTTAGACCGAGTCTTGCCCTGTCACCAGGCTGGAGTGCAGTGGTGCGATCTTGGCTCACTGCAACCTTTGCCTCCTGGGTTCAAGTGATTCTCCTGCCTCAGTCTCCCGAGTAGCAGAGACTACAGGCATGAGCCACTACACCCTGTTAATTTTTGTATTTTTAGTAGTGATGGGGTTTCACCATGTCGGCCAGGATGGACTGGATCTCTTGACCTCGTGATTCGCCCACCTTGGCCTCCCAAAGTTCTGGGATTACAGGCATGAGCCACCGCGCCTGGCCTGAACTTTTTTTAATATGTTTGCTGGCCACTTGAATGTATTCTTTTGAGAAGGGTCTGTTCATGTTTTTTGCCCACATTTTAATGGGGTTGTCTTTTACTTGTTGATTTAAGTTTCTTATAGATCCTGGATATTAGTCCTTTGCCAGAATCATAGTTTGTAAATATTTTATCCCATTTTTTCTGTTTACTCTGTTGGTAATTTATTTTGCTGTGCAGAAGCTCTTTAGTTTAATTAGGTCCCACTTGTTCAATTTTTGGTTTTATTGCATTTGTTTTTAAGAACCTAGTGATAATTTTTTTTTTTTTTTTGCCTAGACCAATATCAAAGAGAGTATTTCCTAGGTTTTCTTCCAGGATTTTTATAATTTTAGATCTTATATTGAAGTATTTAATCTATCTTGAGCTAATTTTCATACATGCTGATAGATAGGGGTCCAGTTTCAATCTTCTGCATATGGCTACCCAGTTTTTCCAACACCATTTATTGAATAGGGTGTCCTTTCCCCATTGTTTATACATGTTGAGTTTGTCAAAGATCAGTTGGTTGTAGCTATGTGACTTTATTTCCGGGTTCTCTATTATGTTCTATTGGTCCATGTGTCTATTTTCGTACCAGTACCATTTGTTTTTGGTTACTTGTAGTATTGTTTGAAGTTGGGTAGTGTGATCCCTCCAGCTTTATTCTTTTTATTTTATTTATTTATTTTTTTTGTGTGAGACGGAGTCTCACTCTGTCGCCCAGGCTGAAGGGCAGTGGCACGATCTCGGCTCACTGCAAGCTCCGCCTCCCTCCGGCTTTATTCTTTTTCATAGAATTGGCTTGGCTATTCCAGCTCTTTTTTGGTTCCATATGAATTTTAGAATAGGTTTTTCCTGATTCTGTAAAAACGACATTGGCTATTTGATAGGAATAGTGTTGAATCTCTATATTGCCTTGGGCAATATGGACATTTCAATGATACTAATTCCTCCAACCCATGAGCATGGAATACTTTTCCAATTGTCTGTGCTGTCTGTGATTATTTTCAGCAGTGTTTTGTAGTTCTTCTCATGGAGATCTTTCACTGCCTTCGTTAGGTGTATTCCTATGTATTGTTGTATATGTGTGTGTGCCTATTGTAAATGGGATTGCATTCTTGATTTGTTTCTGAGCTTAAACATTATTGGTATATAGAAATGCTATAGATTTTTGTACATTGATTTTGTATCCTGAGACTTTACAGAAGTCATTTATCAGGCCTAGGAGTTTTTGGGGGGAATATTTAGGATTTTCTAGGTATAGAATTATATCATTAGCAAAGAGATAATTTGAATTTGACTTCCTCTTTTTTTATTTAGACACCTTTTATTTCTTTTCTTTTTTTTTTTTTTTGCTGAGACAGAGTCTGGCTGTCTCCCAGGCTAGAGTGCAGTGGCATGATCTCTGCTCACTGCAAGCTCCACCTCCCGGGTTTATGCCATTCTCCTGTCTCAGTCTCCCGAGTAGCTGGGACAACAGGCACCTGCCACCACACCCAGCTAATTTTTTGTATTTTTAGTAGAGGCGGGGTTTCACTGTGTTAGCTAGGATGGTCTCCATCTCCTGACCTCTTGATCCACCCGCCTCGGCCTCCCAAAGTGCTGGGATTACAGGCGTGAGCCACCACGCCTGGCTGACACCTTTTATTTCTTTCTCTTGCCTGATTCCTCTGGCTAGGACTTATAGTACTATGTTGAATAGGTGTGGCAAGAGTGTGCATCCTTGTCTTGTTCCAGTTCTTAGAGGTAATGCTTCCAACTTTTGCCTATTCAGCATGATGTTGGCTGTGGGTTTGTCATAGATGGCTCCTATTATTTTGAGATACGGTCTTTTAATGACTGGTTTGTTGAGGGTTTTTATTATTAAGGAATGTTGAATTTTATCAAATGCTTTTTCTGTGTCTGTTGAAAGGATCATATGGTTTTCGTTTTAAATTTTGTTTATGTGGTGAAGCACATTTGTTAATTTGCATATGCTGAACCATTCTTGCATCCAAGGAATAAAGCCCACTTGATCATGGTGAATTAACTTTTTGATTTGGTTTGGTAGTGTTTTTTGAGGATTTTTGCATCTGTGTTTATTGGGGATATTGGCCTGTAGTTTTCTTCTTTTGTTATGTCTTTGTCAGATTCACGTCTATGCTTTTACATGCAATGTAATCCCTTCCATTTCAATCAAATGTAATCCCTTCCATTTCAATCAAAAGACCAATTCAAGTCTTACTTCCTCCTTTTAGCAGTCTCTGATAACCACATCATACGTGATTGTTCCTTTCTCTCAACTCTTCTAGCATTTTGACTACTAGGATGCTTACAGTGCTGTATCTTTGAGAGCAGAGGCTATAGCTTATTCTTACATGAATATGTCATTGGCTCCAGTCCCAGTGCTTGGCACAGAGCAGACACTCTTTAATAAAGAAATGAATTTTATTCAGCTTTTTTCCCATCTTATTTCTTACCAGAAATACAAATTGTATGAGTTTCAGAAAAATGGTATTTCGGTCAAAGTGACAGGCTCACTAAAAGACAATAATGCATTTCATTGAAAAGCAGGATATATTTTTTATTTAATGACTCTTCCTCTGACATCTACTTGTGACAGAAAATGTTAAAATTTAGTACCCAAACACTACCCTACACACATGCATGCATATACACACATTTATGGGAATTTAGCTGTTACCATGCTAGAGAATGATATTGGGTGGGTTTTTTTTGGGTGGGGGGGACTTTTCTTTGTTTTTGAGACAGGGTCTTACTCTTTCACTCAGACTGGAGTGCAGTGGCACAATCACGGCTCATTGCAGCCTCAACCTCCTGGGCTCAAGCCATCTTCCCACTTCAGCCTCTCAAGTAGCTGGGACTACAAGTGCACGCCACCCTGCCTAGCTAATTTTTGTAATTTTTGTAGAGATGGGACTTCACCATGTTGCTCAGGCTGGTCTCAAACTCCTGGGCTCAAGCAATCCACCCACCTTAGCTTCCCAAAGTGCTGGGATTGTAGGCATGAGCCACTGTGCCTGGCTAGAGATATTAACATGCTATCTTTTTTTCTCTCTCTCTTTTTCTCTTTTGAGACAGAGTTTCACTGTTGTTGTCCATGCTGGAGTGCAATGGCGTGATCTCGGCTCACCGCAACCTCTGCCTCCCAGGTTCAAGCAATTCTCTTGCCTTAGCCTCCCGAGTAGCTGGGATTACAGGCATGTGCCACCACGCCCAGCTAATTTTGTATTTTTAGTAGAGACAGGGTTTCTCCACATTGGTCAGGCTGGTCTTGAACTCCTGACCTCAGGTGATCCGCCCTCCTCAGCCTCCCAAAATGCTGGGATTACAGGCGTGAGCCACCGTACTTGGCCTTAACATGCTGTCTTGCGCCTAGCTTTCTTTTTCATTTTATCATGAATAGCCCATAGAGTCAACCTGGGTGATGGAGGAAAGAGGTTAGGCAGAGAAAAATAGCTAACAAACAGAAGCAAGAAAACATAACAGGAGTTGGGGAAACAGAGACAATGTGAATTCAGAACCATTAGACCATGACATCGAGTTGTGTACCAGTTTTGGAGAGGAGGCCACTGGGAACATCTTGAGGAAAAAAAGGGAAAATCAAACCAAATCTCAGAAGCAATGTCATATCTTGAACTTCACAAATAAATGTATAAGATGGAGAGGAGGAAAGAAAACACCTAAAGACTAAGCCACAAGTGAGGTATTTCCTGACGTACTGAGCAGTAGGGGGACCCAATCCCACCTTCTCTAAGCTAAAGGCCAATATGGTCAGATGGGGAGGCATCAGGTGGTATGAAGGGATGGATTCTTTCAGAGGGTTTTTGCTTCCATAAGAAATAACAAAAAAGACCACAAAACTGCAAATTTAGAAATAATCAAGAAATTTAGTGACACAGGAAGAGGAGGTTTCTTTTTTTTTCTTTTTTTTTTTTTTTGAGATGGAGTCTTGCTCTGTGGCCTAAGCTGGAGTGCAGTGGCACAATCTCAGCTCACTGCAGCCTCCACATCCCAGGTTCCAGCGATTCTTCTGCTTCAGCCTCCCAGGCAGCTGGGATTACAGGCACGCAGCACCACGCCCAGCTAATGTTTTTCTTTTGTATTTTTTAGTAGAGATGGGGTTTCATCATGTTGGCCAGGCTGATCTCAAACTCCTGACCTCAGGTGATCCGCCCACCTCAGCCTCCCAAAGTGCTAGGATTACAGGCGTGAGCCACCACACCCAGCTGGAAGAGGAGGTTTCAAGCAAGAAATATCTTTGGCCAGGTGCAGTGGCTCATGCCTGTAATCCCAACACTTTGGGAGGCCAAGTCAGGCAGATAACCTAAGGTCAGGAGTTTGAGACCAGCCTGGTCAACATGGAGAAACCCCATCTCTACTGAAAATACAAAAATTAGCCGGGCGTGGTGGCAGATGCCTGTAATCCCAGCTACTCGGGAGGCTGAGGCAGGGAGAATTGCTTGAACCCAGGAGGAGGAGGTTACAGTGAGCCGAGATCACGCCATTATACTCCAGTCTGGGCGACAGAGTGAGACTCTGTCTCAAGAAAAAGAAAAAAGAAAAAGAATATCTTCTGCTCCCCATTTAGAACCTCTGGCTTTCATTCTCAGTTCTTAGCTTTAATATTGAGGTATCTGGACCTCTATATGTGGCTTTGAACTACCATCACACTTCTTGTAGTTTTAGAACCAGTTGTTCTTCCAGGGGCTGGTTTATTAAATTCCTAGGGAATCCATGAGAAGAGTTACATAGGGAAGGGCCCCCTTCCAAGGCTGCGACTGAGAAAGCCCTCTCTTTCCTTGTATTGGGCACTTGAGACCTTGACAAGAAAACGAGTTTTTGCTGAAGCCAGTGTGACATATATACAGCTAATCCAAAGAGGAGACTGATAGAAACAGCTCTTACATACAAAGCCACAGAGGAGGTATCCTAAACTTGGAGATAGATCTGCTCCTCATCCATGGAAAGCCAGAGGGAATATAATACACATGATAGAGAGAACAAAGTTTAAGACTCACTATGTTGTGGTATAGGGGTGTGCAATCTTTTGGCTTCCCTGGGCCACATTGGAAGAAGAATTGTCTAGGGCCACACATAAAATACATTCACTCTACTAATGATAGCTGATGTACCAAAAAAAAAATCACAAAAAAATCTCATGATGTTGTAAGAAAGTTTACAAATTTGTGTTGGGCTACATTCAAAGTTGTCCCGGGCTGCATGTGGCCTCCAGGCCACAAGTTGGAGAACCTTGTAGTAGAAACCATGCATCAAGGAATCAGGAGACATGTCCAGTTCTACAACTTGCTGCATAACTTTAGCAAACCCCTTCCATGTTATGAAATTCCATTTTCTGGATGAAAGTTGAGGGAGCTCGACACACAATTTCTAAGAGTCTTCAGAACTGAAATAGCTGCCTGAGTGGGAAAAGGATCCACAATCCATTAACAGCCAGGAAATGGATAAGGTTTTAATGTCCAGTGAAGAAATTGCTGTGGGGGTAGAGTTGGACAGGGCACCTGAGAGAGATATATCTCTCAGGAAAGGAGGGATACAAGAATTCAGTTTAACCTGATTTTTTTGAAGGCTTACTTCTCCCTTTCTACTGGTGCCACCAGTACAGTGCCTTTGGTCTAGTCATAGGGTTGGATACCTGGCTATACTTTTGGGATATAAGGGCTAGCTTGATACTTCCCAGAATAGCCTTTAAATAGTTAGCTTTCCCGTGTATCTGTCGTAGGAAATTCAGTGGATATTGGTGTTGTGATTGGACCACTGCCAAGGTCCAAGAAAGGAAAGCTTCATAAGGGAGAGGATTAGCTGAGCCTGATTGCCGGGAGTCTACCAATAGACTTTTGCCCCTGAGGCTTCTGGCACAGTACCTCTCTTGTCTTTTGGAAGTGCTAACAAATCTTCTGCCGGCTTGCTAAAGTACCAAACTAGAAAATTTGAGAAAAGGCCAGGCGTGGTGGCTCACATCTATAATTCTAGCACTTTGAGAGGCCAAGGAAGGCAGATTGCTTAAGCCCAGGAGTTCGAGACCAGCCTGGGCAACATGGCAAAACCCCGTCTCTACAAAATATACAAAAATTAGGCTGGGTGTGGTAGCTCACGCTTATAATCCCAGCACTTTGGGAGGCCGAGGCGGGCGGATAATGAGGTCAGGAGTTCGAGACCAGCCTGGCCAACACAGTGAAACCCTGTCTCTACTAAAAATACAAAACTTAGCCAGGCGTGGTGGTGGGCACCTGTAATCCTAGCTACTCAGGAGGCTGAGGCAGGAGAATTGCTTGAACCTGGGAGGCAGAGGTTGCAGTGAGCCGAGATTGCACCACTGCACTAGAGCCTGGGCGACAGAGCTAGACCCCATCTCAAAAAAAAAAAATACAAAAATTGCCAAGTGTGGTAGCACACACCTGCAGTCCCAGCTACTTGGGAGGCTGAGATGAGAGGATCACCTGAGCCTAGATGTCAAGGCGACGGCGAGCCATGATTGCGCCACTGCACTCCAGCCTGGGTGACAGAGTAAGACTCTGTCTCAAACCAAAAGTAAAAAGAAAATTTGAGAAAAATAATTCTTGAGGCCTATTTAATCACTTCCTAGAAAAAATTATTGACATCACTCCCAGAGTCCCAGGAGAGCAACACTAAATGCAACTTAGTTAAAAATTTTTCTGTCATAGCCATACACACTATATTCTAAATACACACACATAAGCACATTAGATACATATTCACACACAGTAGATAGAAACACATACAGAGGAAAAAAATATATATATATATATCCTATGTCTTTCCTAGACAGCCTTTTCTGACTGAAAAAGTATACTTTTGTGCCAATCAGAGAAAATTTCAGTCACCTAAAAACCTCATAAATGGAGAAAATCTGTCCATAGTAAAACAGCAGTCTGAAGCTCTGTGGGGTAATTATGGCCTCCAGGGCTCTACCAAGTAAAGAAAGCTGTGGCTGTAGCTTTCATACTAGCAGGGATCAACATTCACTGAATCACATATGTCACTGCCAGTTGTGTCATTTCCCATGTAGGCCTAGCTCTTAGTTGTTAGGAAGTCTTGCTGTTGCACCAGTTGCCTGTGTGATGGTTTGCCTAACCCCATCCTCACTCTATCAGAAGGCTTTTTCCTCTAACCTCACATCATTGGGTGGATTTGCTGGGGGAGAGAGGCTCATGGAGATTTGGAGAAATTGCTCCTTCCTTAGAAGGTTCAGGGTTGGATGGCTCACCTCTTTTAATGCTGTGACCCAATCGGAAGGACAGATGCAAAGACTGGAAGAAAAGAACAGGAATAAATTGGAGGTATTCCAGGATGGGAAGTGGGGAGAGGGTAGAGGAAAGCTTAAAGGAGTTTTTATTTCTCCATGTGGGATCTGCTTCCTCCTTTTTTTTTTTAGACGACGTCTTGCTCTGTCGCCGGGCTGGAGTGCAGTGGTGCGATCTCGGCTCACTGCAACCTCCGCCTCCCAGGTTCAAGCAATTCCCCTGCCTCAGCCTCCCGAGTAGCTGGGATTACAGGCATGCACCACTACACCTGGCTAATGTTGTATTTTTAGTAGAGACGGGGTTTCTCCATGTTGGTCAGGCTGGTGTCAAACACCTGACCTCAGGTGATCCGCCTGCCTCGGCCTCCCAAAGTGCTGGGATTACAGGCATGAGCCACCGAGCCAGGCCAAGTATTTTACACTTTTACATATGAGTAAATTCTCTAATTTATCTGAACTATTAAATAACCCTATGATTCAGGTGAAGCAGGGAGGACCAAACATGTCCAGAGAGGTTGTTGAAGATCACAAGTAAGCCAATAGCCGATGGAACCCCAGCACTACTCCTAACTTCTAGTCCAATTCTTTTTTTTATGCTAAGCTGATTTTCTTTTGGAATTGAGTATGACTTGTCTTCCCAATGAGATTATGAACTCATGCAGGGCAGGGATCTTGTATTACTGATCTCTCTATCCCCTAAAGCAGCAACCACATTGTCTTGAATGAGGCAATGATTGTGTGTGGTTAATTGATTTCTCAAAACGTATATTCTCTTTCTGCTCCTAACACTGGACACCGTTGATCTGTAACATTTAAGTGTCTGTGTTTATTTCAATAAGCCTTTGCTGAGTATGACGATATGTTTTCAGCACACAGTGCTAGGCCCTGATATGTAAATTAAAGTTATAAGTAAGATAGGGTCTCTGTACTCAGGGAGCTTAAGGTTTTGTTAGAGATTTCTAAAAGCAAGAGAAATAGTGGTTAAGGGGAAGGCCCTAGGACCCTGTCCTCTCTTTCTTACTTCAAGCATCAGGTTGGATTCATTTCTGCAAGTTACTATAACAGGACAACTTTTAAATTTCTGTTAAAATCATTTTATTTTTAGGAATGAACTGCTTTAAAGCTAGGCTTTGTCCTTCCTAATGGATGGAGTAGGGGTAAGATCAAGAGAAGACGTGGTCCAAACTCTGCAGTCTAGTTTCATTAGGACAACTTGGTCAAATTTACTATGGAAATAGGTTTATTCTTCTGAGGGAAAAATTCAACCCTGTTGTGGCTTTTCTATCCAAAAGAGCTACCTAGAGTGAATATTTTGTGAGCAATGGATACATTCTTCTCTAAGAGGTCCTCAATGTCCTTTACAAAGCCATTTCTCAGCAGTCTTCACTCTCTTTCTTACTCTGATCAGGGTAATTAACCAAGCCTTAACTGAACACTGAACCAGGCTTTGTTATGGGAAATACAGAGATTGAAAAATTTAGTCTCTTAAACCTCTTCAGATGTAAGTGGAGAGAAAAGACTAAAGTGAATAAAAACAGCTCCCACACAAATCAGTTGTATTCCAAGGGCAAAATGAATGGTAATTGTAGTAAATGTTACAGTTCAGAGAAGGGGATGATTTGTATGGTCAAGAGAGGTTTCAAGACTAGGATGGGTAAAATTTAAAGGGGTGAAGAAGAATGGGGTGGTGGCGGGGCAGAGAGACAAAGGCAGCCTAGGCAAAGGTAAAGATATACAGAATGAGTATAGTAGGACACTGTGGGGTTTTGGGTGAAATAGAGACAAAGTAGTGAGAAATGAAGCTGGAGCAGCCACAGACACACAGAAATGGCTTGACTTCTAGGGTAAAGAGCTTGGACCTTATCCAAGAAGCAATGGGCTGCTATTTGGTATTTATAGCCTCAGCTGAACTTTTACTTCTATATGTTCCAGCTGTCTACTGGGTTATAAACTTTTTGAGCGCAAAAATGGTATTCTATATCTTTGTAACTCCAGAGTATCTAGCAGTGTAAATCAAAGTACAAGAAATATGAAGGAGTTTGGCAGTTAGATTATGAATTAAATTCCTGATTTTGCTTGTGGTCATATGTAAAATTCAGTGAAACAAAAATAGGCCCCAACATGTACTTGAAAATTCAGGAGAAGAAAAAAACAACTGAAAGCTTGAGTTGAACTTTGACCAACAGAGACAGATGAACATTCCTTTCCTTTGTATAAGATGAAGAAAGCCTCTCCAGGAAATGACAAGTGCCCTTGGGAATTTAAGCTCTGCTCTCAAGGCCCTAACAAAAGATAAGAGAGGTTTTATGTCTTGTTTCCCTGAGACATTTGTGAACTGTTATGTGAAGTCACTTACAGGGCAAGGAGACTTCCTACAGCCTCTGAAATAATATTTTGGACAATCTCTAACTTACAAATGCTTGATTCAAAAATGATACTTCCATAAAATTAACTGCCATCTCTTGCTTTCCTCTCTCTTACTTTCCTCTCCCTTCTCAAAGGCCCCCCAGTAACACTGGCAGTTGAGCTATTCAGGAAAAAAAAACAAAAAAAACGATTTTGTAGAAAATCTGTGGGAGAAAGGGACAAAGCTATGATGACCAGAACAGTTTAGGAGACAGGAAGAGGGTAGGTGTATGTTCCCAAATAGGTCTTGCCTGACTATATGATGGCTTTCTGCCCCAAAATATCTTTTCTCACATAGCTTGAATTATTTTCAAAACTTTTTAATTCTGCCTGAAGATATACTATATGGAAACACATTGAGATAAATAAGCACTTTATTTTAATGTATACAAACAACATCTAGGAGGACTAGGGCAGTTACCAGACCCTTGCTTATTGGTGTTGCTTTGCCAAATGAGTGCTCATTGCTTAAAGGCAATTAATCAGCTTACTTTTCCTGATGACACAGTGAATATTAGGATAGCTGAGAAACTGAGAGTTTCAGTTGTGATAGAAAGGGTACTCCACTCTGTGGGGCTTAGCAGACTTCAATGGTGTAAGTAGGCAGAATTCTAAGATGGCCCCACAAGATTATTGAGTCCCTTTCGCATACACACCTTGTTCTGTAGCAGGACGAGCCGCAGACAAAACTCCTCAGACACCGAGTTAAAGAAGGAAGAGGTTTATTCGGCCGGAGGCATCGGCAAGACTCCTGTCTCAAGAGCTGAGCTCCCTGAGTGAGCAATTCCTGTCCCTTTTAAGGGCTCACAACTCTAAGGGGGTGCGCGTGAGAGGGTCGTAATCGATTGAGCAAGCAGCGGGTACGTGCCTGGGGGCTGCATGCACCGGTAATTAGATCAGAACAAAACAGGATAGGGATTTTCACAGTGCTTTTCTATACAATGTCTGTAATCTATAGATAACATAACCGATTAGGTCAGGGGTCCATCTTTAACTACCAGGCCCAGGGTGTGGCACTGGGCTGTCTACTTGTGGATTTCATTTCTGCCTTTTACTTTTTACTTTTTCTTTTTTTGGAGGCAGAAATTGGGCATAAGACAATATGAGGGGTGGTCTCCTCCCTTAGTTCCAGTTATTCAATCAAATGGTAGTATAGGTACTGCTGTGAATGGATTTTTCCAGATGAAATTAAGATGCTAAATCACTTGACTATATAATTGGAAGAGTATCCATCTGGGTGGGTCTGATCTAACCACACAAACTCTTTAAAAGTAGAAAGTTTTCTCCAACTAGTCACAGATGAAGAAGTCAGAGACTTGAAGTATTAGTGGGATTTGATGCTTGAGAAATTCTCTGTTGCTGGTTTGAAAATGGAGAGGGATAGGTGGAAAGGAATATGGGTAGCCTCTTGGAGATGAAAATGGCCACTAATTGACAGCTTGCAAGAAAATGGAAACCTCAGACCTACATATGAAAGGCATTGAATTCTGCCAACAACCCGAATGAGCTTGGAAGAAGACCCTGAGACCCAGATCAGAACTGCAACCCTGGCTGACATCTTCGTTTCAGCCTTGAGACCTCCACAGAGGATCCAGCTAAGCTATGCCAGATTCCTGATCCATAGCAGCTGTGAGCTAATAAATGGCTGTTATTTTAAGCCATTCAGTTTGTATTCTTTTGCCATGCAACAATAGAAACTAATACAAATGTGATCTCCTGGGATGAGCCTGAGGGTATTGGCATTCAAGGGTCTGGGGAGAAGGGCTCTATAAAGCAATGGGCTACCAAAAGCAAACTTACCTATTTGAATATTTTGCTGATGAACTGGCTCTACCCAAGAAGGTGGAAGGTAACTCTCTTCCTTTTTTCTTCCTATGTCTCAGCCCATAAACAACAGGACCTTCTAGCACCCAGCACTTAAATCAGGACTGTGTTTCTAAGGCTCAGTTTTACATGAGTTAAATAGATTTTCACAGTTTGGCTTGAGAATTTAATGTTGTAATGATTAATTTCATGTGTCAGCTTAACTGGATCAATAGGTCTCCAGATATTTGGTTAGACACACTACTGGATGTGTCCATGAGGGTGTTTCCAGATTAGATTAGCATTTCAATCAGTAGACAGAGTGAAGCTGATTGCCCTTCCCCATGTGAATAAGCATCATCCAATTCTTGAGGACATGAACAGAACAAGAAGGTGGAATAAGGGTGAATTTGCAATCTATGACTGACTGCTTGAGGAGGGACATCAGTCTTCTGCACCCAAACTTAGAATTACACCATCAACCACCCTTGCCTTCTCAGGCCTTTGGACTAGGATTGAACTATACCACTGGTTTTCCTGGGTCTCCAGCTTGCAGATGGCAGATCATAGGACTTCTCAGCCTCCATAATCACATGAACCAATTTCTCTCTGTCAATCTCTCTTTCTCTCTCTCCAAGTCCCATGGTTAGCCAACTGCAAGCTGGAGACCCAGGAAAACCAGTTGTCTTGGTTCCATTACTCTGGAGAACCCTGACTACTAAACATGTATATCATTTTCTTCCATGGGAAAATGCATTCTGAGTTCCCAAAAACTTAAAAGCAAGTTTGGAGAACAAAACCTATTTGTTCTGAAAAGACTATATACCTTTTAATAGAATATAAAGCTTTAAATCAATGGAGATATATACCCTTTAAAGCTTTATACTCTATTAAAATGTGTGTATATAAGGCCAGGCACGGTGACTCACGCCTGTAATCCCAGCACAGCACTTTGGGAGGCCGAGGTGGGAGGATCACCTGAGGTTGGGAGTTCGAGACCAGCCTGACCAACATGGAGAAACCCTGTCTCTACTAAAAATACAAAATTAGCTGGGCATGGTGGTGCATACCTGTAATCCCAGCTACTCGGGAGGCTGAGGCAGGAGAATCACTTGAACCCAGGAGGCTGAGGTTGCAGTCAGCCAAGATCACGCCATTGCCCTCTGGCCTGGGCAACAAGAGCGAAACTCTGTCTCAAAAAAAATAAAAATAAAAAAAGTGTGTGTGTATGTATATAATTGTAGAGTTCCAGTCACCTGAGAGCTGATATTTGGGCGAATGAAGGGGAGAGAAGGAACCGGTCTTTTAGCAAGATCATATAGCACAGTAGTTAATATCATGGCTCTAGATCCTGGTTGCCTGTGTTTAAATTCTAGTTCTGTTACTTTCCAGTTATGTGATTTTGGGTAAATTGCTTAACCTCTCAGTGCCTACTGCTTTCCCATCTGTAAAATGGATTAATAGTACAACCTCATAGGGTTGCTGCACAATTAAAAAGTAAATATATGTAAAGCTCTTAAGATAATACCTGGCACACTATATACACAGCTTCCTTAACCCTACTAGCAAATCTAAATCTGTTCATCTCTAAAGCTTGAGTTATTTTAGCATCCAGGTATTTATAATCTTGGAATATTAGAGCCATCCTTAACCTACTGTACCCAAAGATTCTCTCATCTAAGGCCAAGTTAGGATGTTTTTATCTAATATAAATCCTATCCGATTCAATAGAAGCCTGATATCTTTATTTGTGGTCACCAAAGAAGAGCAATTCTGTTTGTTTCTTTAAAGTGGAAGAGTGTGTAAATGTTAGGAGAGTGAACCTGAAGATAAGTTTTAAAATTTCAGTCTCAGGGATATGCTTATAACCTAAGTTCAGAGTGTGAAGATGATCTATCTGATTGGGAAGCTAAATACCCAAGTGAAGTTATGTGACTAAATTTAGAATTTTGTTTTTCACTCTTTGGTCAAATTTAAATCCAAACCAAATCCAAATAGCATGGCCTGTTTGTGCAGTACTCTGGTATATCAAAAATGAATGGAAAGTCAGGCATGGTGGTGCATGCCTGTAGTCCCAGCTACTCAGGAGATTGTGGTTGGAGGATCACTTGAGCCCAGGAGTTTGAATCCAGCATGGGCAACATATCAAGACCCCATCTCTTAAAAGAAAAAAAAGTGGACATCCTTGACACAGATTGGCCTAGTTTTAAGAATAGAAAATGGGCTGGGCGCAGTGGCTCACGCCTGTAATCCCACCACTTTGGGAGGCCAAGGCGGGTGGATCACTTGAGGTCAGGAGTTCGAGAACAGCTTGGCCAACATGGTGAAACCCCGTCTCTACTAAAAATACAAAAATTAGCTGGGCATGGTGGTGGGCACCTGTAGACCCAGCTACTCGGGAGGCTGAGGCAGGAGAATGGCATGAACCTGGGAGGCGGAGCTTGCAGCAAGCCAAGATAGTGCCACTGCACTCCGGCTTAGGCAAAAGAGCGAGACTCTGTCTCAAAAAGAAAAAAAAAAAAGAATAGAAAATGATGACTTAAAAGGCTATTGAAGAAAATATGTTAGTTTGTTTTGCATTGCTATAAAGGAATATCAGAGACTGGGTAATTTATAAAGAAAAGAGGTTTATTTGGGTCATGGTTCTGGGGGATGTATAAGAATCATGCCAGCATCTGCTTGGCTTCTGGTGAGGTTTCAGGAAGCTTATGATTATGGCAGAAGGCAAACAGGGAATCAGTGTATCACGTGGTGAGAGGGAGCAAGAAAGAAGGGAGGAAGTTCCAGACTCTTTTAAACAACCAGATCTTACCTGAAGTCATACAGGAAGAAATCACTCATTACATGGGGAGAGCACCAACCCATTTGTAAGGGATCAACCCCCATGACCAAGCCACTTCCCACTAGGCCTGCCTCCAATATCGGAGATCACATTTCAACATGAGATTTGAACATCCAAACTATATCACAAGGCACAAGAGATGTTGGAGCAACACATAGCTCTTTCTAGATGTTTTGATGAGTTAAATGCAAAAAATCAGAAATACATGTCAGGAATTTTCCTGAAATGACACAAAGTTACAAAAATTTACACAAAGGCCATGGGTAGTGGCTCACGCCTGTAATCCCAGCACTTTGGGAGGCTGAGGCGGGTGGATCATCTGAGGTCAGGAGTTCAAGACCAGCCTGGCCAACATGGTGAAACTCCATCTCTACTAAAAATACAAAAATTAGCCGGGTGCGGTGGCAGGCGCCTGTAATCCCAGCTACTCTGGAGGCTGAGACAGAAGAATTGCTTGAACCTGGGAGGCAGTGGTTGCAGTGAGCTGAGATCGTGCCACTGCACTCCAGCCTGGGCGACACAGTGAGAGTCCGTCTCAAAAAAAGAAAAAAATTACACAAAACTGCCTGAGGCAGAATAATTTAACAAGCACCAAATGTTTGGGAAATAGTTTGAGACAAACCTTTATTCAAACCCATACATGTTTATGCTTGGTGTATGTGTTCTGTAGGGTATGAATGTCTTTCTGTGTGTATGTGTGTATGGTAGTTGGTTGGGGTAAATTCTGTAAAATAGAATCATTGAATAATTGTAGTATAATGATCCTGAAGGCATAGAGCTCTTCAGTTCACATTTGAATAGTCTGAGGTTTTTGTTTAGGAGTGAACAAGAATACCATTTATTATTCTATTTTACTGGCAAAAATCCAGAAGCTGGCAAAAAGGAAAACAACTTGTAAAGAACAACATTAGCACATCCCAATATAATGTGTGTGAATCATTTGGCAAAGGATCTCTTTACTCATGTCTCCTTCATCTTTTTCAATGTTGGCTGCATTTTAGAAATATCTAGGAAAGCAGATTTTGAGGGGTATGAGGGAGAATATAAAATGAAATTCATCCAGTCACATCTCTTATAGCTCCAGCACTACAAGCCAAATGAGCGTAGACTGGCTCCTCTGTGTGAGGAGCTGCCGGATGTAGTAAAAAGATCATAAAATCTAGGTTCTAGTCATAACTACCATTTATTTGAGCCTCAGTTTTCTCATGTGTAAAATGACAATACCAATTTCTGTGCTGCCAAACTTAGAGTTGTGACAATCCAATGAAATCGTGGGTGAAAAGATGCTTTGTAAATTGTATAGTGCTGTGCCAATCCCAATACCCTCCCTTCTTTGTGCACTCTGATTTTTAATGTATTTTTTAATTGACAAGTAAAAATTATATAAATTTATGGTATACAACATGATGTTTTGATATGTGTATGTGTGTACATACACACATACACACACATTATGGAATGACTAAATCAAGCTATTTAACATATACATTACCTCACATACATCATTATTTGAGATGCAAACACTTGAAATCGACTTTCTTGGCAATTTTCAAGTAAACAATATATTGTTATTACCCACAGTTACCATGATGTACAATAGATCTCTTAAACTATTCCTTCTGTATAACTCAGATTTTGTGTCCTCTGACTAACATCTCCCTAATACACACCACCCACCCTCTGGGTAGTTATCACCACCATGCTATACTATATCTGTTTCTATGAGTTTGACTTTTTAGATTTCACATAAACGATATCATGCACTATTTGTCTTTCTGTGCTTGGCTTATTTCACTTAACATGCCTTCCAGGGTCATCCATGTTATGACAAATGACAGCATTTCCTTCTCTTTAAGGCTGAATAGTATACTATTGGGTATATATGCCACATTTTCTTTATCCATTCATCCACTGATGGGCACTTAGGTTGATTTCATATCTTGGCTATTGTAAATAATGCTGCAATAAATATGGGAGTGCAGATGTCTCTTCAATATACTGACTTTATACCCTTTGGATATATACTCAGTAGTGGGATTGCTGGATCATATGGTAGTTAATTTAATTTTTTTTTTTTTTTTTGAGACAGAGTCTTGCTCAGTCGCCCAGGCTGGAGTGCAGTGGCTCGATCTCCGCTCACTGCAAGCTCCACCTCCCGGGTTCACGCCATTCTCCTGCCTCAGCCTCCCGAGTAGCTGGGACTACAGGCGCCGGCCACCACACCCAGCTAATTTTTTTGTATTTTTTTTAGTAGAGACGGGGTTTCACCGTGTTAGCCAGGATGGTCTCAATCTCCTGACCTCGTGATCCGCCCACCTCGGCCTCCCAAAGTGCTGGGATTACAGACATGAGCCACCGCGCCCGGCCGTTAATTTAATTTTTGAGGAACCTCCATACTGTTTTCCATAATGGCCGCACCAGTTTACATTTCCGCCAATAGTGTACAAGGGTCCCCTTTTCTCTGCATCCTTGACAGCACTTGTTCTCTTTCATCTGTTTGATAATAGCCATTCTAACAGCAATGAGGTAATATCTCATTGTGGTTTTAATTTGCAGTTCCATGATCATTAGTGGTTTTGAGCTTTTTTTTTGTTTGTTTGTTTTTTTGAGACGGAGTCTCACTCTTTCACCTAGGCTGGAGTGCAGTGGTGTGATCTTGGCTTACAGCAACCTCTGCCTCCCAGGTTCAAGCAATACTCCTGCCTCCCGAGTAGCTGAGATTACAGGCATGCACCACCATGCCAGGCTAATTTTTTTTTTTTTTTTTTAGTAGAAATGGCATTTCACCATATTGACCAGGCTGGTCTCGAATTCCTGACCTCAAGTGATCTGCCTGCCTTGGCCTCCCAATGTGCTAGTATTACAGGCATTAGCCACTGCACCTGGCCTTGAGCTTTTTTATATATATCTGCTGACTATTTGTATGTCTTCTTTTGGGAAAGGCCTATTCATGTCCCTTGCCAATTTTTTAATCAGGTTATTTGTTTTCTTATTACTGAATTGAGTTCCTTATATATTTTGAAAATAAATCCCTTATCAGATGTATGGTCAGCAAATATTTTCTCTCATTCCATAGGATGCCTCTTCATTCTGTTGGTTTGTTCCTTTGCTGTGCAAAAGCACTTGTGTAGTTTTGCTTTTGTTGCCTGTGCTTTTGGGTTCATACTCAAAAAAGAATTGCCCAGATCAATTTCATGGAACTTTTCTCCTATTTTTTCTTCTGGTAGTTTTACAGTTTCAGGTCTTATGTTTAATTCAATCCCATTTTGAGTTTGTTTCTGTATATGATGTGAGATGAAAGTCTAATTGCACTCTTCTGCATGTGGATAACCAGTTTTCAAAGGATCATTTGTTGAAGACGCTGTCCTTTCCCATTGTGTGTTCTTGTTATATTTGCTGAAAATTAAAAACTATAGGCCGGGCATGGTGGCTCATGCCTGTAATCCCAGCACTTTGGGAGGCCGAGGTGGGCGGATCACCTGAGGTCGGGAGTTAGAGTCCAGCCTGACCAACATGGAGAAACCTTGTCTCTACTAAAAATACAAAATTAGCTGGGCGTGGTGGGGCATGCTTGTAATCCCAGCTACTCGGGAGGCTGAGGCAGGAGAATCGCTTGAACCCCGGAGGTGGAGGTTGCTGTCAGCCAAGATTTCGCCATTGCACTCCAGCCTGAGCAACAAGAGCGAAACTCCGTCTCAGAAAAAAAAAAAAAATTAAAAACTGTAAGTGCATGAATTTATTCCTGGACTCTTTCTTCTATTCCATTGGTTAATATGTCTGTTTTTATGCCAGTACTATGTTCTTTTGGTTACTATAGCTTTGCAGTCAATTTTGAGGAAAGGTAGTGTGATGTCTTCAGCTTTGTTCTCTTTTTTTTTTTAAGATGGAGTTTTGCTCTTGTTGCCCAGGCTGGAGTACAATGGCGTGATCTTGACTCACTGCAACCTCCACCTCCTGGGTTCAAGCGATTCTCCCTGCCTCGGCCTCCCGAGTAGCTGGGATTAAAGGCATGTGCCACCACGACTGGCTAATTTTGTATTTTTAGTAGAGACGGGGTTTCTCCATGTTGGTCAGGCTGGACTCAAACTCCCGACCTCAGGTGATCCGTCCACCTCAGCCTCCCAAAGTGTTGGGATTACAGGTATGAGCCACTGCGCCTGGCCCAGCTTTGTTCTTTTAGTTCAAGATTACTTTGTCTATCTGTGATTTTTTATAGTTCTATACACATTTGAGGATTTTTTTTCTATTTTTGTGAAAAATGTCATTGGAATTTTGATGGCAGTTGCATTGAATCTTGAGATTGTTTTAGGTAGTATGGACACATTAAGAATATTAACCCATCCAATTCAGAAACACAAGATTTATTTCCATTTAATTGTGCCTTCAATTTATCTCATCAAGGGGTTTTATTTATTTATTTTTTTTTTTGAGACAGTCTTGCTCTCTGTCACCCAGGCTGGAGTGCAGTGGCACGATCTCGACTCACTGCAACCTCCGCCTCTATGGTTCAAGCGATTCTCCTGCCTCGGCCTCCCGAGTAGCTGGGATAACAGGCGTGCACCACCACGCCCAGCAAATTTTTGTATTTTTAGTAAAGATGGGGTTTCACCATGTTGGCCAGGCTGGTCTTGAACTCCTGACCTCAGGTGATCCACCCGCCTAGGCCTCCCAAAGTGCTGGGATTACAGGCGTGAGCCACCGCACCTGGCCTCATCAATGTTTTATACTTTTTAGTATAAAAAGTTTTACTTCCTTGGTTGAACTTACTATTATTTATTTTTTGTTTAACTATTGTAAATAGGATTGTTTTCTTGATTTCTTTTATGGGTAGTTCATTGTTAGTGTACAGAAATGCTACTAATGTTTGTTATTTTAATTTTGTATCCTGTAACTTTACTGAATTTGTTTATTAGCTCTAACAGGTCTTTGGTAGATCTTTACGGTTTTTCATATGTAGGATCATGTCCTCTGCTAACAGAGACAATTTAACTTTCCAATTTGGATGCCTTTTATTGCTTTCTCTTGCCTAATTGCTCTAGCACAGTTTTACTACTATGTTAAATATAAGCAACAAGAGTGGTAATCCTTGCCTGTTTCTGATCTTAGAGGAAAAGCTTTCGACTTTTCGCCATTTATTATTATGTTAGCTGTGGGCTTGTTGAATATGGCCTTTATTGTGTTGAGGTGCATTTTTCCTATACCTAATTTTTTGAGAGTTTTTTTGATAAAAGGAAGTTGAATTTTGGCAAATGCTTTTTCTGTATTAATATCTGTTGAGATGATTACATGGGTTTTGTCTTTTATTCTGGTAGCTTAGTGTGTCACATCTTACAGGTATAACAAGCTATTTAAACTTGGTAAAAATGGCTGGTCGCAGTGGCTCATGCCTGTAATCCCAGCACTTTGGGAGGCCAAGGCGGGTGGATCATCTGAGGTTGGGAGTTCAAGACCAGCCTGACCAACATGGAGAAACCCCGTCTCTACTAAAAATACAAAAAATTACCCAGGCGTGGTGGCAGGTGACTGTAATCCCAGCTACTCGGGAGGCTGAGGCAGGAGAATCGCTTGAACCCGGGAGGCGGAGGTTGCAGTGACCCAAGATCATGCCATTGCACTTCAGCCTGGGCGACAAGAGCAAAACTCCGTCTCAAAAATAAATAAATAAATAAATAAAATTGATAAAAACTTAAGTTTGATTACATTAAAAAAATCAACACTTTTAGTGCTCTCCTAACATTTTATGCTTTCGATGTTATCATTTACACATTTTTCTATTGTGTATACATTAATAAATTTTTGTAGCTATTATTGTTTTTAATAGATTTGTCTTATAACCTTCATACTAAAGATATAAGTGATTTAAACAACATTAAAGTATTGAAGTATTCTGAATTTAACTATGCAATTGCTTTTAAAAGTTAGTTTTATGCCTTCATGGGTTTTTTTTGGGTTTTTTTGTTTGTTTTTTGTTTTTTTGAGATGGAGTCTTGCTCTGTTGCCCGAGCTGGAGTGAAGTGGCATGATCTCAGCTCACTACAACATCCGCCTCCCAGGTTCCAGGGATTCTCCTGCCTCAGCCTTCTGAGTACCTCTGATTACAGGTGCACCCCACCATGCCTGGCTAATTTTTGTACTTTCAGTAAAGACAGGGTTTCACCATGTTGACTAGGCTGGTCTCGAACCCCCGACCTCAGGTGATCTGCCCACCTTGGCCTCCCAAAATGCTGGGATTACAGGCGTGAGCCACCTTGCCTGGCCCAGGTGTTTTTATATTACTAATTAGCATCCTTCTCTTTCAGCTTGAAGAATTTTTTTTTTTTTTTTTAGACAGAGTCTAGCTCTGTCATTCATGCTAGAGTGCAGTGGCACGATCTAGGCTCACTGAAACCTCCGCCTCCCAGGTTCAAGCGATTCTCCTGCCACAGCCTCCCGAGTAGCTGGGATTACAGGCACACACCACCATGCCTGGCTAATTTTTGTATTTTTAGTACAGATGGGGTTTCACCATGCTGGCCAGGCTGGTCTCGAACTCATGAACTCAAGTGATCCACCCGCCTCAGCCTCCCAAAGTGCTGGGATTACAGGTGTGAGCCACCGTGCCCAGCCAAAGAACTTCTTTTAGCATTTCTTCTAAGACAGGTCTGGTGCTGATGAACTTCCTCAGCTTTTGTATGGTAAAGTCTTTACCTCTCCTAGTTTTTTAAAGGACAGCTTTACTGAGTAAAGTATTCTTGATTGGCAGTATTTCTTTTTCAGTACTTTGAATATATCATCCTACTCTCTCCTGGCCTCTAAGGTTTCTGCTCAAAAGTCTGTTGCAGCACTGGGTGCGGTGGCTCCTGCCTGTAATCCCAGCACTTTGGGAGACCAAGGCGGGCGGATCACCTGAGGTTGGGAGTTCGAGACCAGCCTGACCAACATGGAGAAACCCTGTCTCTACTAAAAATACAAAATTAGTCAGGTGTGGTGGTGCATGCCTGTAATCCCAGCTACTTGGGAGGCTGAGGCAGGAGAATCGCCTGAACCGGGGAGGTAGAGGTTGCAGTGAGCCGTGATAGTGCCATCACACTCATCCCGGGAAACAAGAACGAAACTCCTTCTCAAAAAAAAAAGAAAAGTCTGTTGCTAGCTTTAATAGAACTCCCTTATGTTTTGTTTTGTTGGTCGGTTTGTTTTGAGACGGAGTTTTGCTCTTGTTGCCCAGGCTGCAGTACAATGGCACAATCTCGGCTCACCGCAATCTCCGCCTCCCAGGTTCAAGTGATTCTCCTGCCTCAGCCTCCCAGGTAGCTGGGATTACAGGCATGTGCCATGTGCCACCACTCCCGGCTAGTTTTGTATTTTTAGTAGAGACGGGGTTTCTCCATGTGGTCAGGCTGGTCTCAAACTCCCGGCTTCAGGTGATCCGCCCACCTTAGCCTCCCAAAGTGTTTGGATTATAGGCGTGAGCCACCGGGCCTGGCCATATCCCTTATGTTTTATATGCTTCTTTTCTCTTGTTGCTTTCAGGATCCTCTTTTGTCCTACATTTTTGACAATTTAATTACAATGTGTCTTGGTATAGTCTTGTTTGGATTGAATCTAACTGGGGACTTTTGACCTGCTTGTACTTGGATATTTATATCTTTCCCAAGTTTTCTGTTATTGTTTCTTTTTGTTTTTTAGATGGAATCTCGCTCTGTCACCCAGGCTGGAGTGCAGTGGCGTGATCTCGGCTCGCTGCAACCTCCGCCTCCAGGGTTCAAGCGGTTCTCCTGCCTCAACCTCCCGAGTAGCTGGGATTACAGGTGCCCACCACCACGCTTGGTTAATTTTTGTATTTTTAGTAGAGACGGGGTTTCACCATGTTGGCCAGGCTGGTCTGGAACTCCTGACCTCAGGTGATCCATCTGCCTTGGCCTCCCAAAGTGCTGGGATTACAGGTGTGAGCCACCGAGACTGACCTATCGTTTCTTTAAATAATATTTTGGCCTCTTTGTCTTACCTTCTCCTTCTTAATTCCTATAATTTGAATATTTGCTCTTTTGGTTGTATCATAAATCCTGTAAGCTTTTTTTCATTCTTTTTCATGGGGATAGCTGGCTATCTTTGTTTTTTGTGTGTGTATAAGGGGATGAAAGCCACTATTTCCTGCTCTGTCATCATGGTGATGTCATCTCACATTGTGCACTTTGCATTTACACTTGTGAAGTTTTCTGTCATCCATCTGGATCAAAATATGAGTAATCCCAGGAAAGCTCATGCTGGGTGGTACCTTGGGTATTCCATTACCCTGCATTTCAAGACTGGGTTGGTTGTTTTTGTTATGATTTGTAGAGTTTGTGGGAAAAGCAGGTTTAGTCCTGCCTGGGGCTGTTTTTCAATCTACATTGTCATAGTTCGCTGGCACCTGTAATCCCAGCAATTCGGGAGGCCGAGGCTGGCAGATCACCTGAGGTCAGGAGCTCGAGACCAGCCTGGCCAAAATGGTGAAACCCTCTCTCTACTAAAAATACAAAAATTAGCCAGGTGTGGTAGTGTGCGCCTGTAATCCCAGCTACTTGGGAGGCTGAGGCAGGAGAATCGCTTGAGCCCAGGAGGCGGAGGTTGCAGTGAGCTGAGATCGCGCCACTGCACTCCAGCCTGGGAGACAGAGAGAGACTCTGTCTCAAAAAAAGAAAAAAAAATTGTCATAGTCATCTTCTGACAGAGATACTTAATGATAGTTTTGATGGAAATTTCTAAACAGTAAAATACCTTCCCAAAATAGTGACTGTGGGCTAGGTGTAGTGGCTCACTCCTATAATCCCAGCAATTTGGGAGGCCAAGGCGGGCGGATCACCTGAGGTCAGGAGTTCAAGACCAGCCTGGCCAACAAAGCAAAACCCCATCTCTACTAAAAAATAGAAAAATTAGCCAGGTATGGTAGCGGACACCTGTAATCCTAGCTACTCGGGAGGCTGAGGCAGGGAGAATTGCTTGAACCCGGGAGGCGGAGGTTGCAGTGAGCCGAGATCATGCCACTGCACTCCAGCCTGGGTGACAGAGTGAGACTCTGCCTCAAAAAAAAAAAAAAAAAAAAAAAGGTGACTGTACTTTTAAAAAATGCCTTTATCTCATGCCCTTTATCATAATACTTATACTATACAAAATCAGGTCGTTACTAGTTTATCTCGCCTGACAGACTGTGAATTCATTAGAACCAGGAAATACGCCTGTCCTTTTTATTTGTATTTTTATTTTTTTGAGATGGAGTCTCACTCTGTTGCCCAGGCTGGAGTGCAGTGGTGTAATCTCGGCCCACTGCAACCTCCACCTCCCAGGTTCAAGTGATTCTCCTGCCTCAGCCTCCCAAGTAGCTGGGATGACAGGCACATACCACCACACCTGGCTAATTTTTGTATTTTTAGTAGAGAGAGAGTTTTGCATGTTGGCCAGGCTGGTCTTGAACTCCTGACCTCAGGTGATCCACCCACCTCAGCCTCCCAAAGTGCTGGGATTACAGGCGTGAGCCACTGCGCCAGGGGCCTGTTCTTTTTATTGCTATACCCCTCTATATACCCTAGAGCCAGACACAGAGTAAGCATTCAGTAAATGTTAGATATATCGATCATAAGAAATTCATATTTAGGCTGAGCGCGATGGTACACGCCTATAATCCCAGCACTTTGGGAGGCTGAGGCGGGCAGATCGCTTGAGCTCACGAGTTTGAGACCAGCCTGGGCAACATGGCAAAACCCTATCTCTACAAAAAATTACAAAAATTAGCTGAGTGTGGTGGTGTGTATCTGTAGTTCCAGCTACTCGGGAGGCTGAGGTGGGAGGATAGTTTGAGTGTGGGAGGTGGAGGTTGCAGTGAGCCAAGATCATGCCTGGGCAATAGAGCCAGACCTTGTCACAAAAAAAAAAAAAGAAAAAGAAAAAGAAAAAGAGATGTAAAATCATATTTAAAAGGCAGCATTGAGGCTGGGCGCAGTGGTTCACGCCTGTAATCCCAGCACTTTGGAGGCCAAGGTGAGCAGATCACCTGAGGTCAGGAGTTCGAGACCAGCCTGGCCAATATGGTGAAACTCCGTCTCTATTAAAAATACAAAAATTAGCTGGGTGTGGTGGCACACACCTGTAATTCCAGCTAATTGGGAGGCTGAGGCACAAGAATCACTTGAACCTGGGAAACAGAGGCTGCGGTGAGCTGAGATCACACTACTGCACTCCAGCCTGGGCAATAGAGTGAGACTCTGTCTCCAAAAAAATTAAATAAATAAAATAAAATAATATTCCATTGTGTGGATATACTACATTTTGTTTATCCATTCATCAGCTGATGGACATTAGAGTTGTTTCTACTTGTTGGCTATTATAAATAGTGCTGTTATGAACAAGTTTCTGTGTGGACCTATGTTTTAATTTCTCTTGGGCATATTCCTATAACTAAAACTGCTGAGTCATATGATAACTCTATGTTTAACTTTTCGAGAAACTGCGTAACTGTTCCTTATTTATGTTCCCACCAGCAGTGTATGAGGGTCTTAAATTCCCCACATTTTGCCAACACTTATTTGTCTGCCTTTTTAATTATAGACCTTCTAATGGACATGAAGTAATAAATGCAATATTTTTAAAAATTTAAAATCAATTCAAAAAGTCCATGAACAAAATATCAAAATTTTAAATAAATACAGGATCTAGCAGTGCTGTGCTTAGCCACATTGGGGCCTGAAGCAAAAAGAAAAATGTGTGTCCCTATGTACATTTCTATTTATTCTGAATGGTAATGAAAGAGACTAACTTTGAAAGTATGTTTTTAATATAAAACTTTATCAAGACATGTTACTATTCCTCCTGAATATGAACAGAAATAAAAAAGGAAATTAAAATTAGAAATGTACAAATCACCAGATGAGAGCATTAATTATTAAGGAACAAGCAGATATCAAATAGAAAGTAAGAATAGTAGGCTGGGCATGGTGGCTCACACCTGTAATCTCAGCACTTTGGAAGGCCAAAGTGGGTGGGTCGCTTGGGCCCAGGAATTCAAAACCAGCCTGGACAACATGGCAAAACACTATCTCCACAAGAAATACAATAAATTAGCCGAGCATGGTGTCATGCACCTGTAGTCCCAGTTACTCGGGAGGTTGAGGTGGGAGGATCACCTGGGCCTGGAAGGTCGAGGCTGCAGTGAGCCAGATCATGCTATTGTACTCTACCCTGGGAGACAGAGTGAGACACTGGCTCAAAACAACAAAAATAAAAACAACAGAAAGTTAGAAGATTATACAAGCCCCAATTTCATGTTTGAAGTGGAACTGTGACAAATAAAATAAAATACCATTAGAATTTTCATTTTTAGCCAGTAAAAAGTTATTTTCTCTAAATACTTCTGATTTCCAAAGAGTAGCCAATCAATAGCAAATACATGGAAACAACCTAGGTGCCCATCAACAGTGGATTAAATAAAGAAAATGTGGTACATATAGGCTGGGCTCGGTGGCTCACGCCTGTAATCCCAGCACTTTGGGAGGCTGAAGCAGGAGGATCACGAGGTCAGGAGATGGAGACCATCCTGGCCAACAAGGTGAAACCCCATCTCTACTAAAAATACAAAAATTAGCCAGGCATGGTGGCGTGCACCTGTAGTCCCAGCTACTCAGGAGGCTGAGGCAGGAGAATCGTTTGAACCCGGGAGGCGGAGGTTGCAGTGAGCCAAGATTGCGCCACTGCACTCCAGCCTGGGCTACGGAGCAAGACTCCGTCTCAGTGAAAAATAAAAAAAGAAAGACAAAAAAAAAAAAAAAAGAGAATGTGGTAAATATATACCATGGAATACTATGCAACCATAAAAATGAATGAAATCCTGTTCTTTGCAGCAACGTAGATGCAGCTGGAGGCCATTATCCTAAGCAAATTAATGCCAAAAGAGAAAATCAAATACTGCATGTTCTCACTTATAGGTGGGAGCTAAACCCTGGATACATACAGACATAAAGATGGGAACAATATACACTGAGGACTCCAAATGGTAGGGAAGAAAGAAGAGGCAAGAGCTCAAAAACTTTCTATTAGGTACTATGTTCACTATCTGGTGATGGGGTCAATAGAAGCCCACATCTCAGCATCATGCAATATACACACTTGTAACAAACTCGCACATGTACCCTCTGAATCTAAAATTAAAATTAAAAAAGGAACCAGTGGGGTTGTATGGCACAGCAGAAGAGAGTGATGAAAAGTAGAATGATGAAAGGATAAGCATATTTGCCTGTAGACTTGCTCATTTAACTTATGTGTGTTTATCTGTACCTGGGACCTGGGGAAGGAGATATAGAAATGCACTAGAGGCTGTCTTCAGTGTTAAGGACATAGCATGATGAATGTAACACGTGTGTCATGGTCAGTTTTATGTCAACTTGGCTAGGCTACATTCTACAGTTATTCAATGAAACTCTAATCTAGGTCTGGTTGTGAAGGTGGTTTGTTGATGTGACTAAAGGTTATAATCAATCAGTTGACTTTAAGGTAGATTATTCTAGATAATCTAGGTAGGCTGATTCAATAAACTGGAGGCCTTAAGAGCAGAGCTGAGGCTTACTTGAAGAATACATTTTCGCTGAGGATAGAACTTTAGCTCATGCCCAACAGTTCCAGCCTGCCCTATGGATTTTGGACTTGCATAGCCATTTCCTTGCAATAAATCATGTAAGCCAATTCCTTGTGATAAATCTCTTAATACTTAAAAACAGCAACAAACAACAACAACAAAATAACGAAAAGCAGTCAACGACTTGGCTCAAAAATATTCTAATGACTAAAATCCTGTAAAAATTTCATCCAAAATAGTTTTTTCTTTTTGCCCAGGCTGGAGTGCAACGGCACGATCTCAGCTCACTGCAACCTCCACCTCCCAGATTCAAGCAATTCTCCTGCCTCAGCCTCCCAAGTAGCTGGGATTACAGGCATGCTCTACCACGCCGGGCTAATTTTGTATTTTTAGTAGAGACGGGGTTTCTCCATGTTGGTCAGGCTGGTCTTGACCTCCCGACCTCAGGTGATCTGCCTGCTTCGGCCTCCCAAAGTGCTGGGATTACAGGTGTGAGCCACCGCACCTGGCCCAAAATAGGTTTTTTTTGAGATGGAGTCTTGTTCTGCCTCACCCAGGCTGGAGTGCAGTGGCACAATAATCTCAGCTCACCGCAACCTCCGCCTCCTAGGTTCAAGTGATTCTCCTGCCTCAGCCTCCCAAGTAGCTGGATTATAGGCACCTGCCAACATGCCTGGCTAATTTGGCTAATTTTTGTATTTACAGTAGAGATGGGCTTTCACCATGTTGGCCAGGCTGGTCTCAAACTCCTGAGTTCAAGTCATCCGCCCGCCTCAGCCTTTGAAAGTGTTGAGATTACAGGCATGAGCCACTGCACCTGGCCCCAGAATTTCATCCAAAATAATTTTAAGTATCCTGCAAAATCAGTAATGTGTAATATAAAATCAGCATTGAGTTTGAGTATTCTAAAGCTGGTTCATAAAGTTGCTTTAGTGTAATCTTATTCAAATTTGGAAGTAGACTTAATATATTTTTAAAACGATATCCTGTGAAAGCAATTTCCATATGCTAAAATTAATTAAAAATTAATTTAAGATTGTTCAGTTGGTCAAGAGAAATTGCCAAACATCGATTTCTCTTACTTGAAAACAAGATAAGGAAAGACGTAACTTTTGAAATTATTATCGATGAATTTGCTTCCATTAAAAATCAGGAAAGCAGCAAGAGGGAGGTTATTTATGTCTAAGGTATCTCCCGGAAGACAAAAGTGATTTCTCATCATGAAGGCCACAAGGAGGTCATGGAGGCTAGAAAAGTGGAGGATGACACCATTCATAGTGCTCAAAAAAAAAAAAAACAAAAAACAAAAGCTGGCCAGCTGCGGTGGCTCACACTTGTAATACCAGCACTTTGGGAGGCCGAGGCGGGCAGATCACCTGAGGTCAGGAGTTCAAGACCAGCCTGACCAACATGGTGAAACCCCGTCTCTACTAAAAATACAAACAATTAGCCGGGCGTGGTGGTGGGTGCCTGTAACCCCAGCTACTCGGGAGGCTGAAGCAGGAGAATCACTGGAACCCGGGAGGCAAAGTTGCAGTGAGCCAAGATCGTGCCATTGCACTCCAGCCTGGGCAACAAGAGTGAAACTCCGTCTCAAAAAAAAAAAAAAAGGCAAGAATGTTTTGCTCTGATCATTTCTATTCACGTTTGTGCTAGGGGTTCTGTCCAGGGCAATTAGGCAAGAAAAAGAAATAAAAGACATTTAGAATTTTAAGGAAGAAGTAAAACTATATCTACTTTTGTTAAGGAAGAAGTAAAACTATATCTACTTTTACAAGATATAACCTTGCATATAGAAAATCCTAAGGAATCCACAAAAAACTACAGTAGCCCCCCATATCTATGGGTTTCACATCCACAAATTCAACAAATTGTGGATCAAAAATAAAGCAATATTAAAAAAACAACAATAAAAATAATATAAATGAAACAAATACCGTATAACAACTATTTACATAGCATTTACATTGTATCAAGTATTGTAAGTAATTCAGAGATGGTTTGAAGCATTCAGAAGGATGTACATAGATTATATAACCCCATTTTACGTAAGAAAATTAAGCATCTGAGAATTTTGATATCTGTGAGGGGTCCTGGAATCAAATCCCCTTGGATATTGAGGGACAACTATACTAGAACTAGAACTAGAACTAGAACTAACAAGACACTTTACCAACATTGTACAATACAAAACTAATATACAACAAAGAGTTGTATTTTATAGACTTGCAATAAACAAATCTGAATAAAATTAAGCAAAAAATTCCATTTAAAATAGCATAAAAAATACTTGTACTTAGGAATAAATTAACAAAAGAAGTTCAAAACTTGTACACAGAACATTATCGAAATTTGTACACAAAACATTATTGAAAAAAGTTTAAGAAGATCTACATATATTGGAAGACCTCCATCGCATGTTCATGAATTTAAAGACTTAATATTGTTATAATGTCAAAGGTTTCCAAATTTATTTATAGACTCAACACAATCCCTATCAAAATCCCAGCTTGATTACTACAGACATCGACAAGCTGATGCTAAAACTCATATGAGACTGCAAGGGTCCAGAATAGTGAAAATCATCCAGAATAAAGTTGGAGGTTGAAGCATTCATGTTTCTTTTTTTTTTTTCTTTTTCGTTTCCAGTGGGGTCAGATACTCATGGTTTTTTATCTTAAAATTTACTTCAAAGCTACAGTAATCAAGACTGTGGGATTGGTATAAAGTTACATTTATAAATATATATAAATCAAAGGAATAGAGTTGGGAGTTTAGAAATAAACCCTTACATTTATGGTCAATTATAAACAAAGAAGCAACACTCTTTTAAACACATGGTGCTGGGAAAACTGGGTATCTATATGCAAAAGAAAGAAGTTAGATTACTATTGCTCATCACATACAAAAATTAACTCCCAGGCGCGGTGGCCCATGCCTATAATCCCAGCACTTTGGGAGGCTGAGGTGGGCAGATCGCTTGAGTCCAGGAGTTGAGACCAGCCTGGGTAACATGGTGAAACCCCATCTCTACAAAAAAATACAAAAAAAAAAATTAGCCAGACGTAGTGGCGCTGCGCCTGTAGTTCCAGATACTTGGGAGGCGAAGGTCGGAGAATTGCGTAACCCTGGGAGGCAGAGATTGCAGTGAGTCAAGATTGCGCCATTGCACCCTAGCAGTGATGAGGGTGAAAGCCTGTCTCAAAAAAAAAAAAAAAAAAATAAGAAAGAAAGAAAAAAGGCCGGGCGCGGTGGCTCATGCCTGTAATCCCAGCATTTTGGGAGGCCGAGGCGGGCAGATGACCTGAGGTCAGGAGTTTGAGATCAGCCTGGAGAACGTGGTGAAACCCCGCCTCTACTAAAAATACAAAAATTAGACGGGCGTGGTGGCACGCACCTGTAGTCCCAGGTACTCGGGAGGCTGAGGCAGGAGAATCACTTGAACCCGGGAGGCGGAGGCTGCAGTGAGCCGAGATCTTGCCACTGCACTTCAGCCTGGGTGACACAGCGAGACCCTGTCTCAAAATAAATAAATAAATAAAAATACAAATAAAACAAATAAATAAATAATAAAAACCAAACAAAAACAACCAAAAAAAAAAAAAACTCAAAATGTATCAAAGACCTAAATGTAAATGCTTAAACTATAAAACTCATATAAGAAAATCTTCATGCCCTTAGGTTAGACAATGTGGCTTTTTTTTTTTTTTAGTTATGACATTAAAAACACAAGGTACAAAAGAAAAAGTAAGTTGTACTTAGTGAAAATAAAAAACTTTTGTGCTTTAAGAACGCATCAAGAAACTGAAAAAAACTTACGAAATAGGAGAAAATATTTGCAAATCATATATCTGATAATGTAAAACTCCTACAACTCAATAAATGACCAATAACCTGATTGAAAAATAGGCCAAGTATTTGAATAGATATTTATCCAAAGAGGATATATAAAAGGCCAATATGCACATAAAAAGATGCTCTACATCATTAGCTACTGGGAAAATGCTCATCAAAAGCATTTGAGATACTACTTCACACCCATTAGGCTGGCTATAGTTAAAATGACAAGTATGGCAACAATGTGGAGAAATTGTAACACTCATATATTGCTGGTAGAAATGTAAAATGATGCAGTGCCTTGGAAGACCCTTTGACAATTCCTCAAAGAGTTCATCATAGAGTTACCGTGTTGCCCAGCAGTTGCCCGCCTAGGTATATACCCAAGATATCTGCAAACGTGGGTTGACACAAAAACTTGTGCATAAATGTTCATAGTAGCATTATTCATTATAGCCAAAAGATGGAAACAACCCAAATATATATCATTTGATGAATGGATAAGCAATATGTTGTATATTTATACAATGGAATATTATTTAGTCGTAAAAAGAAATGCACTGATATATGCTACGACATGCATGAACCTTGAAAATATTGTGCTAAGAAGTCAGGCACAAAAGGTCACCTGTTGATTTCATTTAAATGAAATGTTCAGAAGAAGCGAATCCATAGAGACAAAAAAATGGTGTTTGCTAGGGGCTGATTGGGTGAAGAGGTAATGAGTAGTAACTGCTAATGGGTATGGGGTTTCTTTTTTTTTTTTTTTTTTTGAAATGCAGTCTTGCTCTGTTGCTCAGGCTGGAGTGCAGTGGCAAGATCTCGGCTCACTACAACCTCTGCCTCCCGGGTTCAAGCGATTCTCCTGCCTCAACCTCCCAAGTAGCTGGGATTACAGGCACCCACCACCACGCCCAGCTAATTTTTGTATTTTTACTAGAGACGGGGTTTCACCATATTGGTCAGGCTGGTCTCGAACTCCTGACCTCAGGTGATCCACCCGCCTCGGCCTCCCAAAGTGCTGGGATTACAGGTGTGAGCCAACACACTCGGCCGGGTATGGGGTTTCTTATTGTAATGGAAATGTTCTGAAATTAGATAGTAGTGACAGTTACACAAGTCTGTGAATATATCAACAACCACTGACTTGTACTCTTAGAAAGGGTGAATTTTATGGTATGTGAATTATAGCTCAGCTTAAAAAGGAGCTTTAGGATTGGTCAACTTTATATATAGTTTAAGTGGCGTGATTTTACATCTCATGATACATCCTTCTTTCTAATATATTGCCTTCATTGGCTCACATTACATTTATAAATTCCCTTCTTGTTGTTTTTCCCATTCCCTACATCACTTGGTACAGTGCTTTGCAAAATGTATAACTTTATAAATTATTTTGGGTGCTGAAATTTATGTATGAAATACTTTTTCATCCCCTTAAGCCCCTAATAAAAAAAAATTACCCAACCTTCACATTTTATTTCTCCCTACTAGAAAATAAATTCCCTAATGCTAAGATTCATGGTAGATTCATCTCCATACCCAACTCTACCTTATTTATTTATTTATTTATTATTTATTAATTTATTTGGCACAGAGTCTCGCTTTGTCACCCAGACTGGAGTGCAATGGCACAATCTTGGCTCACTGCAACCTCTGTCTCCTGGGTTCGAGCAATTCTCT
This sequence comes from Homo sapiens, assembly GCF_000001405.40. Taxonomy (NCBI): domain Eukaryota; kingdom Metazoa; phylum Chordata; class Mammalia; order Primates; family Hominidae; genus Homo; species Homo sapiens. The sequence continues at coordinate 73,940,406 of NC_000023.11, forward strand.
TGCCTCAGCCTTCTGAGTAGCTGGAATTACAGGCGCACACCACCACACCTGGCTAATTTTCGTATTTTTAGTAGAGACGGGGTTTCACCACGTTGGCCAGGCTGATCTCGAACTCCTAACCTCAAGTGATCTGCCCCCCTCAGCCTCCCAAAGTGCTGGGATTATGGGCGCGAGCCAGCGTGCCCGGCCCCAACTCTCACTTCTATTTCTACCTTGTACCTAGCACAGTGCCTTGGATAAAGACACTTCTTACGATTCTTTTTCTTTTTCCCCTCTCCGATTTGAATGTAATCTCCTTGAAGATTAATACTGGATTGCATTCATCACCCACTTGTGTAGTCTTATTCTTTACATGTAAGTTCTTAATGAATGAATAAATTCTGTTATATCTGTTCTCCCACATGCCACCGCAAATTGTACTTTTTTATTTTATTTTATTTTATTTTTGAGATGGTTTCACTCTTGTTCCAACTCATGTTTCAAATGAATTTGTTCTAGTGTAACTCAGCATCTATCATTTTAGCTGTTAAGACTGTTACTCATTTATTTGTCTTAAATTGTGAATGCAAAGATAACATGAACTATTGTCCCAGGGGTCATTGCCTTTGTAAATTTGTTTGTAAAATTTCCAAATAAGAGCCCTTTCTAAGCAAGTGCCTGCCAAATATGGCTGGATGATGGTAAAATCCCAACTCTCCTTTCACCTATTTGGATTTTATATTCTTTCAGGAGGCAGCTTTCTTACCTTTGGAACAATTACTTATGTAAGAGGAAAAGTGGGTTTCCACAGAGAATGAAATAGGTACTAGCTAGTTCAGTAGTCCAGGAAGCTACCAAGATCAGTCTTCAAGAGGAAATATTGTAACCTGGCAACCAAACTCTGTCTCTGGTGTTTTCTGGAGGCATTTTTCTTAAGTTGGAATTGAGGCAGGTAGACTAGGGGAAATGTGAGTGAGTGGAGGCAGGGGCATGAAGCTTGCACCGTGGCTGTGAATTAATATAGCTTTTCTGTCCCTGGGTCTCTGGGTCTAGCACTTTTCAATTCGAAACATTACCAAATAAAACCAGTGCATCAATTTGTTAAAAAAAAAAAATTGACTGGCAGCTTTATAAGCCTATTTCTCGAATAATGCTTCCTGCTGATTATTTCTTTATATGTGTATTTAAAAAATTCAGCCAGGCACGGTGGCTCATGCCTGTAATCCCAGCACTTTGGGAGGCCAAGGCGGGTGGATCACCTGAGGTCAGGAGTTCGAGACCAACCTGACCAATACGGTGAAACCTCGTCTCTACTAAAAATACAAAAATTAGCCAGGTGTGGGGGCCTGCGCCTGTAGTCCCAGCTACATGGGAGGCTGAGACAGGAGAATCGCTTGAACCCGAGAGAGGAGAGGCAGAGGTTGCAGTGAGCCGAGTTTGCGCCACTGCACTCCAGCCTGGGTGACAGAGTGAGACTCTGTCTCAAAAAAATAAAAAAAATAAATAAATAAAAAGTCATTTTCCTCCCAAACAGACAAAGTCCCAAGAGTCATCAGAACAAAACTGCAATAGATTTCATTTTTTTTTTTTTTGAGACGGAGTCTTGCTCTGTCGCCCAGGCTGGAGTGCAGTGGCGCTATCTCGGCTCACTGCAACCTCCGCCTCCTGGATTCAAGTGATTATCTCGCCTCAGCCTCTCGAGTAGCTGGGATTGCAGGTGCCCACCGCCACATCCAGCTAATTTTTGTATTGCTGTAATTGTTGGCCAGTCTGGTCTCAAACTCCTGATCTCAGGTGATCCGCCCACCTCGGCCTCCCAAAGTGCTGGGATTACAGGCATGAGCCACCGTGCCCGGCAGGTTTCACTCATTTTTATCCCCCTTTCTACTTACCATTAAATTACTACAGAGGGATGTTTTGTACCTGCCCCAAAATAAATGCATGGTGTGCTACTGCCAAAAGAAAATATGACAGAATTTACAGTCATATTTGCCTCCTCTGCAACATTCAGACTTGATCCTTCTTTTACCCTACATTGTCTATCTGATTCCCTACTCTTTTAGTACTAGTTCTTTCTTAGGAGCTCAACAGTTCCTTTTGCAATTGGTTTTTGGTGCCTGTCCTACAAATTTCCAAGATGTGCTCAAATATGCCTAAACCCTAGGAGATGAAACAGTTTAAGCTTAGAGACCTCTCCACCTCTATTACTGACCTTTGAACACGTAACTGGTTTTATGTGGTGTTTTTGGTGTTTTACTCCAAAATGTCCATATGTCAATGCCCAGATGTTTTATACAACTGTGTATCATTACCTTCCTTTTGAGGGTGACGATATCAAAATAAAGACAGAAAAGTAATGATGCAAATGAATAGAATAAGAGGTGTTCTATGTGGGGGTCTCGTAGAAAACCAGAGACAACATTAGTGCATAGAGAGAAACTATAGCTTTGGAAAGGGATTAGGACCTCTAAAGTGTCTTTTCCTTACCGGTGAAGCACAAGCCTTCCCCCAGAAACCTGCACCACTCACACATAATGCTTCACAAACAAGTTTTGGCCTCGGTTTTTTCATACTTTTGGGGCTGGTATCCAGCTAGTGTATTTTCCCTCATGGAGCGGGAACAACAGAGATAAAGGTTTTGATAAATATAGAGGCCTCTTAGAAGTGTCAGGACTGAATCTAAAAGAGCTGAATCTAAAAGAAGAGGGAGGCTGGGTGCGGTGGCTCACGCCTATAATACCAGCACTTTGGGAGGCTGAGGCGGGTGGATCACTTGAGGTCAGGAGTGCAAGACCAGCCTGGCCATGATGGTGAGACCCCCGTCTCTAGTAAAAATTAGCTGGACATGGTGGCAGATGCCTGTAATCCCAGCTACTTAGGAGGCTGAGGCTGGAGAATCGCTTGAACCCAGGAGGCGGAGGTAGCACCGAGCCAAGATCGCGCCACTGCACTCCAGCCTGGGCGACAGAGCAAGACTCCGTCTCAAAAAAATAAAACAAAAATAAATAAAAGAAGAGGGAAGATGGAAGGACTTTTAGGCTCAAGAGCAGCATCTCAACTCTTTTTTTTTTTTTTTTTTTTTGAGACGGAGTCTGGCACGGTCGCCCAGGCTGGAATGCAGCAGCACGATCTCAGCTCACTGCAACCTCCGCCTCCCGGGTTCAAGCGATTCTCCCACCTCAGCCTCCCAAGTAGCTGGGATTACACTGAGATTACAGGCAAGCGCCACCACACCTGGCTACCAACTCTTTTATGAAGACTCTTTTGTTTACAGAATTAAAGGAAGCACCTTGTTCTGAATCCAGTTTTGCCATTGACGGACTCACTGTATGACTAGGCCAAAACCCTCTGGTTTCTGTTTTCCCATTAGTTGGTTGAAGTACATACACCCTCATCTATCGGAACACGGGGCTTAGTAAAGTGAAAAGAAGTAGGTTCTAGCTCATTCTAGCACTTTTGGAAAATTGGGTCACCTCTTTGGGCCTTAATTTCGTCATCTATAAAACAGGAAAAAATCAGTCCTCAGCTTACCTGATGTTGCAATGACTTAGTGAGATAACAGAAGTGAATGGCAGCTTTGTCTATCATACTTGTGAGGTAAAGTTAATGAGAGTGAGAGATCTGGAAATAGGGAAGAAAGAAAGGAGTCGAGGCAAAGCTAAAAGAAATTTGGGTTGGGAAAGGAAAAAAGAAATGAAGAGAAAGAAAAAGGAAAAGGGAATTTCAAAAGAGATAAAGGCTGTGAGAGGAAGTGCAACAGGTCAGGAAACTGGGGGAGGGTCCACGGCAACGGCTGCGGCACGGCAACGGCTGCGGCACGGCAACGGCTGGGGCACGGCAACGGCTGGTGCATGTTGCCGGCGGAGGCATTTAGGTAGTGCACGACGGCTGGGCGCCGGGCCTGTTTGGCTGTGACGCCCACCCCCGGCTTTCATCCGCCTATGCCCTAGGGCTAGTGGAAGACTTAAGATGGCGGCGTTTGCACGGAGTGCAATCACTGCGTCCTTACGGGGGTTGCAAGGCGTCCGAAGTATGAGTCCACTAACAAAAGTCCAGAAACTCGCCAGTTAATAGTATTGTGGTGAGTGATGAGCCTCACGTTGGCTAGAGAAGTGGCCGTTAGCGAGGCTACACACTTTGGGATCGCGTGGCCTGAGTCGGGGGAGTAACCGGCCTGTATTCCATTTTTCTCTCTCCAGTCTCTTCAAAATATCGGAGAATAATTTCTTTCTCGCTGATCGCCTAACTTCTACTGACGAAGCTTGGAAGTTGCAGAAGGTAGCTCCTAGGAGGGATATATGGGTCGTTCTTTCCTTTTTCCTTATTTAAATGGGTTTTTATTGACACCATGTCGCGCCAAAATGGATTCCATCTCCTCAGAGCTTTCCTAGGAACAGCCTAACCTCTTGGGCCTAACTTTATTTTTTTTTTGTTCTGCCTTTCATGTCCAGACTTATTAGTTTTAATTAATTTGTTTGTAACGTATTCATTATGCACTAGATTAAACAATTTTTTTCTGTGCCCACTATACCCCAAATGTGGAGTTTTGGGCAAAAACTTAACATTTGTTCTTGAAGCATCTCAGAGGTGTGTGTGTGTGTGTGTAATCTTTGGGGGACTTACATTGCCAGGTTGATTACTCACTAAGAAAAGAGCTAGATTTCCTGTTTTCAAATCTGTTGGCGAAATTAAGTTTATGTTAAGCATAGCATGTTTACTATATATATGGGGAAGACAGTTAAGAGTGACATCTAATATGTTGTTAAATGCTTATGTGATTAAAGTAAATTTCATGCATTACCGCGGAGTATGAATTGCTGCAACCTTTTAGAAAAGAATCTGGCAATATTTAGGGAAATAAAAAATACAGATATCACTTGAACAAAAACTGGAATTCAAAAGTCTGACTTTTAAGAATCTATCCTACAGAAATAAAAGTACCAGTATATAATGACGCATGAACAAGGATACTTTTGTACTATTTTGTTCTTGTGACAACTGGAAACAACCTGTGTATCCATCAATAGGAGAATGTTTGAGTAAATTTTGGTACATAAATATTATGAAATATTTTGACTTTTGACCTAGAGAATCTTATGATGGATGGTTATGTGAGAAAAGTAAGTTGCAGAATAGTCTAGTATGAGTCCTTTTTTTTTTTTGATGGGGTGATGAAGGAATGCAAGATTAACTTCTTTATCTTTTGGAGGAGACGTTAAATATATTATGAAATACTTAAGACATATACAGATATACAAGGAATAATACAATGAACCTCTCTTCTCACCACCCAACGTAAAAAAAAAATCAAACATTAACGTGACAGTTGAAGTTCTCTGTGTACCCATCCCTGATTGCATCTCTCTCTTCTCTCATCCCCAGAGGTAACCATTATTTTAAACTTAGTGATTTTTACCATGCATTTCTTAAACTTCTGTGACATAGCAACTTCTAGCATGGATTATTTTTTGTAAATATTGAAGATGAATTTTTAAAAAAAGTCAATGAAAGAAGAAAGCAAGTGTCTATCTGACTTTTTTTTTTTTTTTTTTTTTGAGATGAAGTCTTGCTTGTTGCCCCGGCTAGAGCGTAGTGGCGCAATCTTGGCTCACTGCAACCTTCACCACCCCAGTTCAAGCGATTCTCCTGCCTCAGCCTCCCGAGTAGCTGGGATTGCAGGCGCCTGCCACTGTGCCCGGCTAATTTTAATTTAATTTTAATTTATTTTATATATATATAGAGAGAGAGAGAGGGAGAGAGACAGACAGACATGGAGTCTTGCTCTGTCACCCAGGCAGGAGTGTAGTGGCTCGATCTCGGTTCACTGTAACTTCCGCCTCCTGGGTTCAAGCGATTCTCATGCCTCAGCATCCAGAGTAGCCGAGATTACAGGCACACCTTGCCACGCCTGGCTAATTTTTGTATTTTTAGTAGAGACGGGTTTCCCTATATTGGCCAGGCTGGTCTCCAACCCCTGACCTCTGGTAATCTGCCTGCCTCGGCCTCCCAAAGTATTGGGATTACAGGCGTGAGCCACTGTGCCCAGCCTTATCTGACTATTACTGTAACAGTGGCCAATCAAAATTCCTTCTTTTCTTTTTTTTTTTCCTTGAGCCTAGAAATTTCTTAATTGAGGGGAGAATCTAGCAAGCAGTTGAGTCAAAGGGTGTAGATTATACTACAGTGGTAAAGAAAGTAAGCAGCTGGCAGTGAAAGCAATCTCAAGCAAATAATGAATGTTCCATGAACAAGATGCCTGAATTGAAAAACAGAACAAAACCAACTAACCAAACAAAAAACAATCCGTGGATCCTAACTCAAATCCAAGGTGATTTGAGCCTGCACTTGTAATTAGACAAAATCTATGAACTTCAGTTGCCTTGGAGGCATCTGAGGGAAATGAGGTTGCATGTAGATGAATCAGTTGTTTCTGGCATCATGTTAGTGTGATTACATTTAGCTGCTGTGTGCAAAACATTTTAGCAATCATTTAGGTCCAGGACGTGGAATTTATTAGTGCAACAACCCTGTAAACAGTGGTTAGAACATTAATAATTTTATTTTATTTATGTTTTATTTATTTTTTGAGACGGATTTTTGCTCTTGTTGCCCAGGTTGGAGTGCAATGGCGCGATCTCGGCTGACTGCAACCTCCACCTCCTGGATTCAAGCTATTCTCCTGCCTCAGCCTGCCGAGTAGCTGGGATTACAGGCATGTGCCACCGCACCCAGCTAATTTTGTATTTTTTAGTAGAGATGGGGTTTCTCCATGTTGGTCAGGCTGGTCTTGAACTCCTGACCTCAGGTGATCCGCCCACCTCAGCCTCCCAAAGTGCTGGGATTACAGGCGTGAGCCACCGCGCCCGGCCAGAACATTAGTTTTAAACTTCCTAACCCTTGGGAGAAGGCAAAACACTTGATGAAATCTACATAAAGACTAAAACATTTTACCAATTTTGCATTGTTTGTTTGAAATTGCATTGACGACTGGTATGTTAATTTTGTATATATTTTTATGAGAACAATGTTGGACATCATTTAATTTTTTTAGGTTTTTTTAATTGATTATTGATTGGTTCATTTGCAGGAACTGACTATTAGTAATCAAGGATACAAATTGTTAAGAGAATATGTTACAGAGAAAAACTTGACAAGCTAGACTTAGATTTTTGTCGTTAAAGATAATTTGTGGGATATGATTTTTATAAGGAGTTGCATTAAATAGAATGTCTTACACAGATTTAAGAGGTTAATAATTATAAAATTAAGATGAGTTCTTATAAAATATTCTTGAGGTATAATAAAATTATACTTGTGGAGTATATCTTTGAATAACATTTAAAAGCAAACTAATACTTTCCAGGTAAAATAATTATCAACATAACTTTTTAAAAATAATTCATAGTACTTCAGGTTATTTCTATGTTTGACACATTAACTTAAAAGAAAAAAGGAAAATGGTGATTAGTTAATGCCATACACACTGGACAGAAAAGAAACTTAGCTCTTATGGATTCCTCTCCATATTTTGCAGCAGGGTAAATGTAAGTTTTCTTACGTAGCTAGATACTGTGTTCCAGTGCTGTTGATGTTGTACTGTTTTAGCAATGAAGAGATTGATATGGGCTGATTGGGGGTTAGGGAAAGTGAAGCAGCAGAACCAGAACAGAGTGGACATTTAAAGGGTGCTAATAAGTAAATAATTATGTGAAGTAGCATACTGGTCGAAATGCATAACTCAAAGATAATCGGGAAGCGTATTTTCTTTTCTTTTCTTTTTTTTTTTTGAGATGGAGTCTCGCTCTGTCGCCCAGGCTGGAGTGCAGTGGCACGATCTTGGTTCACTGTAAGCTCCGCCTCCCAGGTTCACGCCATTCTCCTGCCTCAGCCTCCCAAGTAGCTGGGACTACAGGCGCCTGCCACCATGCCCAGCTAATTTTTTTGTATTTTTAGTAGAGACGGGGTTTTACCGTGTTAGCCAGGATGGTCTCGACCTCCTGACCTCGTGATCTGCCCGCCTCGGCCTCCCAAAGTGCTGGGATTACAGGCTTGAGCCACCGCGCCCGGCCGGGAAGCATGTTTTCTGAAACATAACCTAAGAAAGTATAAATGCTGCCTTGTGCCTACAATCCTGGTGACAAGAGCAAGACTTCGTCTCAAAAAAAAAAAAAAGTATAAAAGCTCCTTAAAGGATGTTTCAAAATAATGAATAATATTAATTTCTATATTGTATATTCACAAATGTTCTTTCTAGAATAATTATTTGCTTAATGGGGTGCATGTTTAGTTGGTGAGAAATGAATTAATAGGTTAGTGATTTATTATCTGTTGGGAAAAATTTTAGACATTCACATGAAAGTAGAGAGAATAACATAAATGAATTTCCATATATGGATCACTTAGATTTAGCAACCGTTATGATTTTGCCTTACTTGCCTTTTCCCCCAAAATACTGTAAAGTAAATTACAGTTATCATGACATTTTCTTCTAAATAAGTCAATATAAACATATAATAAACAAGGACCTTTTTCTATATAGTCACAATGCCATCACTATACATAGTAGGATTAACAGTAATTCCGTAATTTTTTTTTTGTTTTTGAGATGAAGTCTTGCTCTTGTCACCCAGGCTGGAGTGCAATGGTGTGATCTCGGCTCACTGCAACCTCGACCTCCCGGGTTCAAGTGATTCTCCTGCCTCAGCCTCCCGAGTAGCTGGGATTACAGGGGCCTGCCACCATGCCCGGCTAATTTTTGTATTTTTGGTAGAGATGGGGTTTCACCATGTTAGCCAGGCTGGTCTGGAACTCCTAATCTCAGGTGATCCGTCTGCCTCGGCCTCCCAAAGTGCTGGGATTACAGGCGTGAGCCACCGCGCCCGGCCATTCCTTAATGTTTAACACCCAGTGCATATTCAGATTTTCCCAGTTGTCCGCAGGATGTCTTTTATAGCTGCTTTCTTCAAACCAGGATCTATTCGGAGACCACACATTGCATTTGATTTTTATGTCTTTTGAGCCTTTTAAAATTTAGAGCAGTTCCCTATAACCCCTTCTTTTGTTTGTTTTATGAAATTGGCTTGTTGAACTTCACAAAACACGAGTTGGGGTCATGCCAACTGTACCGTTAGTGATTAGTTTACATATAGGGAAAATAATTTGTGAATGTTGGTCCATTCACTCTGCCAGCTATACCATGGCAGCATTTCCAGTATCAGGAAAGCAAACCAGGGGATCTAAAACTGAGCATTAAAAACTCTCCCCTATCCAGTGAAAGAGATAAGAATGCCAGTTGTGAGAAAATTGAAGGGGAAACGGAGAATGTCAGTGTTAAAGATATTTGAACTTTTTTTTTTTATCCATTTGAAAGGTATTTTTTTTGGGTGAACTATTTGTTAATATTCTTGGTCCTGTAAAAAAAAAATTGGTGTTTGGACTTTTTCTTATTGTAGACACTCTTCATAAATTAAGGAAATTCGCCTTTTTTTGTTATAATATTGCAGACTTTTTTTTTTTTTGAGATGGAGTCTTGCTCTGTCGCCAGGCTGGAGTGCAGTGGCACGATCTTGGCTCACTGCAACCTCCGCCTCCCAGGTTCAAGCGATTCTCCTGCCTCAGCCTCCCGCGTAGCTGGGACTACAGGCGTGTGGCACCATGCCCAGCTAATTTTTGTATTTTTAGTAGAGATGGGGTTTTACCATGTTGGCCAGGATGGTCTCGATCTCTTGACCTTTTGATCCGCCCGCCTTGGCCTCCGAAAGTGGTGGGATTACAGGCATGAGCCACTGCACCCGGCCTGCAGATATTTTTTTCAGTTAGCTACTTTTCTTTTCACTTTATAGTATTTTTTTACTTAATTGTGGCACAATACACATTAGTGTTTTAGCCATTTTAAAGTATACAATTTAGTGGCATTTCATACATTCACAGTGTTGTGCATCCATCACTGCTGTCTAGTTCCAACAGATTTTAATCACTTCTAAAAGAAACCCTGTACTCATTCCCTTTGCCCTCTATCCCATGGCTACTAATTTGCTTTCTGTTTATGGATTTGCCTGTTCTGAATATTGTATACAAGTGGGATCATATATAGTAGACCCTTGAGGAATGGGGGGGTTAGGGTCACCAACCCCTCATACAGTCAAATCTGCATAAAATTTTTAATTCCACCAAAACTTAACTAATAGCCTACTGTTGACTGGAAGCCTTACCAATAACATAGTCAATTAACACATACTTTCTATGGTAATTTATTATCTACTATATTCTTGCAATTAGCTAGAGAAGAAAATGTTATTAAAAATCAGAAGGAAGAGAGAGTATATTTACGATTCATTAAATGTAAGTGGATCATCATGAAGGTCTTCATCCTTTTTGTCTTCATGTTGAGTAGGCTGAGGAAGAGGAGGGGTTGGTCTTGCTGTCTAGGGAGTGGTAGAGGTGGAAAAGATGGAGGAGGCAGGAGAGGCAGACATACCTGGTGTAACTTTTACTGAAAAAAAATACATAAAAGTGGACCCACGCAGTTCAAAACCATGTTCAGGGGTCAACTGTAATATGTGATCTCTTGTGTCTGACTTCTTTCATTTAGCATAACATCTTCAACATTCATCCATACTGTAGCATATAATTTGTACTTAATTCCTTTTTATGATTGAATAATCTATATATGAATGTACCACCTTTTGTTCATCAGTTGATGAATGTATTTACATGCATTTAAATAAAATTTTTTTTTTTGGGTTTTTTTTTTGAGACGGATTCTCACCCAGGCTGGAGTGCAGTGGCACGATCTCGGCTCACTGCGACCTCCGCCTCCCAGGTTCAAGCGATTCTTCTGCCTCAGCCTCCCGAGTAGCTGGGATTACAGGCACACGCCACCATGCCCGGCTAATTTTTTTTGTATTTTTAGTAGAGACGGGGTTTTACCATGTTGGTCAGGCTGGTCTGGAACTCCTGACCTCGTGATCCGCCCTCCTCGGCCTCGCAAAGTGCTGGGATTATAGTCGTTAGCCACCGCACACAGCCAAGAAAATGTATTTAAAGAAAATATGGGGCTGGGCATGGTGGCTCACACCTATACTTCCAGCAGTGTAGGAGGCCGAGGCCGGCAGAACGGTTAAGCCCAGGAGTTCGAGACTAACCTGGGCAGCATGATGAAACCCCATCTCTCCAAAAAATACAAAAATTAGCTGGGTATAATGGCCTGCACCTGTAGTCCCAGCTACTTGGGAGGCTGAAGTGGGAGGATCGCTTGAGCCTGGGAGGTAGAGGTTGCAGTGAACTGAAATCACGCCACTGCACTCCAGCCTGGGCAACTGGGTGAGGGTCTGTCTCAAAAAAAGAAAAAAGTAAGACAATATGGTATAAATTGGGGATGGTGAAGGGACATAAAGAAAAGTTAGTTTCTAAACTGGACTTGAATTAATGTTGACAGCCGTAGAATGTAATAAGTAATGTATATATATAATGTGAAGCAACCACTAAAAATGCCATGCATATATGCAAAAACTCTAGAGAGGAATCAGAATTTTATAAAATGTTCAGCTAACTCACAGAAAGGCAGATAAAAACAGACAAATAGAAAACTAAGAACAAAGGAAAAATAAATCGCAGACTTAAACCCTAACATATGAACAATTACATTAGATTTAAATCGTTTAAATGTACCATTTAAAAGATAAGAGATTTTCAGAGTGGCAATGACGTAACTGTATGTGTTAATATGAGACTTCAAATATGACTATATAGGCTGGGCATGGTAGCTCACACCTGTAATCCTGGCACTTTGGGAGGCCGAGGTGGGTGGATCACCTGAGGTCAGGAGTTCAAGACCAGCATGGCCAACATGGCAAAACCCCATTTCTACTAGAAATACAAAAAATTAGCCAGGCGTGGTGGCACACACCTGTAGTCCCAGATACTCGAGAGGCTGAGGTAGGAGAATCACTTGAACCCGGGAGGCGGAGGTTGCAGGGAGCCGAGATCGTGCCACTGCACTCCAGCCTGGGAGAGAGAGTGAGACTCCATCTCAAAAAGCAAACAAAAAACCCCCCCAAATATGACTGTATAAGCAGATTGAAAGTAAAAGGATGGGCAAAGATATACCATGCAAACTTTAATCAAATGAAAGCAGTACTGGCTATGTTAGATAAAGTAGGCTTCAGACAAATTACTATAGACAAAAGAGGGATGTTTTATAATGAAATTCACCAAGAAGACATGGCAGTTCTAAAGCACCTGTATCAAACAATAGAGCTACAAAATATGTGAAGCAAAAACTGCTAGAACTGAAAGTAGAAATAGACAGGTCCATAATTATAGTTGGAGAGTTCAGCAGCCTTCTCACAACAACTGGCAGAACAATTAGAAAATCAGCAAGTACACAGTTCAACAATGTAATAAACCAACAAGATCTAATTGCCATTTATAGAATGCTCAACAACTGTAGAATTATTACATTTTGAATATATTATATGTTATATATTTTATATATATATATTTTATATATATATATATATTTTGAGACAAGAGTCTCGCTCTTGTCACCCAGGCTAGAGTGCAGTGGCGCGATCTCGGCTCACTGCAACCTCTGCCTCCTGGGTTCAAGCGATTCTCCTGCCTCAGCCTCCCAAGGAGCTGGGATTACAGGTGCCCGCTACCACGCCTGGCTAATTTTTGTATTTTTAGTAGAGACGGGGTTTCACCATGTTGTCCAGGCTGGTCTCGAACTCCTGACCTTGGGTGATCCTCCCGCCTCAGCATCCCAAAGTGCTGGGATTACAGGCGTGAGCCAACGTGCCTGGCTGACCCCAAATACTTTTAACAAAGTATTAACACATTGATTCCAGCAATATATGAAAAGAAATTGATAGACCACGACCAAGTTGGAATTTTTATAGTTATATAAGATTGGTTCAGCAATTGAAAATCAATCTTATGGATATGTAAGATTGGTTCAGCATTTGAAAATCAGTCAATATAATGTACTATATCAGCAGTCTGAAAAACAATCATAATTGATTATATTGATGCAGAAAAAAACATATGACAGAGTCAAATACCTATTCTTGATAATGATTTTCAGAAAATGAGGAATAAGTATCTATAAAAAAACTGTAGCTGATATTATACATAATGGTGAAAAACTGACTCTTACCCCTAAGATCAGGAAAAAGCAAAGGATGTCCATTCTTATCTTCCTTATTCAACATAGTAATAGAAATTCAAGCCACTGTAGTGAGGTAAGAACAAGAAATAAAAGATATCCCAATTGGAAAGAAAGACATTTGTCCCTATATGCAGATGGCATGATTGTCTATGTAGAAAATCTCAAGGAATCTAAAAAACAACCCCCAAATTTCTAGAACTAATGAGTTAGTAACACCACAGGCTAAAAGATCTACACACAAAAATGAATGAATCACGTTGCTTTTTTTTTTTTTTGAGATGGAGTCTCGTTCTGTTGCCAGGCTGGAGTGCAGTGGCCTGATCTCGGCTCACTGCAATCTCGGCTCACTGCAATTTCTGCCTCCCGGGTTCAAGTGATTCCCCTGCCTCAGCCTCCTGAGTAGCTGGGAATACAGGCATGCACCACCATGCCCGGCTAATTTTTTGTGTTTTAGTAAAGATGGGGTTTCACCATGTTGGCCAGGCTGGTCTCGATCTCCTGACCTCATGATCTGCCCGCCTTAGCCTCCCAAAGTGCTGGGATTACAGGTATGAGCCACTGCGCCCGGAATGAATCACATTTCTATATACTAGCAATTTAATATGTGGAAACGGAAATTATATACAAAGTACCATTTACAAGCACTGCAAAGAAACACAACATTTAGACATAAGTAAACATGTACAGGACTTGTATTTTGTAAATTACAAAATGCTGGTGAAAGAAACTCAGGAAGTCCTATATAATTGAAAAGACTTATCATGTTCATGACTTGGGAAACTCAACATAGTAATGATGTCAATTCTCCACAAATTGATAGGTTTAATGGAATTTCCATTTAAATCCTAGTATGTTTTTGTAGATATAGAAAAGCTTATTTTAAAATGTATGTGGAAAGGCACAGGCCTTAAAATAGCTAAAACCATCTTGAAAAATAGTACATTGGTAGAATCATTAACTTGACATTAATGCCTACTATATTCCTATATTAAGACAGTGTTGTATTGGTGGAGGATAGACACATAAATCAGTGTAACATAATTGAGAACTGAGAAATAGACATATACAATTAGGCCCGACTGAATTTTGTCAAACGTGGAATAGCAGTTCAGTAATGAAAGAAAGCCTTTTTAACAATGGTGCTTGACCAATTGTCCATCTGTAGGCAAAAAGATGAACCTGAGTCTCATATCTAATACAAAAATGTACTCAAAATGAATTAGAGACTTAAATGTAAAACTTAAAACTATAAAACTTTTAGAAGAAAACATAGGAGGAAATCTTCAGTTTGTGCTAGGCAAGGAGTTCTTACTCTTAATATGCTTAAAAGGATGATCTGTAAAAGGAAAAATTGATGAATTAAATTTTATTGAAGTTAGAAACTCTTGTTCTGCTAAAGACTCTGTTAAGAGAATGAAGAGAGGCTACAGAGTAGGATAATTTATTTGTAAACCACATATCTTGCAAATTAATTGTATTTAGAATACATAAACTCTGGAAACTCAGTAAAAAAGCAACCAGTCCAATTAGAACATGAGCAAAAGACATGAAGAGATTATTTCATGGAAGAAGATACACAGATGGCAAATAAAATAAAAGGATGTTTAACATTATTAACCATTTTGGAAATGCACATTAAAATCACAACAGAAATCACTGTACACTTATCAAATAGTCATAACACCAAGTATTGGTTAGGATGAAGAGAATATGGATTACTTATCCACTGCTGATTGGAATGTAAAATGGCATAGCCCCTCTGGGAAACTGTTTGGTAGTTTCTTATTAAAATAAACCTGCAGGCCAGGTGGGGTGGCTCACTCCTGTAATCCCAGCACTTTGGGAGGCAGAGGTGGGCTGATCACCTGGAGGTCAGGAGTTTGAGACCAGCCTGACCAACGTGAAGAAACCCCGTCTCTACTGAGAATACAAAAATTGGCTGGGCGTGGTGGCTCACGCCTGTAATCCCAGCACTTTGGGAGGCCGAGGTGGGCGGATCATGAGGTCAGGAGATCAAGACCATCCTAGCTAAGATGAGGAAACCCCGTCTTTACTAAAAATACAAAAAATAAGCCGGGCATGGTGGTGGGCGCCTGTAGTCCTAGCTACTCGGGAGGCTGAGGCAGGAGAATGGCGTGAACCCGGGAGGCAGAATTTGTGGTGAGCAGAGATCGCGCCACTGCACTCCAGCCTGGGCGACAGAGACTCTGTCTCAAAACAAAGCAAAAATTAACTGGGTGTGGTGGTGCATGCCTGTAATCTCAGCTACTCGGGAGGCTGAGGCAGGAGAATTGCTTGAACCTGGGAAGCGGATGTTGCGGTGAGCCGAGATTGTGCCATTGCACTCCAGCCTGGGCAACGAGCGAAACTCCGTCTCAAAAAAACAAAACCAAAACAAAAAACCACAAACCTGCAACTACCATATGACCCAGCATTTTCATTCTTGAGTGTTTATCCCAGAGAAATGAAAACTTAACGTTCTTGCAAAAATTTGTGTATGAATGTTCATGGCATCTTTGTTCATGATAGTAACAACACAGAAGTGCCCAGATGTCCTTTAATGGGTGAATGGCTAAACAAATGGTGGTGCATTCATAACATAATACCACACAGGAATGAAAAACAAAGCTGATGCACAAAACAACCTGGATGAATTCCCAGAGAATTATGCTGAATGAAAAAAGCCAATCTCTGACGTATAGTTACATACTATATTATACTATTTACATAATATTCTTTTTTTTTCTTTTTTTTTTTGAGATGGAGTCTCACTCTGTCGCCAAGGCTGGAGTGCAGTGGCACGATCTCGGCTCACTGCATCCTCCACCTCCTGGGTACAAGTGATTCTCTGCCTCAGCCTCCAGAGTAGCTGGGTTTACAGGCGCCAGCCACCATGCTCGGCTAATTTTTGTTTT
The DNA here is from genome assembly GCF_000001405.40 of Homo sapiens. NCBI lineage: Eukaryota > Metazoa > Chordata > Mammalia > Primates > Hominidae > Homo > Homo sapiens. Next base: position 73,956,471 of record NC_000023.11, read on the forward strand.
AGTGATTCTCCTGCCTCAGCCTCCCGAGTAGCTGGGACTACAGGCGCGCGCCACCATGCCCGTTTAATTTTTGTATTTTTAGTAGAGATGGGGTTTTACTATGTTGGCCAGGCTGGTCTTGAACTCCTGACTTCCTGATCTGCCCACCTTGGCCTCCCAAAGTGCTAGGATTACAGGCGTGAGCCACCGTGCCCAGCCTGATACCTTGTTTTCTACAAGAATGTTAGGTTAACTGATAGGGAAGTTGTCACTGAGTAGACATCAGATAATGTTTTTGGGATAGGGCAATAAGCCATAAGGTGGGGGCAGATCTAGGGGAACATCTAGCTGAGGTGGTGGCCAATAGTTTTCTTTTTTTTCTTTTTTTTGAGAAGAAGTCTCACTCACTCAGCCCAAGCTGGAGTGCAGTGGCACGATCTCGGCTCTCTGCAACCTCCACCTCCCGGGTTCAAGCGATTCTCCTGCCTCAGCTTCCCGGGTAGCTGGGATTACAGGTGCCCGCCACCATGCCCGGCTAATTTGTGTATTTTCAGTAGAGATGAGGTTTCACTGTTGGCGAGGCTGGTCTTGAACTCCTGACCTCGTGATCCACCCGCCTTGGCCTCCCAAAGTGCTGGGACAAGCGTAAACCACCACCCCCGGCCAACAGTTCTCAATATGTGGACCTTTCAAGGGATCTGTAAAGTGAAAGCTGTTTTTCTTAATACTAAGTTGTTTTTACCGTATTGACATCTTTACTGATGGTGTTGAAGCAGTGGAAAATAAACATTTTACCTGAATACAAATCAAGGTAGTGGCACCAAATTGTATCAGTAGTCATTGTATTCTTCACCCCACACCTGTAGTTTTTTTTAAAAAAAGTCAGTTTCTTTTAAGAATGTCTTTGATGAGGGTGGGGCACCGTGGCTTATGCCTGTAGTCTTCGCTGCTTCGTAGGCTGAGGTGGGAGTCTGAGGCGGGAGGATTCCTTGAGCCCAGGAGTTCGAGGCTAAGAGTGACCTGTGGTCGTGCCACTGCACTCCAGCCTAGGTGACAGAGTAAGACTCTCTCAAAAAATGTCTTTGATGAGCAGTAAAGTTACTAGTTTCATTAAATATGGACCCTTGAGTACGTGTCTTCTTAATATGGTGTGATGAAAAGGGAAGTATGCGTGAAGCAGTTCTGCAAACTGAATTTTAAATTATCTTGAGGAAAATCACCTGTAACATTGTCAGCAAGCTGTACTGCTCACTTTTTAAAATTTACAACATTATACTTAGAAGAATAACTAATAGACAAGCTACAGTTTTTTACACTTGGGTATTGACCAGATATGTTTTTCTAAATAAAATGGGCTTATCCTTTCAAGGAAAACAACTGATAGTACTTGTTGCCTATTTTAAATTAGCTTTCAAACAAAATTTAGAATTTCTGTATACTTGTATCTACTTCTGTGAACTTGATAGCTTCCCAGTACTTAAAGACTTTTCTGTTAACATCAGATTTTAAAGAAAGTGGTTTTTAAATATTGCTTAATGAAATATGTCAACATTTGAAACATCTGCATTGCTCAGTGAAACAGTATTTTGTAAATGATCCATTTAGGATGTTAAAAATCATGCATGGCTGGGCATGGTGGCTCACGCCTGTAATCCCAGCACTTTGGGAGGCTGAGGCAGGTGAATCACCTGAGGTCAGGAGTTTGAGACCAGCCTGGCCAACATGGTGAAACCCTGGCTCTACTAAAAATACAAACAATTAGCCAGGCGTGGTGGCAGGCACCTATAATCCCAGCTACTCGGGAGGCTGAGGCAGGAGAATTGCTTGAACCCGGGAGGTGGAGGTTGCAGTGAGCCGAGATCACGCCACTGCACTCCAGCCTGGGTGACAGGGTGAGACTCCATCTCAAAAAGAAAAAAAACACAAAACAAAAAACCAAGGAGTATGACTGCCGGTTCATATGGTAAGAGTATATTTAGTTTTGTGAGAAACCACGAAACTGTCTTCCAAAATTGCTGTACTGTTGATGCATTCCCACCAGCCATGAATGAGAGTTCCTGTTGCTCCACAATCTCAACAGCATTTGGTGTTACCAGTGTTTTGGATTTTCACCATTCTAATAGGTGTGCAATGGGACTGTTTAATTTGCAACTCCCTAATGACATACAAAGTTGAGCATGTTTTCATGTTCTTATTTACCATCTGTATATGTTCTCTGGCGAGATTTCTGTTGACATCTTTTGTCCATTTTAAAAATTGGGCTATTTATTGAGTTTTAAGTGCTGTCTGTATGTTTTAGGTAACAGTCCTTTATCAGTTATGTGTTTTGCAGATTTTTTTTGACTTATCGTTTCATATTTTAATGGTGTCTTTTGTGGAGTAATTTTTTTTTAATTTTAATAACATTTAGCTTGTCAATGATTTCTTTTATGGATTATGCTTTTGGTATTGTATCTAGAAAGTAATTGCCATACCCAGTGATGTCTAGATTTTCTCAAATGTTGGAGTTCTATTTACAGTTTTGCATTTTACATTTAGGTCTGGCATCCATTTTGAATTAATATTTGTGAAGGGTGTAAAGTTTGTATTAGATTCATTTTTTGGCATTTGGATATTCAGCTATTCCAACACTATTTGTTGCTCCATTGTATTGCCTTTGCTTCTTTCTCAACGATTAGTTGACTATATTTATGTCTCTATCTGGGCTCTTTATTCTGTTCCATTGATCCATTTATCCATTCCTTCACCAATTTCACACTGTCTGGATTACCATAGCTTTTTATTAAGTCTTGAAGTCAAGCAGTGACTATTCTTTTTTTTTTTTTTTTTTTGAGACTGAGTCTCGCTCTGTTGCCCAGGCTGAAGTGCAGTGGCACAATCCTGGCTCACCGCAACTTCTGCCTCCTGGATTCAGGCGATTCTCCTGCCTCAGCCTCCCAAGTAGCTGGGATTACAGGCACACACCACCACACCCAACTAATTTTTGTATTTTTAGTAGAGACGGGCTTTTACCATGTTGGCCGGGCTGGCCTCGAACTCCTGACCTCAAGTGATCTGCCCGTCTTGGCCTCCCAAAGTGCTGGGATTACAGGCGTGAGCCACTGTGCCTGGCGCAGTGACTTTATTATTTCCCCTTCAATATTGTGATGGATATTTTGAGTCTTTTGGCTCTCCATATAAAATTCACAATCAGTTTGCTGATATCCACAAATATGCTGGGAGTTTGGAATTGCATGAAATCTGTAGATGAAGTTGGGAAGAAGTGACATCTTGACAGTATTGTCTTTGTATCCACAAACATAGAATATCTCTCCATTTGTGTAATTTTTTTTTCTTTCATTAGACTTTTGTAGTTTTTTTTTTTCATATAGATCTTGTATGTATTTTGGTAGATTTATACCTAAATATTTCATTTTTGGGGCTGCTAGTGTATATGCTATTTTGTTTTTAATTCCACCTGTTCATTGCTGGTATATTGGGAAGCAATTCGCTACTGTATGTGTGTGTGTGTGTGTGTGTATATATATTTTGAGACGGAGTTTCACTCTTATTGCCCAGGCTGGAGTGCAATGGCGCGATCTCGGCGCCCCACAACCTCCGCCTCCCAGGTTCAAGTGATTCTCCTGCCTCAGCCTCCCTAGTAGCTGGGATTACAGGCATGTGCCACCACGCCTGGCTAATTTTGTATTTTTAGTAGAGACAGGGTTTCTCCATGTTGGTCAGGCTGGTCTCGAATTCCTGACCTCAGGTGATCCCCCCGCCTAGGCCTCCCAAAGTGCTGGGATTACAGGCATGAGCCACCGCGCCCGGCCTTGCTACTGAATATGAACCTTGGTTTTTTTTGGTTGATTGTTTTGGAATGTCTACATAGATGATCATGTTATCTGTGAACAAAGACAGTGTGAGTTCTTCCCTCCCAGTGTGTGTACCTTTTATTTCCTTTTTTTTTGTCTTATTTCATTAGGTAGGACTTCCAGTACAATATTGGAAAGGAGCGGTGAGAGGAGACATGCTTGCCTTGTTCTTGATCTTAATGGAAAGGTGTTCAGTTTCTTACCTTTTTTTTTTTTCTTTTTTTTGAGATGGAGTCTCACTCTTGTTATCCAGGCTGGAGTGCAATGGCACGATCTTGGCTCACTGCAACCTCTGCCTCCCGGGTTCAAGCGATTCTCTTGCCTCAGCCTCCCTAGTAGCTGGGATTACAGGTGCCTGCCACCACACCCAGCTCATTTTTAAATTTTTAATAGAGACAGGGTTTCACTATGTTGGCCAGACTTGTCTCGAACTCCTGACCTCAGGTGATCCGCCTGCCTCTGTGTCCCAAAGTGCTGGGATTACAGGCGTGAGCTACTGCGCCCAGCCAGTTTCTTACCTTTAAGTATGTTGTTAGTTGTTAAGTTCTTTATAAAGTTGAGGAAGTTCCCCTCTATTCCAAGTTTGCTGAGTTGTTTTTACTATGAATGGGAGTTGGGTTTTGTGAAATGCTTTTTCTCCATCCATTTAAATGATCATGTGGTTTTTCTTCTTTAGCCTGCTGATATTATGGATTGCATTAGTAGATTTTCAAATGTTGAACCAGTCTTGTATACCTGATATAAACCCCACTTGTTCATAGTGTATATTATTTTCTCCTTCTCTGTGAGTTTTGGCACCTTGTTTCTTTCAAGGTATTGGTCTATTTGGTCTATTTTACCTTTTTTAGTGGTTGCCCTAGAGCTTGCAATATATATTTACAAGTCCATTTTGAAGTAACACTGCATTACTTCATTGATAGTGCAAGTACTTTTTAATAACAAAATAGTTCTAATTCCTCTTTTTTCTCCCTTGTGTCTTTGCTATCATTCATTTCATATGTACATAAACTATAATCATTGAATATATTGTTAGTATTCTTACTTTGAACAAACTTAACTGATTAATTAAGAATAAAATAATAAAAGTTTTTATAATAGCTTTACTTATTCCTTTTCTGATCAAGAAGAAATTCTTCTTCCTTTCTTTATGTAGATCTGAGTTTCTGAGCTGTATAGTTTTCCTTTTCCCTGAAGAACTTTTTTTGAAAAACGTTTCTGACAAGCTAGATCTACTTACAACAAATTCCTTCAATTTGTTTTTGTCTGAGAAAGAGTATTTCTCCTTTAGTTTTGAAGGATGATTTTGCAGGTACAGAATTCTAGGTTTTTTTTTTTCCTCTCTCTCTAAAAACTCTTAAGTATTTCAGTCTTCTTGCTTGCATGTTTTCTGAGATGTCAGATATAATTATCTTTACTCCTCTATGGTAAGGTGTTTTTTTCTCCACTGGGCGGTTTCTTTGAAGATTTTTTCCTGTATCTTTGATTTTCTGCAGGCTGAGTAGGATATGCCTAGGTGTAGTTTTGTTTGTTTGTTTTGGCATTTATATTGTTTGGTGTTCTCTTAGCTTCCTGAATTTGTAGTTTGGTGTCTGACATTAATTTGGGGAAAATTCTCCATCATTATTGCTTCAAATACTACTTTTCCATTTTTTCTCCTCTGTTATTCCAGTTACATGCATGTTACACCTTTTATGGTTGCACGGTTCTTCAATATTCTGTTCTTTTTTTTTTTTTTTTTGAGATGGGGTCTCACTCTGTTGCCCAGGCTGGAGTACAGTGGCACGATCTCAGTTCACTGCAACCTCTGCCTCCCAGGTTCAAGCGATTCTCTGCCTCAGCCTCCTGAGTAGCTGGGATTACAGGCGCCTGCCACCACACCCAGCTAATTTGTGTATTTTTAGTAGAGACGAGGTTTTACCATCTTGGCCAGGCTGGTCTTGAACTCCTGACCTCGTGATCCACCTGCCACAACCTCCCAAAGTGGTGGGATTACAGGCGTGAGCCACCGCGCCTGGCCGGTTGTTGTTGTTGTTCTTTTTTTTTTTTTAGTCATTTCTCTTTGATTTTTAGTTTTGAGAGTTTTTATTGACATATCCTCAAGTTCAGAGATTCTTTTCCTCAGCTGTGTCCAGTGTACAGAGTCTATCAAAGTCATTCTTCATTGCTGTTGTAGTGTTTTAGATCTTTAGCATTTGTTTTTGATTCTTTCTGCATCTCTGCTTACATTACACATGTATTTTTGCATATTGTCTACTTTTTTCCTTAGAGCCCTTAGTATGTTAATCAAATCGGAGTTATTTTAAATTTCCAGTGTGATAATTTCAACACCCATGACATATCTGTCTGGTACTGATGCTTGCTATTTCTCTTCAAGCAATGTTTTTTACTTTTTAAAATGCCTTGTAATTTTTTTTTTTTTTTTGAAAGCCAGACATGATGTATTGAGTAAAAGGAACTTCGGTACACAGGCCTTTAGTGATGTGGTGGTAAGATGTATGGTAAGTGGAAATGTTCTGTATACCTACGATTAATTCTTAGCCTGTGCTCCTGGGCTGCGAACTTTGCAACTGCTTCTCAGTCTTCTCTATCCTCCACTTATATGGGATATGATGGCTAGAGGGGGCTGAGTTGGGTAGTTCCTTTACCCCAAGAGAAAGGCTAGAGGGGCAGGTAATGGGTATTTCCCTTTCTCCAGGTCAGTTAGGCTCTAATTAAGTAGTTTGTCTTGAGTGGAGGCCTTGATATGAACAGAATGCTGTTATGTATTTCAAAATGGTTGTATGTTCTTCCCCTGCTGGAAGTGAGACAGGAAAAGTTCCCTTGTTCCCCTCGCAGGGCACGCGATGAGGGTGTGGATTGCTTCTTCAGTGCCTGCTGGCTCAAAACTCTAGGTGGAGCATGCAGTCAGGCAGGCTGCGGGGCTCTGACCCCACGGCAGTGTCTAGGGTTGAATTTTGTTTTTGTTTTTTGAGATGGAGACTCACTCTGTTGCCCAGGCTGGAGTGTAGTGGTGCGATCTCGGATCATTGCAACCCCCGCCTCCCAGGTTCAGGCGATTCTCCTGCTCAGCCTCCCAAATAGCTGGGATTACAGGCGTGTGCCACCATGCCTGGCTAATTTTTGTATTTTTAGTAGAGACAGGATTTCACCATGTTGGTCAGGCTGGCCTTGAACTCCTGACCTCGTGATCCACCTGCCCCAGCCTCCCAAAGTGCTGGGATTACAGGCAGGAGCCACTGCACCCGGCCCTCTAGGAGTGAATGTTTACAGCTGAAGCCCCAGTGGGCATTTGTTACAGGGTGCTCTTTTAGTTTAGCCGTCCATAGGTAGCTTGTGTTAGTCAGCACAATTAAACCCCCTGCCTTATGGCAAGGACAGAGAACTTTCTGTATCCTGGGGTTCTTGCCTTGTTGTACTGGAAGAATTGGATCACACGTGGGCTTGAGTGCAAGGTTTTATTGAGTGGAAGTAGCTCCAACAGATAGGGTTGCCAGAAGAGATAGGGTTTTCCCCTGGCGTTAGGCTGCTTGGTTGCCCAGGCTCTCCTCCGACTGCCCAGGCCAAACTCCACGTCATTCAACCGGTCATTTGATGGCCTGCCAGCATCTGTTGGTGTGCTCTTCCACTGGCATCCTCCCCTTGACGTCCTCTTGACGTCCAGCCGCTTGTGTCTTCTGCTGCTGCTGTGTTCCTTTCAACGTCCAGCTGCTTGTGTCTCTGCCTGCTAGGGTCTTGGGGTTTTTTTTGTTTGATTGAGATGGAGCCTTGCTCTGTCATCCAGGCTGGAGTGCAGTGGTGCGATCTCGGCTCACCACAACCTCCACCTCCCCAGTTCAAGCGATTCTCCTGTCTCAGCCTCTTGAGTAGCTGGAATTACAGGCACCTGCCACTAGGCCTGGCTAATATTTTTTCTTTTTTGTGTGTATTTTTAGTAGAGTCAGGGTTTCACCATGTTGGCCAGGCTGGTCTTGAACTCCTGACCTCAGGTGTTCCACCCACCTCGGCCTCCCAAAGTGCTGAGATTACAGGCGTGAGCCATTGCGCCTGGCACATTACTTCTTTAAGTGTGGTTTTCTTTAGTTCTCTGAACATGTTTGTATTAGCTTCCTTGATGTCTTTGTCTGCTGTGTTTGAGATCTGTGCTTTTGCGTTGGCGAGCCCCAGCACAAGGGTAGTTTCAGTGATTTGCAAGGACCCACAGGACTGGCGTATAATTGTACTCATGGATATGAGTTATTCCTGTGAAAGGATACAAAGCAAAATCAGCGAAGGGAAAAGATGTCTGGGGCTAAAGTTTGTTAGAGCCAGGTGCAAGCCTCCAAGTGTTCTCTTCCAAGTATGGTCACACAGGACATACCTCATTTCTCCAGGAATGCATTCTGAGAACACATATGAAGTGTTGTCTACTAGGGAAGCTCATTAGAGGCTCAGTGACCATAGCTTTTATTGGGGGCTGGTCATGCAGGCACCCTTTGCCTAGCACATAGCAAAATTCCAGGCTTGCGGAAGGAAAGCAGGTGTTCAGCACAAACCCCATTGTTTATACAGTTTAGCCACAGTGAGCCATTCTTATCAGGGAATAGTGGCAACTCTCTTGAAATCCAGGTTCTCAGATGCCAGCTAAGGGCCATCCTTGAAGGCAGGCCTTTTTAAGTATAACAGTCTTGGGCCTCAAATGTAAACTCTATATCACCTTCTCAAGGCATTTTTCTGTTACTTGCTTTTTGGTTTCTTATATGAATCTCACTTTTTTTAAAAAATACCTCATACTTTTTGCTGAAACCTACAAATTTTAGATAATATATTGCAGTGATTTCTGGATACTGCTACCCCCTCCTCTACTGTGGGGCTCATTGGTATTGTTTACTTCTTTGTTTAGTTATTTGCCAGAACTTATAGTGTTTTTTTTGTTGTTGTTGTTTTTTGGTTTTTTTTTTTTTTTTTTTTGAGACGGAGTTTTTGCTCTGTTGCCCAGGCTGGAGTGCAATGGCACGATCTCGGCTCACAGCAACCTCCGCCTCCTGGGTTCAAGCGATTCTCCTGCCTCATCCTCCAGAGTAGCTGGGATTAGAGGTGCCCGCCACCATGCCTGGCTAATTTCTGTATTTTTAGTAGAGAGGAGGTTTCACCGTGTTGGCCAGGTTGGACTCGAACTCTTGACCTCAGGTGATCCACCCGCCTCAGTCTCCCAAAGTGCTAGGATTACAGGTGTGAGCCACCGCGCCTGGCTGTGATGTGTTTTTTAACCTACAGTGTACATCCTTTGGTGTCCCTCTTTAGTGGGACAGCTTTGGGAATAAGCATAGTCACTATGGAATGATTGGTTTTAGCAGGGCTGTCTTTCAGTGTCTTTTTCTAATTTCTCTGTTAATCTGTCAGCCTCTGTTATCTCACCTAATCATTAGTTTGCACTAATTTCAGACTGATTACTCTATTGGTTTTGACCATGTCCAGGGGCATAAATTGCCTAACTATGTGATCCAAATTTGGGCCCTTTTATAGAGATAGTATTTGAGACCAACCTTTGAGGTTGGCTCAGATCCCAGGTAGGCTCTTATTTGTCTTTTTCTCTGGGTCTCTGGCTGTCTTCTAGCTGGTGTTTCTATAGCTTGTTGCTCTCAAGTAGTTACTAATCTTCTCTTAATAGCTTACCACCCAAATCTCTATTGTTATTGGGAACATCCTTAGGCTTTTTTTTCTCCCCATTGTGTTCCAAATTAAGTCATTTATTTTGGGGATACCTTCAGAACTCTGTTATTGCAGCCTGCCTTTCCCCTCGGGCAAAACCTCTGCATTGCTGCTCTGGAGCTGAGGGCAAGGAAACTGTCTCAGTTTTCCCTGTGACGCAAGCAAGGTGTTTGGCAGGGGAAGATGGCCTCTGGTTTTCCTAAATGTCACCCTAAGGTTAAGTCTTCCCTTTGTGCTATGTCTCAGAGAATGTTTCCACATTATTGTTTCTTTCTCAGTAGTGGTCCTCTTGGTGTTGCTATATGACATTTTTAGCCTGGTCACTGGTTGGCAGGAGTGTGCCCTATCTGTTGTTTTATTAATTAAGGCTTAGTTTTAGGCACCAGTGTCCTGGGGTCTCGTGGTTGTGTTATACTCAGTACTCCTGCCTCTTCCTCCTGCTGTAATTTTGGACCCATTGTGTATTTCTGCTCTTTCTTCATAGCTAATTTTTTTTTTCTCTCTATTTCATTCTCCCAGGGTCACAGTTTTTACAACTATCCTAATGGCCACAGTGTTTGTTGCCCTTCCTCCCACTGAGTAAGGACTTTGTTTTGTAGATGGAGTAGGATCTGAACAGATTTCTTTGACCTTCCCAAAACAGATTTTGTTCCCCTCTCCCAGGTGTGTACCTTGAGGGTAGTTTCTCAAGACTGTCATCAATCTTTTGTGTGATCTCTTGAATGGGTTAGTGGAGAAAATACCTGAATAGTCTGCAGACCTCTCAATTCTGTGCTGCCCCACCCTGGGCTTCATACTTACTTGCCAGTTAACACTTACCCTTTGCCAATTGACCAACCATTTTAGTTGATCTCTTACTGATGTCTGGTTGCATCTACTTTCACAGGTAAGCCGGGGGTGTGTCTCATCATTCCTTTGGGGCACCACAACTTAGATTTTGGTTGGCCCCAGTAAGACTCCTGTCTCTGGGGGATTCAAGGAAAGTTGTGAACTTCTTTCCTATTCTCCTACCCTCTTTATTTGTAAGGGTGAAAGTGATGCTCTCTCTAGCTCTCTACCTACCAGAACCAGATGATGTTTTCTAGTCTAGTCTGGTACTGTCTTTCACTTACTGTGAAGCCCCATTATATTTACTGTGATTTTCTTCATATTGTTGGATTTATATCTCTAATTTAAAAAAATGATTTGGTTTGGAATGGTTTTTTCATAATGCAATCCAAAGTATCATAGTCCCCATGGTTTCTTAGTCTTTCCCTGTTTCTCATGACCTTGACAGATTTAAAAAGTGTACTGGTTAGGTATTTGGTAGAATATTTCTCAATTTGGATTTGTCTGATATAGTCTCATGATTAAATGATATGAATTTTGGGGAAGAATACCACACAGATATACCATTCTCATAGCTTCATATCAGGATATATATGTATACATACACACACACATATACACACATATACATACATGTATACATATACGCACATATATACATATATACATATACACACGTAGACATGTATACATATACACACGTAGACATGTATACACATACACACGTAGACATGTATACACACGTAGACATGTATACACATACACACGTAGACATGTATACACACACGTAGACATAAATGCATGCATATACACACGTAGACATAAATGCATGCATATACACGCGTATACATATATGCGTGCATATACGCACGTATACATATATGCGTGCATATACGCACGTATACATATATGCGTGCATATACGCACGTATACATATATGTGTGCATATACGCACGTATACCTATATGTATGCATATACACATGTATACATATATACACACATATATGTATACATACATATATATATATATATATACACGATTTTAGCATTACTTATTACTGAGGATGTTACTCTTAATCACTTAGTTCAGGTTGCCCGGTTTCTCCACTGTAAAGTTACTGTTTTTCTGTTTCCATCCTCTATGCTTTGGAAGTGAGTTACTAAATTTAGTCCACATTTAAGGGAAGCAGAATTAACCTCCATATCTGGAGGGGTATCTACCTGTATATATGTATTTATTTTTGGGAAATTTTCTCTAAGGAAGATTTTTTTTCTCTCCCTTATTTATTTGGTCATCTGTTTCTATCATTCTGGATTCGTGAATAATTATTAATTTGTTAATTATACATAATCCCACATCTTTTTTTTGGAGCTATTGCTTACTTTCTGGTACAAGGTAGTATAGGCTTATCTTGTATTCTCCCTGCACCAGCCTTACTTTTAGCCATTTTAATAAGGAGCCCGGGTACTTTTTATTGAAAAATACATTTAGAAACCATGGTCTGAGCACTGAGTGCCCTTTTAGTTACTGAGGTAGCACTGATTCTGTACCTCCTAAACAGAAAGCTAGAAAATATATGTATGCATAGTAATGTTTGGATCTATTTAATTATTTTTACATACACATGTATGTAGCTATGTGTCCATTAAAGTAAACATGAATGTACAGTGATATCTGACTCTTATTTGAGATTAGCTCTCATACTTGCTTATTTTATTTATATATTTATTTTTTGAGACCGAGTCTTGCTCTGTTGCCCAGGCTGGAGTGCAGTGGCATGATCTCGGCTCACTGCAACCTCTGCCTCCCGGGTTCAAGTGACTCTTCTGCCTCAGCCTCCCAAGTAGCTGGGATTACAGGTGCCCATCACCACACCCAGCTAATTTTTTTTGTTTTTTTTTTTTTTTTGAGACAGAATCTTGCTCCGTCGCCCAGGCTGGAGTGCAGTGGTGCAATCTCGGCTCACTGCAACCTCTGCCTCCTGGGTTCAAGCGATTCTCCTGCTTCAGTGTCCCGAGTAGCTGGGATTACAGGCATGCGCCACGACGCAAGAAAATCACTTGAACACAGGAGGTGGAAGTTGCAGTGAGCCAAGATTGCACCACTGCACTCCAGCCTGGGCAACTGAGCAAGACTCTGTCTCCAAAAAAAAAAAAAAAACAAAACAGTCTGGGTGCTGTGGCTCACACCTGTAATCCCAGCGCTTTGGGAGGCCGAGGTGGGCAGATCATGAGGTCAGGAGATCGAGACCAGCCTGGCCAACGTGGTGAAACCTCGTCTCTACTAAAAATACAAAAAATTAGCCAGGCATAGTGGTGCGCACCTGTAATCCCAGCTACTTGAGAGGCTGAGGCAGGAGAATCGCTTGTACCCAGGAGGCGGAGGTTGCAGTGAGCAGAGATCGCACCATTGCACTCCAGCCTGGGTGACAGAGCAAGACTTAGTCTCAAAACAACAACAACAACAACAAAACTTCTTTCTCTAATAGTAAGAAAACTGAGTCCTGTTATCTATATTTACTTGTTTGTTCTACTTTACTATACATTTAAAGTGGTTTTATAACTGCCTAAGTTCCTGTAAAAATTTTATCAGTTAGCATTAATATTGTACCTTTATTACAGTTTCTAAAAATGCTCAAGTGTTTTCACATTATTCCTTGTAGATGTCATATAGTTTATCTTTTTACCTTTAGGTCCATGATCCATTTTAATTAATATTTGAATGAGCGAGGTAATATGTTGTCACTTTTTTTGGTATGTGGTCCTCTAGTTGTTTCAGCACCTTTTGTTAAAGAGATTGCAGGCCATGCACAGTAGCTCACGCCTGCAATCCCAGCACTTTGGGAGGCCGAGGCCGGCGGATCACGAAGTCAGGAGTTCGAGACCAGCTTGGCCAATATGGTGAAACCCCGTCTCTACTAAAAATACAAAAATCAGCCAAGTGTGGTGGCAGGCGCCTGTAGTCCCAGCTACTCGGGAGTCTGAGGCAGGAGAATCGCTTGAACTCGGGAAGCGGAGGTTGAAGTAAGTCGAGATGGTGCCACTGCACTCCAGCCTGGGCGACAGAGCGAGACTTGGTCTCAAAAAGAGCTTATCTTTCCTATATTGTATGGTTTTTGCATTTGTGTTGAAAATAACTAGATTTGCATGGTATTTTTCCGGACTGCTTATTCTTTTCCATTGATATTTGTATTTATTGTTTCTCCAATACCACATGGTATTACTAAGTATTTATTTTAAGTCTATAAATGAGGTAGTATGAACTTTCAACCTTTTTTATTTTTCATGATTGTTTTCGCTAATTTCTTTGCTTTTTAACTTAAATTTTTGAATAAATTTGGCAATAGCTACAAGAAGACGTTGCTGAAATTTTGGTTGGTATGTTATTGAATCTATTAGATGAAATTGGAGAGCATTTGTACCTCACTGAGTCTCCTGATTCATGAACCTAGTATTTCCTATTTATCCAGATCTTTTTTCATTTATTTCATCAATGTTTTGTAGTTTTCAGCCTATAAATCCTGACATATTTTGTTAGATTTAACAAATGATGTAAGAACTTCATTTTGGGGGTGCTGTGATTAAAATTGTGTTGTTTGTATTTTTTTCATTTCAAATTCCAGTTATTTATAGCTGCTGTTATGTGAACATGATTGATTTTTGTTTATTGGCCTTGTGTTCTGCAACCTTGTTCAACTCACCATTTTTGTTCTAAAAGGTTTTTTGTTTTTTTTTGTTTTTGTTTTTTGAGATGGAGTCTCGCGCTGTTGCCCAGGCTGGAGTGCAGTGGCACGATCTCTGCTCACTGCATCCTCCGCCTCCCAAGTTCAAGCGATTCTCCGGCCTCAGCCTCCCAAGTAGCTGGGAGTACAGGCACCCGCCACCACGCCCAGCTATTTTTTTGTATTTTTAGTAGAGACGGAATCTCACTATGTTGGCCAGGCTGGTCTTGAACTCCTGACCTTGTGATCTGCCCCCCCCCCCCCCCCCCCGCCTCCCAAAGTGCTGGATTACAGGCGTGAACCACCGTGCCCAGCCTAAAAGGTTTTTTTAAATATAGATTATTTGATATTTTCCAGACACACAATTGTTTTCTGCAAGTAAGAGTCTTTTTTTATTTCTTCCTTTGCAATGTATGTGCCCTATAATTGTTTTTCTGGCTTTATAGGCCTTCTAATACAATGTTGAATAGGGCAGGGTGGGAGGGCATACTTTACTAGTAGTTTTCCACTCTGCATGTTACCTGTAGGTCTTTCATAGATGCCCTTTATTAGGTTAAGCACCTCCATTCTATTTTTAGTTTTCTGGGAGTTTTTATTTTGAAAATATGTTGAATTTGCCAAATGCGTTTTCCTGTATTGACATGATTGTGCGGTCTTCATTAAATTATTGATACTGAATTTTATTTATTGATTGTTTTTAAATGTTGAACCAACTTTGCATTCCTTGTATGAAACCCAGCTGATTGTGATGTATTATTATTTTTTTTTTTTTTGAGACGGAATCTTGCTCTGTCACCCAGGCTGGAGTGCAGTGGCACTATCTCGCTCACTGCAAGCTCCGCCTCCTGGGTTCACGCCATTCTCCTGCCTCAGCCTCCCGAGTAGCTGGGACTACAGGTGCCCGCCACCATGCCCGGCTAATTATTTTTTGTATTTTTAGTGAGATGGGGTTTCACCGTGTCAGCCAGGATGGTCTCGATCTCCTGACCTCGTGATCCACCCGCCTTGGCCTCCCAAAGTGCTGGGATTACAGGCATGAGCCACCATGCCTGGCCTATCATTTTTTTATATTGCTGGATTTGATTTGTAAATATTTTGTTGACAAGTTTCTATTTATGCCCATTAGATTGACTTGTAGTTTCCTATTTAAATTTTTTTTAAACACTGTGTATATTATATATTTGGGGCACAGTGTGATATTTTGATATATGTTTATATCATGGAATGATTGAATCAGCCTAATTAAATCCATTACCTCACATACTTACCAGTTTTTTAATGGTGAAAACAATTAAAATCTAATCTATTAGCAATTATGAAAAATGCAGTACATTATTATTTATTATACTCACCATTGTGTGCAGTAGATCAACATCTCCCCTTTCCCCGTCCACCTCACTTTTCCAGTCACTGGTAACCACTATTCTACTCTATGTCTATGAGTTTGACTTTCTTAGATTCTACATATAAGTGAGATCTTGTGGTATTTGTCTTTTGGTGCCTGGCTTTTTTCACTCACATGATGTCCTCCAGGTTTATCCATGTTGTCACAAATAACAGGATTTCCTTCTTTTTTAAGGCTGAATAGTATTCTGTTATGTACGTATATCATATTTTCTTTATTCATTTATCTGATGATGGACATGTAAGTTGCTCCTATATCTTAGCTATTGCAAATAATGATGTAATGAACACAAGAGTGCAGATATCTCTTTGACATACTGATTTCAATTCCTTTGGATATGTACCCAAAAGGGAGATTGTTGAATTATCTGTAAATTTATTTTTAGTTTTTTGAGGAACCTGTACTGTTTTCCATAATGGCTATATTAATTGACATTCTTCACCAACTGCACAAGGATTCCCTTTTGTACACAACCTCACCAACACTTAACATCTTTTTTGTTTTTGGTAATAGCCATGCTAACAGGTATGAGGTGATACTTCATTGTGGTTTTAATTTGCAAGTGATAATGAACAGTTTTTCATATGTCCATTGACCATTTGTATGTTTTCTTTTGAGAAATGTATGTTTAGGTCCCTTGCCCATTTTTAAATTGGGTTCTTGGTTTTCTTGCTATTGAATTGTTGGAGTTCCATATATTTTGAATATTAGCTCATTATTTCATATGTGATTTGCAAATATTTTATCCCAGTTTGTGGGTTGTTGCTTTACTCAATTGTTTCCTTTGCTGTGTAGTTAACTTTTTAGTTTGATGCAATCCCATTTTAAATTAAAATTTTTGTTTTAGTTGTCTGTGCTTTTGGAGGTCATATTTATGAAATCTTTGCACAGACCAATGTTGTGGAGCATTTTCCCTATGTTTTATTCTAGTAGTTTTACAGTTTCTGGTCTAATGTCTTTAATTCATTTTGAGTTCTTTTCTGTATATGGTATGAGACAAAGGTCTGATTTGATTCTTCTATATGTGGATATACAACTTTCCCAACACCATTTACTGAAGAGGCTGTCCTTTCTCCATTGTACGTTCTTGGTACCTTTGTCAAAAGCCACTTTAACGTAAATGTCTGGGTTTATTTGTAATTCTCATTTGTTGTAATGTTTTTCTCTGCTTTTGTGATCAGGGTAATGCTAGCCTCGTAATTGGAATATGTTTTCTCCCCTTCTATTTAATGAACTAATTGTGTAGAATTGATATTGTTTCTTCCTTGATTGTTTGGTAGAATCCACCATTGAAACCATGTAGGCCTACAGTTTTTATCTTTAGGAGGTTTATAACTTTCAATTTAACTTATTTACTAGAAATAGAGCTATTCAGGTTTTCTTGGCAAATTTTGGTAGTCTGTGTCTTTCACATAATCATTCCATTTCATGTAACTTAGCAAATTCATAGGCATAGAATTGTATTCCTTCATTATCCTCTTAATGTCTTTGGCATCATTTTATGGTACTGATGATTTATATCTTCTCTATTTCTGTGAGCCTGGCTAGAGGTTGTTCAGTTTTGTCAGTGTTGTCAAATAATCAGCTTTTTTTTTTTTTTTTTTTGAGACAGAGTCTTGCTCTTGTCGCCCAGGCTGGAGTGCAATGGCATGATCTCGGCTCACTGCAACCTCCACCTCCTGGGTTCAAGCGATTCTTCTGCCTCAGCCTCCGGAGTAGCTGGGATTACAGGCGCCCGCCACCACACCCGGCTAATTTTTGTATTTTTAGTAGAGATGGGGTTTCGCCATGTTGGCCAGGCTGGTCTCGAACTCCTGACCTCAGGTGATCCACCTGCCTTGGCCTCCCAAAGTGCTGGGATTACAGGCATGAGCCACCGTGCCCAGCCTCAGCTTTTGGTTTTATTGATTTCTTTCTTTTGTATGTTTCTGTTTTTTCGTTTTTTGTTTTGGATTCCTGCTCTCAATGTTTATTATTCCCTTTCTTCATCTTGCTTTATATTTACTTTGCTCTTCTTTCTCTGGTTCCTTTGAGACAAACTTTGGTTACTGACTTTAGATATTATTTTTTAATGTATATATTGAATGCTATAAACTTCCCTGTTAACACTGCTTTGTCTGCATCCTATATGTTTTGATATATTGTATTTATATTGTTCTTTAGTTCAATCCATGTTTTAATTTCTCATGAGACTTTGTTTGTTACCTATGTGTTATTTGAAAGTTTCTTGTTTCATATCCAATTGTTTGAGGGAATTTTCCAGATTTTTTTTTTTCATTTCTAATTTGTATGATCTCAGGATGCACCTTGTATTTTTTTCTATGTTTAAATAATTAATTGAGGTTTATTTAATAAGCCAAAACATGATCTGTCTTTGTGAATGCTACATATAATTGAGAAGAATATGTATTCTGTTGTTGCTTAAAGTGTTCTATCATTATATGAAGTTGTTTGATAGTAATGTTCAGGCCTTCCATATCATTTGTGATTTTTTACTTGTTTTATTAATTTCTTAGCAGTGTTCAAATCTCAAACTAATTTTAGATATGCCTACTTGTTTTTTCATACCTCATTTATTGTCTTATTCATTTTGAAAACCTTTGATTAGGTGCGTATACCTATAAGATTATTATGTGTTCTTGGGGAAATAACTGTCTTTTCATGAGGTTTCTCTTTATCCTTTGATAATCTTTCCTGTTCTGATGTCTATTTTGTTTCATATTAATAAATATTTTCAACCTATTTCTTTGGTTAGTGTTTTATGCTGTATCTTTCTCCACCCTTGTACTTTTAATCATTGTATGCCTTTATAGTTTGTGTATGTATGTATTTCACAGTAAGTAGGTGGGTGGTTGGGTTTTTAGGTAGGTAAGTAGGCTAAATAGATAGGTGGGTTGGCTTGTGTTTTATTCCATGTGACAGTGTTCATCCTTTTACTGGTGGTGTTTAGACCATTACAATTTAAAAAAAAACTTTATTTGGGCAAAACTTATATAATTTACTCATTTTAAGGGTACAATTAAATTATTTTTAGTAAATTTAGTGAGTTCTGCAACTAACACCATTATTCCAGTTTTGTAATGTTTTTACCACCCCAGTAACATTTTTCATACCACTTTACAGTTAACCTTTGTTCCCATCCTCACCCCCAGGCAAATACTAATCTACTTTCATCTATGTTGATTTGCCCTTTCTGGACCTTCCATACAATTAGAATCATATAACATATAGTATTTTATGTCTCAGTTCTTTTACATGGGTTAATTATTTTGAGGTTTGTCTATATTATTATATGTATCAGCCTTTCATTTAGTTTATTTGTAAATAATATTCAATTGTGTCAATATGTCTCATTTTCTTTCTCCATTAAACACTTGATGGGAATTTAAGTAGTTTCTGTGTTTTGGCAATTATCAATTATGCGTCTGTTGACATTCATGTGGAAATATTTAAGCGGACGTGCTTTCATTTCTCTTATGTAGGATTTTTTGGATAATATGGTAATTTGACTTTTTAAGAATCTGGCAAACTCTTTTCCAAAGTGACTGTACTACATTACATTCCTATCAGCAATATATGAGGGTTAGTGATTTTCTACATATTTGTCTACATTTATTACTGTCTTTTATTAAAACCATTTTTGTGAAAGTAAAATTATCTCATTGTGGTTTTATTGCATTTCCTTAATGACTAATGGAGTAGGAAATATTTCATGTTCTTATTAGCCATTCTTCTTTGGTGAAATGTGTATTTAAATCTTTTGCATAATTTTTAAATCTGGCAATAGAAGTTGTCCAAATCTGTACTTTTGTCTGTTCAGGGTCTTTTGCATTTTTATGTGAATTTTAGAATAAACTTGTTAATTTCTGAAAAAAGCCTGCTGTTATTTTGATAGGGAATGTAATGAATCTATATAGATTAGTTTTGGGAGAATTACCATCTTAGCTATAATAACGCATCTTTTTTTTTTTTTTTTTTCTTCTGAGATGGATTCTTGCTCTGTTACCCAGGCTGGAGTACAGTGGCACGATCTTGACTCACTGCAAATCCCACCTCCCGGGTTCAAGCAATTCTCCTGCTTCAGCCTCCCGAGTAGCTGGGATTACTGGTGCCCATCACTGCACCCAGCTCATTTTTTTGTACTTTTAGTGGAGACAGGGTTTTACCATGTTGGCCAGGCTGGTCTTGAACTCCTGACCTCATGATCCACCCGCCTCGGCCTCCCAAAGTGCTGGGATTACAGACGTGAGCCACTGCGCCCAGCCAATAACGCATCTTAAACATGAAATATCTCCCCATTTATTTTGGTCTTTTAAAATTTTCTTCAACAACATTGTGTAGCTTTCTTTATACAAATCTTGCAGGTGTTTTGTTGAATTATTCCTAAAGATTTAGTCTTTTTGGTGCTATTTTGTATGGAATTGATTTCTTAATTTCATTTTTGGATCATTCATTGCTAGTATGAAAACAGAACAATTTATTATATAGGTTTTTTGTTTTTTTTTTTTTTTTTAGATGGAGTTTTTGCTCTTGTTGCCCAGGCTGGAGTGCAGTGGTGGATATTGGCTCACTGCAACCTCTGTCTTCTGGGTTCAAGCAATTCTCCTGCCTTCTGAGTAGCTAAGTATTACAGGCGCCCACCACCACGCCTGGCTAATTTTTTTGTATTTTTAGTAGAGATGGGATTTCATCACGTTGGCCAGGCTGGTCTTGAACTGCTGACCTCAGGTGATCCACCCACCTCAGCCTTCCAAAGTGCTGGGATTACAGGTGTGAGCCACCGCACCCAGCCTATAGGTTTGTATTCTACAGCCAACTCTTCTCAGAGGAAGTATAGATAGATATGTATACTAACCCATGTATAGCTACATATTTATACACATTTTTATATGTAACTATCGATTTTTTTAAGTTAAATGTGAGTTCATACTGGTATTTCTAACTAATCCATTACCACATGGTTAATTCTAGTCATATCTCCTTGTTTGTCTGTCCTCACTCTCTCACTCCAATAGGAAAGAGCCTGTCTCCTAACATTTACCATTCATTTACATAATTGTACTATCCCATTATACAGGTATAACTGTTTCAGAATTGTTGATTTTTACCCTTACTGGAAACAACTCTATCAACTGGAGTATAATGCTTATGTATAGCTTCTTTTGCATTTAGTCTTACAGACTCCACTTATTAATGGTGAGAGACTGGACATACTGCTCAGATCGGGAACAATGCAAAGATGTCCTCTCTCACCACTCCTAATACAAGAAAAGGAAATATAGACTGGAAGGGAAAAAATAAATCTTTATTTGTAGATTATAAGATTGTCTACATAGACGTTTTTAGAGCATCTCCAGAAACCTAGAACTAACAAATGGGAGTAAGAAGGACACAAGGTATTACAGTTACTTTTCATTTTCTGTTAGTTTTGGCATCTCATATTTAAGTCTGGTTTTCAAGATTGCATTCTTTTCAGATGGTATTTTTTTCTTTGTTTTTGTATACATTATAATGTTGAGAGTCAAACATATAAAGTAGTAGATACTGAGGTATATATATGTATTTTCTTTGCGATAAGCACACCTTTCCTTCATCTAGGCTATTAGCGTGGAGGTTTTTGTGAAATTAGTCAGGAGTTGGTCTGGGATTGAAGTTTTGTTGTTACCATGGTTACTCTCTGTGTATCAGAAACTTCAAACCCTATAATGATACCTTGTTTTTGTGTCCTTGTTTGGCGTGGGTTTTC